>NC_000017.11:18672929-18975959 GCF_000001405.40 Homo sapiens
CGCCGCCCGCCCGGCCGCGGCTGGGGTTCTCGCGCTCTCCTCTCGCGCCGGGGCGGGGTGCAGCGGGGGAGGGACGTGGACGCCGCGAAGGCTCCGGCTCCCGGGCGCCGCCGCCGCCGCCGCCGCCTGGGGAAGCACGAGAGAAGAGAGAAGGAGAGTTGGTTATCCCCGGCCGGAGCCCCGTCCTCGGCGAGTCCTCGCCCGCTGCCGCCACCTCCCAGTCTTGCCGCGCCCGCCTCCCAGGAACAGGAGACCATACTTCTTAATAACACTTTTTGTTTAAAGAAAATAATGTTTTTTAATAAAAAAATATACTGTGCTAACACATGACATGTTTATAATTTTTTATTTCTATTTTTCTTTTAAGAGATGGGGTCTCACTTTATTGCTCAGGCTGGTCTCTAACTCCTGGGCTCAATCGACCCACCCACCTTGGCCTCCCAAGGCACTGGGATTACAAGTGTGGACCACCACATCCGGCCAATTATTTTTAAATGAATTAGCTAATAGCTTGAAATTTTTCTGTTTTAACTTGTAGTATAGTAACTATTGGTAGATATAACCTACATAAATGAAACATCTTTAGGGTCTTTAACAATTTTTATAGTTACAGTAGGTCCTCTGATGCCAAAGCATTCAGAACTGCTACACTAGAGCACAGAGATGGAAGAAGAGTAGTTGTGAAATGAGGTTGGGATAATGAGTAAAAGCCAGATTTCACAAGATTTTGTAGACCTCCAGGATTTTGTCTGTTACCGTGAAGGCAGCGAGAAGCCATTCAAATGTTCCAAGCAGAGTGATGACAAGACGAGATTTGATTATGAAAATATCAGTCTCACTACAATGTTGAGAATGAAGTATATGAGGGCAAAGGCGGAATCACAAAGATTATCACAGTAATCCAGGAAAACAAAAAATATATGAAGGAAAATTAACAGTGAAGAAATACTTAGAATATAATTAGGTAAATACAGTGATGGATAAAGGAGAGAGGGGGTGATGTAAAGACTGTGCGTAGATTTCCACCACGTACAATTTGATGACAATAAGTACCATTAAAACAATTACTGGAAAAGGATGTTGTTGGGGAGATGGGAAATTTAGACTTATTTTAGACATTCAGTTTTAAACATGTTGTATTGAAGTATCGTTGACATAAGCAAACAAAGGAATCAAATAGTTAAGATGTTGAGAACAGCCCTGAGGAGAGCTCTAGGATGGAAATACCAATTTGGGACTCATCTTGATAGAAGGTAACTGGTTGTGGGAATGATGAGACTAATGAAGTAGTAAGTAGAGGCTGCAAACAGTTGATCAGTTGGCCAAATCAGACCTTAGACACATTTTCTTTGGGCCACACTTTTTATACAAACTTTTAAAACTAGTTATACACAGTTAAAAATAGGGAGATTATTGCTGGACGCAGTGGCTCACGCCTGTAATCCCAGCACTTTGGGAGGCCAAGGAGGGCGGATCACGAGGTCAGGAGATCGAGATCATCCTGGCTAACACGGTGAAACCCCATCTCTACTAAAAATACAAAAAAATTAGCCGGGTGTGGTGGCGGGCACCTGTAGTCCCAGCTACTCAGGAGGCCGAGGCAGGAGAATGGCGTGAACCCAGGAGGCAGAGCTTGCAGTGAGCCAAGATCGCACCACTGCACTCCAGCCTGGGAAACAAAGCGAGACTCCATCTCAAAAAAAAAAAAAAGGGGGGGGGGAGATTACAGACAAATGCAAATTTAGGGTTTCTCTCTTGAAAAAAACTGGAAGTGTACTGAACGACAACCACCATTTAGAGCAGGGATTGGCAACTACAGCCTGCTGCCTACTTTGCTAAATAAATTTTTACTGGAACATACCCATTCATGTATGCATTTTCTAGGGCTGCTTTCATACTACTGTGGAAGATCGAATGGCTGCAGAGACACCATGTCCCACAAAGCGTAATTATTTACTGTCTAGCCATTTACATAAAAAGCTTGCCAGCCATTGAGCTAGAGCTACTCCTTTCAGTTGAGGCCTGTACTCCTCTGGTTCACCAGTTTCCACTTTGCTTGCTTAACTCAGTGATATTACCTCCTGGCCCATGTAAGTACTCAAGTTTATGACTCCAGGTATACAAAAGGAAGGGAGATTAAAATCAAATTTTGAGTAATTAGAATATTTAATTGTTCAAAAAAGAAGGCTAAGAAGATACACTCAGAGAAGTAAGAAGTAATTCCAAATGGATTAAGAACCTAAAGAAAAAATTAAAGAATACACTAGTAAACAGAGGCAAATATATATGTAACCTTGGATTAATGAAACACATTTTAAGCAGCACTGAAAAGGCAGAAAAAAAAAGATTATAAAAAATTAAACTTGTACATCAAAATGCATAGCAAAACTGAAAGTCAAAAACTACAAAAAATATCTGTAACATAAGAAAAGGTAAAAACCTCATATATAAGGACCTCTTAACAGATCACTATGAAAACTGCAATACCCCAAAAAAGGGAGATGGGTGGTGAGTGGTAAGTCACAGAAACTGATAGGTCTCTGAGGTGAAACAGATATATCCATAATCACAGGGAAAGACTTTTAAACTGTTTCAATATTCAAAAGTATAACTTTTTTAAAAATAATAATATCCAGGAAGGATTTTCTTTATGAGCTATATATAATACTAAGTATAGTAAATAAAACAGTCTGGTATTAGACATAGACAGACAAGTAAACCAGAGAGACAAGAAACAGAACTAAGTATGCTGAGGAACTGGGTTTACCACAGGTAGCATTACAAATCAGTAACATAAAATTATTCCATGAACAATGCTGGACTTATTGGCTTTCAGCACGGAAAAAGACAAAATTAGTTTTCCCATTTCATCATATACAAAAATAAATACCTGTAAAACAAAATTGAACATTTTGGAATAAAATAATCTTTCTGACACTGGGATAAAGTAGATAGACAATTCACAAAAAGCAATATTTAAAAAAAAATTTGTTATTAAAAATGTTTAATTCTATATGCCTAACACACCAGAAAATAAAATAAGCCAAAGATTAGAAGAACCAATTTCTTCTCACTGACTTGCAATGCTACTTCTGTCATAGATTAGTACCTAAAATACATGAAGAACTCCACCAAATCAAGAGAAAAGATATAAACAGCCCAATCTCAAAAAACAGGCAAAGGGTATCAACAGGTAACTCACAAGAAACTTGAATAGCCAAGTAACATGAAATGCTCAAACTTGTATTTATCACTCAGAGAAATGAAAATTTTAAAACATCATTTTGCATCCATCAGATTGACAAAAATTAACAAGTCTGATAACTCAACTGTTGGCAGTTCCTAGTAAAGCTAAACATGTGATGATTTAAGACCTACTAATTCTTCTTCCAGTTATCTCCCTAAACCAGCTCTCAAGATGAACATAAGGAATCAAAAAAAGGATGATCACTGCAACTGCTACTAATGGCAAAAAAATAAACTGTTCAGTTTATTCATACAGTGGACTTATGACTCCACAGTAGTTAAAATGAATAAACATAATTCATATATATTAACATAGATTAATATCAAAATACAATGTGAACTTTAAAAAATCAGACTACATAAGAAAAAGTGTAACAATAAAACATACAGATTGTTTTACATACATATGTATATATCTCTGTGTATACACACACATACACAAACACCGAAATGATTCACACCAATTTCAAGATATAATGGTTACTTCTAGGGGAGAAAGAGAATAAAAGGGTTTCTTTTCTTTGCTTTTTGTTTTTTTTTTTTGAGACACAGTCTCCCTCTGTCGCCCAGGCTGGAGGGCAATGGCATGATCTCGGCTCACTGCAACCTCTGCCTCCTGGGTTCAAGCAATTCTCCTGCCTCAGCCTCCCAAGTAGCTAGGATTACAGGTGCCTGTCACCATGCCCGGCTAATTTTTTTGTATTTGTAGTAGAGACGGGGTTTCACCATGTTGGCCAGGCTGGTCTCAAACTTCTGACCTCAGGTGATCCACCCACCTTGGCCTCCCAAAGTGCTGGGATTACAGGCGTGAGTCACCACACCCAGCTGAGAATAAAAGGGCTTTAACTGAATATGTAATATTTTTATTTCTTAAAAAATAAAAGATATCACACACCTCAAAAGGATGGCTAAAATGAAAACAAGCAATATTAAGTGTTGACAAGCATGTGGAACAACTAGAACGCACATATTCTGCTGCTGGGAATGTAATTGGTACAATGACTCTAGAAACCTCTTTGGCACTATCTACCAACAGTGAGTATGTATCTATCCTCTGATAAAACAAGTCTACTTGTATGTATACAAGGTCTGTTCCGCATGAAACTCCTGCTGGGGAAGGACTTCCCTGCCTCCCCACCCAAGGGCTACTTCCTGACCAAGATCTTCCACCCGAACTTGGGCGCCAATGGCGAGATGTGCGTCAACGTGCTCAAGAGGGACTGGACGGCTGAGCTGGGCATCCGACACGTACTGCTGACCATCAAGTGCCTGCTGATCCACCCTAACCCCGAGTCTGCACTCAACGAGGAGGCGGGCCGCCTGCTCTTGGAGAACTACGAGGAGTATGCGGCTCGGGCCCGTCTGCTCACAGAGATCCACGGGGGCGCCGGCGGGCCCAGCGGCAGGGCCAAAGCCGGGCGGGCCCTGGCCAGTGGCACTGCAGCTTCCTCCACCGACTCTGGGGCCCCAGGGGGCTTGGGAGGGGCTGAGGGTCCCATGGCCAAGAAGCATGCTGGCGAGCGCGATAAGAAGCTGGCGGCCAAGAAAAAGACGGACAAGAAGCGGGCGCTACGGCGGCTGTAGTGGGCTCTCTTCCTCCTTCCACCGTGACCCCAACCTCTCCTGTCCCCTCCCTCCAACTCTGTCTCTAAGTTATTTAAATTATGGCTGGGGTCGGGGAGGGTACAGGGGGCACTGAGACCTGGATTTGTTTTTCTAAATAAAGTTGGAAAAGCAAAAAAAAAAAAAAAAAAAAAGAAAGAAGAGAATTATTCCCTTAAGATAAAATAATATGTAAAAATCACTAAGTAGCCCCTAAGTAGAAAAGACATTATGAGGAAAAATGACCTTTAGCCTAGAATCTGCATATACATAACTAAATCAACATTCAGTGGAGATTAAGTGCCCAAAAATTAGAAGAAAAAGCCAGAACAACAAAAATGCAAACCATTGCACAAACAGCAGGAAAACTACAAAAGAGGAAACAATAAAGCACAGGAAACAGAATTATAAAAATCACATGGCAAGAAAAGTTTGAAACACATGTATTATATGTGAATGAGCAAATTTCCCTTATAAAAAGGTTTTTTTAAAAAGCCACATCCTATATACAGAATAGGCCATCAAAACAAAATATTATTGCTGGGTTGGGTACTGGTGGGTAGATGGAAGGAAATATAGTATACCATATGTCTGAATACAGTAGTGCAAGTACAACAAAAAATGTGAAAAAATATACATAGTAGAGAGAGGCAGGGACTGAATTTGAGGGGGAAGTAGCATTACCTTTACATTTCTGTATGTCTGTGTTGTTCACTTTATTACATTGAAGAACTAAAACTTTTAATATTTTTAAAAATCTAACAAATCAAAGGTAAAAAATAGCCCAGGCAAATTCTAACAAGAAAAAAAGCTCCAATATTGCATTTTAAAAATCTAATAAAATGCAAAAAGAACAAAGAGAGTTTTAAAAATTTTCCATAATAGGTTCAATCACCTTGATGCTGTTAACAGTGTTGAATCTGATATCAAAGTATTGAAATATATATTCACGCTTCTGGTACCAGTGCCCTAATTTTCCCCTAGCTACTATGCCTGGCCACTTTGAATCTGTGTAGCTCAGGTAGTACTGACGCCATCTCTGACTCACGGGTGGGATGTTTGTGCGTGCACGTGAATGTGTGTGTGTGTAGGTATATTCTATAAAGAATTACACTTAAATTTGGCCAATATCTCATCCAGGAATGGGCCTAATACCCCATTAGAGTCAATCCCAGCACTTCTGCAAGAATGACTAGAAGAGAATCTGCCCTTTTTCTCTGGCCTTCAACACAGGAAGATGTAAGCCTAAACTCGTTAGAGGCCAACACTAGGAGAAAAACTTGTTTGGCCATAAAACCCATGGAGAGCAAAGGTCAGTAAAATGAAGAATTAGGTTTTAACATTCTTGTTTGAGCCCTATATGTAGCCAGACCTAGATTTTTCAGTTTGTTAGTCAATAGTTACTTCTTTTCACTTAGACCCATTTGAATTGATTTTATCCGCTGCAACTTAAAGCTTCTTGACTAATAAAGTCTTCAAGACTAATGTAAGACAGTTGAGAAGCCAATGGAGACAGGCAAGTACATAAAGGAAGTGACTTTTACAAACACTATGAATGTGCAGTATCTACTTTTTACACTTTGGATTACAGAAGCAAAGAGAAAGGCTGATTGAGGAATCTCTGGGTTGTGGTATGCCACACACATCATGGAAAGCTCCTTTTTTCCTCCTCAACTTTTTTTTTTTTTTTTTGAGACAGTTTCACTCTCACCCAGGCTGGAGTGCAGTAGCCCTATCTGGGCTCACTGCAACCTCTGCCTCCTGGGTTCAAGTGATTCTCATGCCTCAGTCTACGGAGTGGCTGGGATTACAAGTGCGCGCCACCACGCCCAGCTAATTTTTGTATTTTAAGTAAAGACGAGGTTTCACCATGTTGGTCAGGCTGGTCTTGAACTCCTGACCTCAGGTGATCTGCCCGCCTTAGCCTCTCAAAGTGCTGGGATTACAGGCATGAGCCACCGTGCCCAGCCCTAACTTCTTTTAATAAAAGTTTCAAACATACAAAAGTTGAAAGATGAATGCAATAATCACTGATATAGTACAATCACCGCCTAAATTCAAAAATTCTTTTTTTTTTTTTTGAGACAGAGTTTCCCTCATTGCCCAGGCCGGAATGCAGTGGTGCGATCTCGGCTTACTGCAACCTCCACCTCCTAGGTTCAAGTGATTCTCCTGCCTCAGCCTCCAGACTAGCTGGGACTACAGGTGCGTGCCACCATGCCTGGCTAATTTTTTGTGTTTTTAGTAGAGACGAGGTTTCACCGTGTTAGCCAGGATGGTCTCAATCTCCTGACCTAGTCATCTACCTGCCTTGGCCTCCCAAAGTGCTGGAATTACGGGCATGAGCCACCACGCCCAGCCAAACATTCGTAATATTTGTCATATTTACCTTTTGGGAGAGAGGGGCCAACAATATAAAAGTAAGTTGCAGGCATGATCATACCTTAGCTTTCGTCATCTCAGAGGGCTGGATTCTAACTGTAACTCTTTAAATTACGCCTTCATAGGCTTTCCTTTTCCAGTGTTTCTTTGAACTATGTGAGTATTTATTATTTTTACAATCACTTCAGCATTTAAGTGCTTTCTTAGATTGCCACTTAAAGTCACATACATGCTGTTTCCTCTAGAGAAACAAGTTTTAAGAGGTATGTGCCACATTATATTTAAAATAGTTTCTCACATTACCAAGCACAGAAATGAGCATAGGAGGCTAAGAAAGGGAAATGCTGCTTACCTATCTGTTGAGGGACAATAAACACTAAATAGGGAAGAAATCCATCCAGTGTTATAAGTAGAAAACATTTTCTTCTGAGTCCATTAGTCTCCTGACTAGTCTCTTAGATTTAGAACTCAGCTCTGCAGATGGGCTTTAGTGGATAAAGAAACTCCACATCACAAAGAAGGGAGTGCATCTGTACTCTAAGAAACAAGGTGTAATTCCAATAATCAGCAGACTCACTCACCTGGGATCTGGCCGTGAGGCGCAGAGCAGCCACTTCTCCCTCTTCTGTGCTCTTCTCTTGGAAATGGGGAGAATCCTGGGAAGACAGAACTAACGACAAGAAAGCAGTAATGATGAGACCTAGGCTTAATGTGCCACTCAGATTTAAAGTCTAAAAACCGCTTCAACATACTATATGTGCTGCCTACAAACACTGAGACTGAAGGTACCCCCAAAACAACCGACCTCCTCCCAGGACCCTCTTCCCGGGATATGCGGGAATATTGCTACTCTGGGCTCGAATTCAGTTGCTATAATCATAACACATTCTGTAAGATGGCATCCTCTGATCTAGAAATTAGAATATGTCAGTAAATTTCCCAGCTTAATCTATACTCGTTGGTTCTCACTCTGAAAGCTTATTTATAATGTAGATTGCTGGACCCCACCTCAAAGTAATAAGCATTAGTTGAGCCTGGGGTACAATCCAGAAATCTAACAACCACCCCAGGGGGAATTCTGGTGTAGGAGGTCACAGCACAACCTTCACGAAACTGGTCAGGTAGAATGGAAGTCAGTCATTAACTACTACGCCTGTTTTCTCCTATGTAAAACAAAACATTTTTGACAACCAAAGAGGTGAATTCTTGCCATAGAAGTTAACATTTCACTCACATTTTGGGGGTAGCTTTGAAGGGTCCACTGTGTGCCCAGCTGCCATGGAAAGGGCGGTGCTCCCATACCAAGCTCTTCAGTCTCACTTAAAAAGCCCATCCATCCCCAAGACAATGGAGACAGCCAGCCAAGAGCCACCTCCCCTGAGCCAACCGTTTTCCCTTCAGGAGCAGGAATTTCGTCCTTCCACGCTACAAGTTCAACACGTCCGCAATTCTCACCTCCTTTCTCAGGCATTTCAGCCAAATCTGTCTCCATGATCACCACCTCCTCCTTGTTCTGGAGATTCTGCTCTTCACCCCAATTCAGATCTCCCTGGCCAGACGAGTTAGAAGCCCCCCGGGCCTCGTGGTCCCACTTCCTGCCTTCCCTCCTGGGCTCTGATGAAAGGCCTGGGTTAGATCGGGTCTCTTTCTCACCGTGGAGTCTGCCTCAGTCCTACGGCGCTGGAGCCTGGAAGCCCGGGGACAGCATCCCTGAGGCTGGGTCCTCAGATGTCTGTCCCTACCGCTTGAAGCTGTCCCTGGGGGAACCGGGCGCCTGGAAGAGGTGACGCTGGGGCATCAGGAGTTTGGACAAATTCTGCCGCGCTCGGGGCACTGGCCCAGGACCCCGCGACCACCCCGCCCGTGGCACAACCGCGTCCCCCGAGGAGAGGATCAGGCCAGAGTGAGAAGGGACAGGGCTCATGGTCTGCCCTCGAGGCCCCTTTAACAAACGCGCACTCTAGCCCCGACTCGGCACAGAACGACCCGGGGAACTACCGCCGAGGCCGAGCCGAGACGAGAGACATCACCACAAGCAACTCACCTCCCATCCCGGGCCTCACAAAGGGGACGAACTTCTTTGGCCAGCTCGGAGTCGCGCATGAGTAAGAAGGAGCGGAGCCAGGCGTGCTGCTCTCATTCCGCCCGGAACTACAATTCCCAGAAGCGCCTTGGCATCGCCAGACTCCGGTTCTCCGCAGGTGGGAGCACCCATGGTGAGGTTGGGAGAATCGGCCGATCGAAGAGCTCCGTCCGTCTCGCGAGAGTATGAGGCAGCATCTCCTGTGTCTAATCCTCAGGGCAAGGGAGGGAGGGAGCAGCGGAGACGCGGACCGGAGTCAGGGTCCGTCCCCGCGCTTTGTCTGCACAAGTTCCTGTGGCACAGTGCTTAGGGCTGCTGAGTTCAACCCAAATTACTCCGGTGTAAGATACGTTAAAATACATAGCTTTTATCCATATTTTGTGCGCCCAGAACTCATCCTTTTGCTTTCAAAACATACGAAGGATGTTTTTAGGAAGAGCAGGTCCCTCTTTGTACACTCAGTCAGATGTTCCTGTATCCACAGACTACTTGTAATCCTAAAATTCATGTATTTAAAACGAGTTGAAAAGATTGAACCTGTTGTAACAAATTTAAGCAATAGGTTCTTTGCAGACATAAGCATTAGTTTAAACGTAGCATAAAAGGTGGTTCTTTCAAGGGAGGGTTATTCAGTCTCTCCAATTCTGTTAGAGGACTAACCCATCCACCTCCAGCTTCGTGTCTAGACTGCCCTCCTTTTCTCAGTGAATGACATTACTGCCCACTCACTCATTTGCACAAACCAGAGCCTGAATATTCTTAACTCTTTGATCTCACCATCTATTTATCACCAAGTCCTATTCATTATATCTTAAATAACTCAATTGTTTCCATCTTTCTCTATTCCCAGTAGCATTACCTTAGTTGGGGCCACCACCATTTCACTAGGATTGCCGTTGCAGCCTGGTAACTGGATTCCCTAACTAAGGTTTTCTCTACCACCAATCTGTTCTCGACACTTTCTGGCTAGTGCTCTTTCTAAAACAAGAATATGCTATTACTTTAGTGCTTCAAACCGTTCAGTGGCTTTTAGAAACTTCAAGGAAAGATGATTTCCAGCTCCCAGAAGGGATTTGTAACTCCCGTTATCTCAGCCACCTGGTAGTTACACCTTTGTGCAATCCCCTCTTGTGTATGGACTGGGACTTGCTTCTAACCAATACAGTGCAATAAAGGTGACATAAAAGTCTAACGTGTGTCTTGCTAGGAGACTCCTCTCTTGCTGGCTTTGATGAAGTGGTGGTGATGTTGGGGAGGCCCATATGACAAGGAACTGAGGATGGCCTCCAGCCAATAGCCTGCAAGAACCGAAGGCCCTTGGTCCCACAACCTGCAAGGAGCTGAACCCTTTGGACAGCTCTGTGTGCTTGGAAGTGAATCATTCTTTGTAGAGCCTTCCCATGAGAACCCTGTCTTGCCTGACATCTTGATAGCTGGCTGCAAAGGACTCACTTAAGCTGTGCTCAGACTCTCACCCATAGAAACTATGAGATAATAAACGTGTGCTATTTTGGACCACTGAGTATGTGGTCATATTGTTATGCAGGAAAATTTAATTCCACTTTCTAACATAAAAGAGGATCTTCTTTGTCAAAATCCAATCTGGGAATTGTCTGGAAGAGGGAAAATTGTTGGATTGAGCAACTATTGAAAAGTTGATTTGAAACCCACAGGAAGACAAATGGCTACAGTTGGTCCTAGGAGGTGTGTGGCCTGTACACGTACTTTTAAAAAGCTATCCTAAGAATGATAAAGGAGGATACAGGAAATATCAAGCAAGAACTTGTCATAAAAATAAAAACAACGAAACTGTGTGTCAAAATATGATGGTTAATACTAGATTGGATAGCAGAATGTGTAAAATTGAAAAGTGAATATCTAGAATATTCTAGTGAAGCTGCAATATCAGGCTAGGGAACTCTACACTTCCAGAAGATATCAGGAAGGGAGAAAAAGTTGAAAAATACGAAAGAAATATTAAGCAGTATGGAGCCTGACTAGACTTTATGAGAATCCAGAAGGAAAGAAAAACAGAGAGGAGGAACTATTTTAAGAAATAATCAAGAATTATGGAAAAATAAAAAATTAAAGACTTCATAGTGAAATTATTCATAGAGAGTCAAACAAAATTATGAAAAGACACCACATATTACGGTGAAATCTAACGAAGAAATTCTAAAGCCTTCCAGAAACAAAACATAGATCACCTACAAAAGAAAACAATCACAATTAAAAAAAATCCTCAGTGTTAAAAACAGTGCCTGGAATAGTACCAGGTAGTGTCAGATCTCCATCAGCCCGGACAGTGGGAACTAACTGGTGCATTCCCCACACTTACCTTCCAGTGGGTTGCTGATGAGAGAACCTGAAAAAACCTAAACCTCGGCCGGGTGCAGTGGCTCACGCCTGTAATCCCAGCACTTTGGGAGGCTGAGGCGGGCGGATCACAAGGTCAGGAGATCGAGACCATCCTGGCTAACATGGTGAAACCCCGTCTCTACTAAAAATACAAAATATTAGCCGGGCGTGGTGGCAGGCGCCTGTAGTCCCAGCTACTCGGAAGGCTGAGGCAGGAGAATGGCGTGAACCCGGGAGGCAGAGCTTGCAGTGAGCTGAGATCGCGCCACTGCACTCCAGCCTGGGGACAGAGTGAGACCCCGTCTCAAAAAAAAAAAAACAAAAAAAAAAACCCTACACCTCTACAGCAGGTCGAATTCATGACCTGAAGCTGAATACTTCCAGCATATTTTTCCCAGTAGATAGGAATAAAGTATCTTTGCAGTGCTCTGTTCCCTCCGTCTCCCCAAACATCTGACACCCTAAAAGCCATCCAGCAGCTATGGAGCCTGAGCGACACGTTGATTTGTGTTGTCACCTGACCAAGCCTAAAGACCTCCAGCTCAGTCCCCGACCTTCATCCCACCCCCCAGATGATAAAATTCAGACCTCTTTCCTGAAAGGCAGAGGTTAAACATTCAGGACTGTTTCTGGCCGAGGACTTCTTCCAATTAAAACCCCCACCGTGGGCTGTCTCCCCTCATTTCATTTTTCTAAAGGGGCAGAGGCCTCTTTTGGAAAATAATAAAATTCAATGTGTGTGATTTACTTTTCTGATCTCTTTGAGAAATACAGGAATATAAAAGTATGTTCTTAATTCCAGAACACTCTTTTTGCATAAATACCTCATTGGGCAGCTTTCTAACTGTGATTTTCCTGAGTCTCCCTTCGTTGGATCTGCCGGAAGACGAGTCAGGGAACCTTTAGTGAGGGTACTTCTTCCTATTTTTCTTCTGTTTTTGGAGGCATACACATTATGCATAACCAAAACAATGGCTCAATTGTGTTTAACTTTGTATTTTGATTGTTGAGAAGAATAAAAGGTATCAACGTGAAAAAAAAAAACAGTGCCTGGCATTTTGTGGCTTCTCAACAAATAATAATTAAATAAATAAATCTGATTTGTCAATAGCAGGACTGGTTACAAGAAGAAAATGTAATATTGATAAATAATATTTGTACATATTTATGGGGTACATGTGATATTTTGATACATGCATAGTACATATAATAATCAAGTCAGGGCATTTGGGATATCCATCACCTTCAACATTTATCATTTCTTTGTGTTGGGGAAATTTGAAATGTTCTTTTCTAGTGATTTTAAAATATACAATATATTGTTGTTAACTGCGTTATTAAAGATTCTTATTCTTTCTATCTAACTGTGTGTTTGTACCTGTTAATCAACCCCTTTTCATCACCCTCCACACCCTTCCCAGCCTCTGGTAATCATCATTCTATTCTCTACCTCCATAAGATGAACTTTGTTGGCTGCCACATGTGACTGAGAACATGCAGTACTTGTCTTTTTATGCCTGGCTTATTTCACTTAACATGATGACCTTCAGTTACATCCATCTTGCTGCAAATGATAGTATTTCATTTTTTATTATGGCCAAATAGTGTTGCATTATGTATATATACCACATTTTCTTTATCCAGTCATCCATTGATGGACACTTAAGTTGCTATTGTGAATATGGCTGCAATAAACATGGAAGTGCAGGTATCCCTGTGATATACTCATTTCCTTTCCTTTGGATAAACACTCAGTCATGGGATTGCTGAATCATATGGTAGTTCTATTTTCAGTTTTTAGGCCGGGTGTGGTGGCTCACGCCTATAATCCCAGCATTTTGGGAGGTTAAGATGGGTGGATCACTTGAGGTCACGAGTTCAAGACCAGCCTGGCCAATATGGTGAAACTCCATCTCTACTAAAAATACAAAAAAGAAAACATTGGCCAGGTGCAGTGGCTCACGTAATCCCAGCACTTTGGGAGGCCGAGGTGGGTGGATCACTTAAGGTCAGGAGTTTAAGATCAGCCTGACCAACGTGGCAAAACCCTGTCTCTACTAAAAATACAAAAATTAGCCAGGCATGGTGGCACATGCCTGTAATCCCAGCTACTCGGGAGGCTGAGGCAGGAGAATTGCTTGAACCCGGGAGGCGGAGGTTGCAGTGAGCCCAGATTGTGCCACTGCACTCCAGCCTGGGTGACAGAGTGAGACTCTGTCTCAAAATAATAATGATAATAAACAAACAAAAAACAGAACAAAAAAAAAACTATCTGGGCATAGTGGCGTGCACCTGTAATCGCAGCTACTCAGGAGGCTGAGGCAGGAGAATCGCTTGAACCTGGGAGGGGGAGGCTGCAGAGAGCCAAGATCATGCCACTGCACTCCAGCCTGGGAGATAGAGCGAGACTCCGTCTCAAAAGAAAAAAAAAGGCTGGGTGTGGTGGCTCACGCCTGTAATCCCAGCACTTTGGGAGGCTGAGGTAGGCGGATTACCTGAGGTCAGGAGTTTGAGACCAGCCTGGCCAACATGGTGAAACCCCATCTCTACTAAAAATACAAAAATTAGCCGGGCATGGTAGCACACACCTGTAATCCCAGCTACTCAGGAGGCTGAGGCAGGAGAATTGCTTGAGCCCAGGAGGCGGAGGTTGCAGTGAGCTGAGATCATGCCACTGCACTCCATCCTGGCCAACAGAGTGAGACTCTGTCTCAAAAAAAAAAAAAAAGAAAAGAAAAGAAAGAAAAAATAGTTTTGCTGTATATAGTACCCTGGGCTGATCAGCATAAAAAAATACACATTCACAACCATAAAAAATGGATGGGAGGTGGGGAAGAAACATAGGTGTGGGTTTTAATAAATTAGGTACAAGCACCAGGAGAATAAAAATAGGATGTAAAATATTCAAAGTGACTGGCCGGTGCATGGCTCACGCCTGTAATCCCAGCACTTTGGGAGGCCAAGGCAGGTGTATCACCTGAGGTTGGGAGTTTGAGACCAGCCTGACCAACATGCAGAAACCCCGTCTCTACTAAAAATGCAAAACTAGCCAGGCATGGTGTTGCATGCCTGTAATCCCAGCTACTTGGAAGGCTGAGACAGGAGAATCACTTGAACCTGGGAGGCAGAGGTTGCAGTGAGCCGAGATCGCGCCGTTGCACTCCGGCCTGGGCAACAAGAGCAAAACTCCATCTCAGAAAAAAAAAAAAAAAAAAAGAAAAGAAGTGATTATTCCATGGAAACTGAGAGAAGAGGAATAGAAGAAACAGAAAGTATGGAAAAGAGAAAACACAACCCTGTGTCAAAAAAAGAAAAGAAAACACAAAATAAGACCTATTATATAATTTATCACGATAAATGTAAATGGGTCAAACTTATCTATCAAAAGGCTGAGAATCTCCATTTGGATTAAAAACTAGTAAGTAGGGCCAGACACGGTGGCTCACGCCTGTAACCCCAGCACTTTGGGAGGCCGAGGAGGGTGGATCACAAGATCAAGAGATCAAGACCATCCTGGCCAACATAGTGAAACCCTGTCTCTACTAAAAATACAAAAATTAGCCAGGCATGGTGGTGGGCGCCTGTAGTCCCCAGCTACTCAGGAAGCTGAGGCAGGAGAATCACTTGAACCTGGGAGGTGGAGGTTGCAGTGAGCTGAGATGGTGCCACTGCACTCCAGCCTGGTGACAGAGCGAGACTCTATCTCAAAAAAAAAAAAAAAAAAAAAAAAAAAAAAAAACTAATAAGTAAAAAAAACAAAATGCAGCAATATTTTTTTTCAAAACGTACATTGGAATTCAAGCAAAACAAAAATATTAAAATCCAAGTTATTACTAAATATAAACCAGGCTAATATGAACAAAAAATAGCCAGATAACAATGTTATTATTAATAAAATTAAATTTGGTTGGGTGCAGTGGCTCACAACTGTAATCCCAGCACTTTGAGAGGCTGAGGTGGGAGGATCACAAGGTCAGGAGTTCGAGACCAGCCTGGCCAACATAGTGAAACCCCATCTCTACTAAAAATACAAAAATTAGCTGGGCGTGGTGGTGGGTGCCTATAGTCCCAGCTACTTGGGAGGCTGAGGCAGGAGAATTGCTTGAACCTGGGAGGCGGAGGTTGCAGTGAGCCGAGATTGCACCACTGCACTCCAGCCTAGGCAACAGAGCGAAACTCCATCTCAAAAAAAAAAAAAAAATTAAACTCAAGATTAAAAAAACATTATAATGGACAAAAAATGGACATTATTTTGTAAAATTTGAGAAGAGGTATGACCTATTGTATTTGACCTTATTTTTACTTTTTCTATTGTTCCTTCCTTGCTTCCTGATACTCCATGATACTTTCATTTATTATATTCTTTTTGTTTAGAGAAATTCCTTTAACCATTCCTTAAGGCTAAATCTGATAGCGACAAATTCTTGTAGTTTGCATACATTTGAGAATGATTGGATTTCCTTTTCATTCCTGAAGGATAATTTCACTGGATACAATTCACAGTTTGCAGTTCCTTTTCTTTTTTTCTTCGAGTTGACAGCACTTAAAGAATGTGTTATTTGTTTCTGGCCTTCATGATTTCAAACATGAAACCTGGTGTCATCAAATTGGTGTTCCCCTGGATGTAATGGAAACATTTCTGTCTGCTGCTGTTAATAGTTGTTTTATCTTTAGTTTGCAGCATTTTAATTATGATGTGTCTTGGTAGGAATTTATTTGACTTTATTTGGGGTTCGTTCAGCTTCTTGAATCTGTAAGTATATGTCTTTCATAATTTGGAACGTAAACCAGATTTGGGAAATTATATTCTGCTATTTCTTTAAATATTCTCAGTCCTACTCTTTTTTTTCTCTCCTGGGACTCTGATGTTAAGATTCCTGGATCTTGTGTCATTGTCCCAAAGAAAGGTCCAGAGGCTGTGTTCATTTATTTTTAGTCCATTTTCTTTTTGTTGTTCAGACTGGGTAAATTACAGTGATCTCTCCTCAAGTTCCCTGGTTCTATTATTTGTCATCTCCACTCTACTATCAAGCCCATCCAGTGAGTTTTAAATATTTTAGTAATTGTATATTTTTAATTTCATAATTTTATTTTGGTTCTTTTTTTATAACGTATTTCTTTGCTAAGATTTTTTATTTTTTCATCAGTTTTAAGAAAATTTGTGGCCGGGCGCGGTGGCTCACGCCTGTAATCCCAGCACTTTGGGAGGCCGAGGCGGGCGGATCACGAGGTCAGGAGATCGAGACCATCCTGGCTAACACGGTGAAACCCCGTCTCTACTAAAAATACAAAAAATTAGCCGGGCGTGGTGGCGGGCGCCTGTAGTCCCAGCTACTCGGGAGGCTGAGGCAGGAGAATGGCGTGAACCCGGGAGGCGGAGCTTGCAGTGAGCCGAGATCGCGCCACTGCACTCCAGCCTGGGCGACAGAGCGAGACTCCGTCTCAAAAAAAAAAAAAAAAAAAAAAAAAAAAAAAAAAAAAAAAAAAAAAAAAAAAAAAGAAAATTTGTAATTTCTTACTGAAACTGTTTTTTATGAGGGTTTACCTCATGACAAGATGATTCCAGAATCTGATTCTTCTCAGTATAAGCATTAGTTGATTGTCTTTTGTCTTTCAAGTTGTGATATTCCTATTTCTTGGGATGATGGGTAATTTTGGATTGATTTCTGGATATTAAGACACTTTGGGTTCTATTTAAATCTTTCATTTTTTAGAAGATTTATTTAGGTTTAGTATATAGTATACAGGCCTTGGTCTACTTTTTGTGGTGGGCTGTGCTTCCAGTGACTATTTAGTCTTCAGAACCTTTGTGTCACTATTTTGGTCCGCTCTGGGTTATCTACTGATCCCTGCTGGTGTTGCCTGAATGAGTGGAAAGAGGTTGCCCAGTCTGGGCCAAGGTGGGGAAAGGGAATCTTCAGTCCATATGGAAGTAGAGTGCTTCCTGTGTGGAGTCCTCTATCTCTATACGGTGGGATTTCCACCTGCCTGTACTAACCAACCACCTGGTGTCTCTAGGGGTGTGTGTGTGTGTGTGTGTGTGTGTGTGTGTGTGTGTCTGTGTGTCTGTGTGTTTCGGGTGGGAGAATAGGAATTCCCAGGTCTGATTGGGCTTCTGATTGCTGTGGCAGGTCCCCTGTGATGGTACTGCCCAACCACCTGTTGCTCTAGATGGGAGAGGAGAGTCTCAGGCCTGATGGGATCCCCTCTGGCTGCTTATGGTTAGTGGGGTTTCCAATCAATCCCTCCAGGCTTACCTGGTGTTGTTAGTGGGGCCCTTGTTCCACAGGGGGAGGAATAAGTCTACGTGGGCCATCTTCTATTGCTAGGCTTGGAGTTATAAGATGCCCCACTAACATGATGTTCCTCCAGTCCTGGGGTCCCTGTCTACCCAGTCCAATTTCCTTTTCCTACCTGTCAGAGTTCTTGTTTGTTATTTCTAGTGTTCATAGTAATCAGCAGGAAGGAACGAGGAAAAATAAATCTACAACACCTTGTCTGGACACATTATAAACTTATAAAAGGAATGTGAGATCAAGAAGGTATAACGACTGAAAGAAAAATCAATAACTATAGTCGGAAAATTTTACATAATCCTCTGAAAAACCAATATATCAAGAAGATAAAAGGAAGGAGAGCTTTAGGAGTTTCAATAACAGGATTATGAATCTCAAGATAATAGGTCTACATGCAACTTTACATGCAACAAACAGAGAATATACATTCTTTTCTAGCACGCATGCATTATTCAGGGAAGTTGACCATATGCTAAAATACAGATGATTCTTCAGTGAGATTTAAAATAATTCACATGCATCAATACCACTATATATAGAGAGAAATATAATGTAAGCCACATATGTAATTTTAATTTTTAGTCGCTCTATTTTTTTTTTTTTTTTGAGACGGAGTCTCGCTCTGTCACCTGGGCTGGAGTGCAGTGGCATGATCTCG
Source organism: Homo sapiens (assembly GCF_000001405.40). Taxonomy (NCBI): domain Eukaryota; kingdom Metazoa; phylum Chordata; class Mammalia; order Primates; family Hominidae; genus Homo; species Homo sapiens. The sequence continues at coordinate 18,691,555 of NC_000017.11, forward strand.
GCTCACTGCAAGCTCCGCCTCCCAGGTTGTTGACATTCTCCTGCCTCAGCCTCCCGAGTAGCTGGGACTACAGGCACCCGCCACCACGCCTGGCTAATTTTTTCTATTTTTTAGTAGAGACGGTGTTTCACTGTGTTAGCCAGGATGGTCTCGATCTCCTGCCCTCATGATCCACCCGCCTCGGCCTCCCAAAGTGCTGGGATTACAGGCGTGAGCCACCGCGCCCGGCCTAGTTGCTCTATTTTAAAAACTTTTAAAAGAGGTGAAATTAATTACATAAACATATTTGTTTAACCCAACATATCCAATATATTTTATTTTAGCTTGTAATCAATATCAAACTTATCAATAAGATACTTTATATTGTTTGCACTGTCTTCATAATTTGGAGGTGTTTTTTTACACTTACAATGCTTCTCAATTCAGACTAGGCACACTTCAAGTGGTTGGTACACACATGGCTATATTGGCTGCCATTTTGGACAGCACAGATCTATTGCTCTTTGAAGATATGCAATAAAATTAGAAATCAAAAAGAAAAGAGAGCTCAAACTTTTTCTGAATATTAAAAACAAAAATAAAGAAAACCCCACAATACTAAGTAAATTTGGGGTTAAAGAGAAAATAGTGTAAGAAGTTACAAAATAGTTAAACCTGAATCACAAGTTATTCAGAAATGTTAGAGTACGTCTAGAAGAGTATTTAGAAAATATTTATAATTTAAATACATTTAAGAAAAATTGGAAACAAGTGAGCTAAGAAGTTTATTCAAGGAGCAGGTTAAACCAAAGGAATACGAAATACAGAAATAATAAATGCTCAAAAATCAAGGAAGTCATGTACACAAAAACCAATAAAAAGACTATTGAAAGCAAAAGCTGGGCTGGGCGTGGTGTCTCACACCTGTAATCCCAGCACTTTGGGAGGCTGAAGTGGGTGGATCACCTGAGGTCAGGAGTTCAAGACCAGCCTGACCAACATAGTGAAACCCCATCTCTACTAAAAATACAAAAATTAGCCGGGCATGGTGGCATATGCCTGTAATCCCAGCTACACAGGAGGCTGAGGCAGGAGAATCGCTTGGACCTGGGAGGCAGAGGTTGCAGTGAGCTGAGATCATGCAACTGCACTCCAGCCTGGATGACAGAGCAAGACTCCATCTTCAGAGCGAGACTCCATCTTAAAACAAACAAAGATAAAAGCTGGTTTAATGAATAGATTAATAAGATACACAAACTTCAAATAAGAATGATGAATTTAAGAGAGCAGATGAAGTTATACAACTGCAGATTGGATAAACAGAAAGAGAGGCACAATGGACATTATTAAGCACCAATACATTTGAAAGCATAGATGAAGTAGATAAGTTTAGGAAAATATGAAATAAATAAAAAGGTACAAAATGAAATTGGAAACTTCAATAGCTCAATTACCATAAAAGAAATTAAAATGTGGGGCACACTCCAAATTCTACCAAACTTTCAATGAACTGATCTTCTCTATCTTATATAAAAGGTGTTCTAAAACAACTCAGAGGAATAAAAAGAGATAAAGCGGCCAGATTTATTTTAGTAATTTAATATAAACTTGGTTCTTAAAATGGATAAAGATAATACAAGGAATAAAAATGAAAATTATGAGCCAATTTTACTTACGGACATAAGTACAAAACCTAAATAAAATATTAGCCAACTGACAACTGAATTTTTCTTTTTTTTTTTTGAGACGGAGTCTCTTGGCTCACTGCAGACTCTGCTCCCCGGCTTCATGCCATTCTCCTGCCTCAGCCTCCCGAGTAGCTGGGACTACAGGCGCCCGCCACCTCGCCCGGCTAATTTTTTGTATTTTTAGTAGAGACGGGGTTTCACCGTGTTAGCCAGGATGGTCTCGATCTCCTGACCTCGTGATCCGCCTGCCTCGGCATCCCAAAGTGCTGGGATTACAAAGGCGTGAGCCACCGCGCCCGGCCTCTTTTTTTTTTTTTTTTTGAAACAGAGTCTCATACTGTTGCCCAGGCTGGAGTGCAGTGCCACGATCTCCGCTCACTGCAAGCTCTGCCTCCCAGGTTCATGCCATTCTCCTGCCTCAGCCTCCTGAGTAGCTGGGACTACAGGCGCCTGCCACTATGCCCGGCTAATTTTTTTTTTTTTTTTTTTTTTTTGTATTTTTAGTAGAGACGGGGTTTCACTGTGTTAGCCAGGATGGTCTTGATCTCCTGACCTTGTGATCCACCCGCCTTGGCCTCTCAAAGTGCTGGGATTACATGTGTGAGCCACTGCGCCTGGCCAGCCAACTGAATTTTTTTTTTTTTTTTTTTTTTGAGACGGAGTCTCACTCTGTCACCCAGGCTGGAGTGCAATGGCGTGATCTCGACTCACTGCAACCGCTGCTTCCCGGATTCAAGCAATTCTCCTGCCTCAGCCTTCCGAGTAGCTGGGATTACAGGCGCCAGCCACTATTCCCAGCTAATTTTTCTATTTTTAGTAGAGATGGGTTTTACCACGTTAGTCAGGCTGGTCTTGAACTCCTGACCTCAGGTGATCCACCTGTCTTGGCCTCCCAAAGTGCTGGGATTATAGGCGTGAGCCACTGCACCCGGCCAGCCAACTGAATTTAACCTATATCATGATCAAGTTGATTTTAACATCAGAAAATCTAGATATGAAATTTGCTACATTAATGGATTCTTAAGGAAAAGTAAAACCAAATAACTAACTCAATAGAAATCATTGATAACATTCAATATCTGTTCATAATTAGGTTAAAAGTTAATTTCTTAATTTAGATTAAGGAAAGTTTATAACAAAGAAAGAGCTGGAAATAGAGCAAGATGGCTGACTAGAGATGTATGGATCTTGCTCCCGCTCCTCCTATCCAGGAAGGACCAAGGCGATGAATAAACAGGTAAAACAGCTAAAATTTTACTGAAATGTTGAAGGGAAAGCACTGGAGTGCAGTGGGGGACTGCAGAGGCAGCTGAGGTGATTGGAAATCCAGGAGAGCAGTGCAGAGTTACCCAGCCTCTGCAGCCCCATCTGCTCCACCCAGCTTCAATCAGCCTGGAGACAGGAGGGACTTCCCCTTACAGGAAAAGGGTAAGCAGAACAACTCCACCAGCCCCCATTGCCTTACCCACAGTCCTTACTACAGGAGAATGCCACAGTCCTTGAAAGCCCTGAGCCTAGTTTTGAGAGCTGTCTGAAATTCTTGCTACCACACTGCTCCGGATTAGGAACAGAAAGTGTGTGCTCCCAACCTCCACTCACCCACTGTGAGTCAAGCTGTGGCATCAGCAGCACTGTGCCATCTTGAGACTACAGCCACCTCTGGAGTGCACCGTCCTATGGAGTCAGTAGCCACTGCACCTCTGCAGCATCAGGGCTCCATCTTCTTTCTACAAATCTCACAAGGGTGGCTAAACTCCATAATCCCACTATGCATAGATTGGGCTTAGGATCAACTGTGATTCTGGTCCTGCGCAACAGAGAAGACGACCCCAACCATCTGCACTTTGAGACAGAGGAACTATGTGGCAATCCCACCCAGGGCAAATATGCTCTTGAGCCAGCCAAACTGCTGACCACCCTCCACAAAGCAGGAGAGGTCCTTGAGCCACTAAGCAGCTGACATGCTGCCCTATCAGCAGAATGTCTATACTCCTGTGCCCACAGCCTGAGAAACAACCCTGTGGTACCCACTCCCATTGTTGACATGCCCCTGTCCTACCCAAAGCCCCCACACCCGTGATCAGGGCCTGTGATGCAGCATCGTGGCTCACTTCCTGCAGACATGCCCTTCAGGCTGGCTGGCCAGCTGTCCAACCACATCCCAGGCCTGAGAAACAATCCCACAGGGTGCCCCTGGAAGGCACACTCTAAGGCTGATCCAGTAGCTGTACCCCCACATTGCCAGCCTGAAAAAGCCTTTCAGGCCACCCCTGGCCAACCAAGAAGCTATAAGCCCACATCCTGAACCTGAGAAAAACCCTGTGGGCCATGCTTAGCAGACATGCACCCAGGCCAGCTGAGAAGCCATGTGTCCATGTTCAGGGCCTGAGAAACAGCTTCACAGGCTGCCCCAGGCAGACACCCCCCCAGGTCAGCTGAGCAGTGTGCCTCCATCCCAGGCCTGAGAAACAGTCCCATGGGCCACTCCAGGACACACATCTCCCGGCCAGCCAAGCAGCTTTGTGCCTTTGTTGCAAGCCTAAATAACAGCTCCACAGGCTTCGCCTAGAAGACATGTTCCCAGGACAGCCAAGCAGCTGTGCTCCTGTGTCCAGGGTCTGAGAAACAGTGCCACAGGCCATCACTGGCAGGCACCCTCTAGGCTGGCCAAGCAACAATGCATTCGTGTCCCCACCCAGAGTTAACAGTCCCATAGCCCCAACCCCAGTGAGCCAAACCCCAAGTTGGCTGACCCACCATGTACACAAATGAGCCCCTGACTTGAGAAACAGCCCTGTGCAAAAGCCACATGACCGCCATCACCACCTCTTAGCCTAGGCCACTGAGACATTCACAAATGTCACTAGCATTTTTTTTTTTTTGAGACCGAGTCTTTTCTCTGTTACCCAGGCTAGAGTGCAGTGGCATGATCTCGGCTCACTGCAACCTCCGTCTCCTGGATTCTAGTGATTCTCCTGCCTCAGCCTCCCGAGTAGCTGGGATTACAGGTGCCTGCCACTGCTCCTGGCTAATTTTTGTATTTTTAATAGAGATGGGGTTTCACCATCTTGGCCAGGCTGCTCTCGAACTTCTGACCTCATGATCCACCTGCCTCAGCCTCCCAAAGGATTGGGATTACAGGAGTGAACCACTGCGCCCAGCCCGTCACTAGCATGTATTACAGCTGAAGAAACTTACATAGGGAATACACTACCGCATCCACCTAGAACGAAAGCCAACACACTCCATTGAAACAATACCCCAAGACCCATATGAATAAATCTTTCCCTACAGAACCTACTCCATGAAATTGGAAGAGGTGATTGTTTCATCATATGTGTATAAATCAATGTAGAGCTGGGTGCAGTGGCTCACGCCTGTAATCCCAGCACTTTGGGAGGCTGAGATGGGCAGATCACTTGAGTTCATTCAGGAGTTCCAGACCAGCCTGGCCAAAATGGTGAAACCCTGTCTCTACTAAAGATACAAAAGTTAGCCTGGCATAGCAGCACATGCCTGTAATCTCAGCTATTCTGGAGGCTGTGGGAGGAGAATCCCTTGAACGCAGGAGGCAGAGGTTGCCATGAGCCAAGATCTCACCACTGCACTCCAGCCGACAGAGCAAGACTCTTGTCAAAAAAAAAGAAAGAAAAGAAAGAAAAAGAAAGACAGACATAAAGAAAAATGTAGAAACACATGAAACATGAAAAAGCAAGGAGCACAACACCTCCAGAAGAACACAATAATTTCCAGTAACAGATGCCAATCATAAGAAAAAATACAAAGTTCTGGCTGGGCGCGGTGGCTCACGCCTGTAATCCCGGCACTTTGGGAGGCTGAGGCGAGCGGATCATGAGGTCAGGAGATCAAGACCATCCTGGCTAACACGGTGAAATGCTGTCTCTACTAAAAATACAAAAAAAAAAAAAAAAAAAAAAATTAGCTGGGTGTGGTGGTGGGCGCCTGTAGTCCCAGCTACTCAGGAAGCTGAGGCAGGAGAATGGCGTGAACCCGGGAGGCAGAACTTGCAGTGAGCCTAGATGATCGCGCCACTGCACTCCAGCCTGGGCGACAGAACGAGACTCTGTCTCAAAAAAAAAGAAAAAAAGAAAATATACAAAGTTCCAGAAAAAGAATTTAAAATAATAATCTTAAGGAAACAGTGGAATTCAAGAGCATACAGTTACACAATTCAATGAAATCAAGAAAATTCATAATTTGAATGAGAAATTTAACAGAGATATAAAAAAGAACCACACAGAAAACTTGGAACTGAAGAATCCAATGAATTACATGAAAAATACAATCAAGACTCTAACAACAGACTAGATCAAGCATAAGAAACAATTTTTGGGCCAGGCGTGGTGGCTGACGCCTGTAATCCCAGCACTTTGGGAGGCCAAGGTGAGTGGATCACCTGAGGTCAGGAGTTCGAGGTCAGCCTATCCAATATGGTGAAACCCTGATCTCTACTAAAATTATAAAAAAATTAGTTGGGCATGGTGGCGGGCGCCAGTAATCCCAGCTACTCGGGAGTCTGAGGAGGAGAATCGCTTGAACCCGGGAGGCGGAGGTTGCAGTGAGCCGAGATCGCGCCACTGCACTCGTCTGACGACAGAGCGAGACTGCGTCTCAAAGAAAAAAAATTTCTGCTCTATAACTTCACTTTTAACATTGTTTAGTTTTTTTGTTTTGTTTTTGTTTCGAGAGAGAATCTCGCTCTGTCGCCCGGGCCGCTCCGGACTACATTTCCCAGGAGCCTCGGCGCGCACTTCCGCTTCTGGCCCCTTTCTCTGGAGGAGCTCCGCGCGTGGCGAGTCTGTGTCCTCCCTGTCCCCCAGAGCAGAGAACCCTCTCTGTGTCTGGACGGGGGAGGAGCAGACGCTGGACAGGGTGTGTGTGTTCAGCAGTGGATTGTCAGACTTGGGGTCCCGGCTGCTCCCTTTTGGGTCTCTCCCCGGGCCCGCTGATCTGACTGTAATTCCTTCTGCTGGAGCTAGGGTTCGGCCACCTTGACGCGCCCCCTCTGCCCCCGGAGCGTGTCTTTGGGTTTTGTGTGTGTGGGAGTGGGGTGTATGTGTGTTTCTTATCCGAGACACCTCCGGGTCGTTTGCTTGGAAACCGGCTGAGGGCCCGCACAGCCTGGAGCATTTGGTTGGAAAGTGAGGCAGGTAGCGCCCAAGGCTCCTGTACCAGGGCCAGGTTAGGCACCAACGCGTCCCTTATGTCTCTGCAGCCTGCAGTGCGGTGGAACCGTTTTATAGACTGACAGTGTGAACGTGGGAGGGGATGGATATCAGAGACCCGTTTATCCACATTTTCAGAGAGTGGTATTGCTCCGATGTGAGTGTAGGCAGGTTACTCTCTGTGTCTCGTGTTCTTTACCTGTAATTTGAGGTTTGTTGTACCTACTTTTAAGTGGTGGTTGTGAGGATTAAATGGAATTTTGACATGCAACAGTTGACACAGGGCCAGACACCAAGTAAGGGATCAATCAGTTGTTGCTTTTATTAATAGTAGGCATCCATCTGCCCACTTGTACGTAAGAAGGAAACACCCAAGAATGAAAAGTAGCTTGTTGTAGGTCACCCAGCCAACTAGCACATAGGGGAAATTAGAATCCAGGCACTCCCAGCAGGGCACTTTCCACCACCCTGCACTTTTGTATTCATCAGGCACAATATCCTTACTGTTGTCTGTAACTGTCTATGTTCCCAGTGTCTGACTCTGCAGGGCCCTGGTGGTATAAAGGTACTGAGACTTGCCTGTGTTTAGGGCTTCCTGAAGATTAAATGGCTGCTGAAGTTCTTGAGTTTAGCTTTAGCTCAAAAGATACTGCGTCAGACTCTGCGTTCTGAGTAGAGTCTCAGACAATGAAAAAAGAAATACAATGAAAAAGGGGAAAACTTCAATCCAGAATCTCTTGCCACAGTTTTTGGCAAAATGCTGGCAATTCCCAGGAAGATATGTGGAGAACGGAAAGGTTGCTACACCCAAATAGTGGCGCAAAGGCTATGATTATGGAGGATTGGACCTGCAAACTCCAGAACAGAGGTAAGAAATAGAAATAAAGGGTCCTGCCATTAGCCGAGAATCTGCAGTATGCACACACAACCTCATTTTAGTTTTTCTTTACAGCAACCTTGTAAAATGTGTGTGGGCAGCACAGAGACCTTGGGCAAGTTAACAGTTTCCTCATCTGTAAATACTGATTTATGGAAAGCACCTGGTGTATGGTGAGTGTGCGAAGAATGGTAGTGATTTTACTAATATTCCCTTTTAATTTGAAACTCTGAAAAAACAAGATACCTTACTTCCGTACTCTTTCCGTTATACCACCTGCCTTTCTGAAGGATGAGGGGGGATAAGTCAGACTCCTTGGAGGAGGAGAAAGAAATAGGTATGGAGAGGCTGATGATTTGATTTGGCATTATAGCACATGGGAGAGCCTTAGTCCCTTGAACCTTCTATGAGCTCAGGGCTAGAGCTGGGGCCTGCGTCCCCAGGGTCCATGGCCCTGCTGCTCATTTCTGGCAGAATTAGAGACTGCTCCTTGGCTCTCTTTCAGTTTTCTCTTAAAAAGTGCTTTCTCTTAAGGAGATACAAAGGGATGCCCCAGATTAGAAGGGACTTCCATAGTCTATCTCTAGTCTGTTTGACTTTCCTATAATATCCTGCCCTCAGGCCCTCTGATTTCTGGAAGTCCTGGAACTTAGGAGTTCCTAACTCTACCTTAGCCCCCACTGACTGTCAGTGTCGAGTACAGGGAGGGGACAGGCATCTTGTGGGGAAGTTGGGATTTGGGAGTATGACCAAACATATTGATCATACCTTTTTTTCCTCGTAAAACAAAGTATAGAAAGAAAGCACCATAAAGTCTTGGTTAATGTTGATATGCAGAAAATATTGAGAATAATAATTAACTGATGATTAAATGACCTTTCCTGAGTGCTTATTCTGTACCAGGTACTGGTTTGGGCCGTTTATGTGCATTAACGCACATTGTAGCAACGTAGGTACCATTATTAATCTCTTTTGTAAAATTAGGAAACTGAAGCCCAGAAGAAACTTGGCTATGGTTACACAGTGCCAGGATGTAAAGGCAGTAGGCAGGCAGACTCCAGAGCCAGAGTTCCAATGACAAAGGATTACAGGAGGCATGAATTCTACAAAATTGTGAAACCCTGTACTTGGTAATAACTGAGGCCTGAAAGAACTACTTCTTCCCCCAAACAAATCCACAAGGAGGTTTAAGTACTGCTTTTTGGAGATGGGTGGAGAGAGGATTGAAGAAATAATAAACTAAAATATTAGGAAAATATAGAATGATATGTAGAATAAGATAAATAGCATGTAACCCTACTACCTAGAGATAAGCGCAAAGAAATGCTCAAAGGTAATAGGATCAGCAGTTCTCTCCCTACAAGTAAAAAAATCAAAATGGAGAAGTAAATTATGAGCAGAAGGTTGCTTGTTGGGCATAGAATCAGACCAAGGGAATTTGGGGCTCATTCATTAATTCATTCACAATACTTAGGGACTGCTGTCTGCCAAGTACACCGTGCTCAGTGCTTAGGATGCAGTGGTGAATGATACGACACATACAATTTAGTGGAGCGTGTGTGGTGTTAACAGGCCTGAGGTGGCCACAGACTCACCGTGGGCCTGGAATACTCACGATGGGGTGGCTAAAGGTGTCTGTGACCATGACTGCTGGGGTGGGCACTGCTGTCTTTTGCTGCTGTGACTCCCTTTTTCTTGTTCTACAAAATTGGTCACTTTCTCCATTTGTGAATAAAGGAGTTGAGCCTGGAGGTCTTTAAGCACCTCTCCAACTGTAACATTGCACTTCTTGTTTTGTTTTAGGGTTTTTTGGTCCCAGGGAACCTCGTTTTCAGAGCAGTGGCTCACGCAGATCCTGAGCCCAGTTAATGGTCATACCTTTCCCTAAGTTTATGTTCATTCTATCCTCTGAGATTATCTTTGAAGTCTCATTACATAGATGTCTGTAAAATCCTTCAAGCTATGGGCAGCCAAGGTCAGAGGCACATTTTCTCATAAGTGGCTGTTTCTAAATTCATAGGTTTGAGATACATAAAGATAAACCAGGTTCCTTTATGTCAATTTCCTTCCAGTTCTGCCCTCTGAGGACCCTGCCCTTTCCCAAAAGGGGTATCTTAAGAAGGAAAATATGGCTGCTCTTTGCCGGACAGCAGAGTCCCAGGTGAGTTGGGGATTCTCCTCTCTTCTCGGAAATTTTATTTTAATTGAGTTGGGGATTTTCCTCTCTTCTCAGAAATCTTATTTTAATTCCTGAAGCAAATTTTTTTCTCTTAGCATGAAGCTTGTCAACCACATTAGCCACAGCAGTTTGAAAGGAAAGGATCAAGCAGGTGGGATGGACTGCCAACGGGATGGTGTTTGAGTGTTCCTCAGTTGTATGACAGTAGCAGTGAAGGTCAGGAGGCTTGGTAGCCTCGCCCATCAGTTGGCAGTGTGGAGAAAGGATGGTGGGGGCAGGATGGGAATGAGGCCTCTTTAGCAGATAATTGAGGAGCGTGACTCCTAGAACATGGTTGGGTAAGAATCAAGCTTCTTTTTGTTCACTTGAGACATTTGGCGTAGATATGCAAAGGCACGTGAGGCATTTCTTGCTTGCATCTGCTTAGAATATTTTGGGGAGAAAAGATGTACACAAATCTGTGTGGCACAAACCAGCAGATTTAGTATTATTAAATAGGGCCTTATTATTAAGGGCCCTTATTATTAAGGGCCTACTCAATAATAAAGTGTCTTAGGGAAAATGCTGTATAGACTTGGAGGAGCAGGAGCAAATGTGTCTGGCTGAGAGAGATTTAGGAAGGTTTTATTCATTCAACTAGCATTTTAAAGTCCTTTTAAGCAGCTCCTAGGCTAATGAAAGTAGTGAGATTTGATGTGGGCCCTGAAGGCTAAGTTGAAAGATTTATAGAAAGTTAGTGACATAAATGACTTAGAATCGAAGCAAGATACTGATTCCTCTGGCACAGGAAAAAAGTCAGTACATTGAAATCACGGAGGTGTTGTTCCACAAAAACTTAAAGGCTTCTTATACTCAAAGTTCTTTCCTAGATATAATTCTCAAGCTTGGCTTATTTCTTTTTTTTTTCTTTTTTTTTTTTTTTTTTTTGAGATAGAGTCTCGCTCTCTCGCCCAGGCTGGAGTGCAGTGGCGCCATCTCGGCTCACTGCAAGCTCCGCCTCCCAGGTTCACGCCATTCTCCTGCCTCAGCCTCCCAAGTAGCTGGGACTACAGGCACCCGCCACCGCGCCCGGCTAATTTTTTGTATTTTTAGTAGAGACAGGGTTTCACCGTGTTAGCCAGGATGGTCTCGATCTCCTAACCTTGTGATCCGCCCACCTCGGCCTCCCAAAGTGCTGGGATTACAGGCGTGAGCCACTGCGCCTGGCCAGCTTGGCCTATGTCTTAGTTTCTTACTTACCATCTGTCTCTCTCAACTTAACTGAAGATAACCTTAAGGCCAGCTGAACAATAGGCTTGGGTGGGAAGGCCACATCCTTAATCTGACTTTTTTTTACAGGGCTAAATCAGTTTGTTTAGTTAACAGGTGTAATGGGCCTTTATTGCTCAAAGCTCTTGTTAGACTTACTTCCCACTGTATGAGATCTAGAAACAGTTTGCTTTTCCAACCACGTGAGGCCTCAGATTTCTGCACTCTATTCTCTTTTGTTTTGGCTTGAAAATTGACACATTGTTTCCTGAACTTAACTCATTCTTTGTTCGCCAGACATATCCAGGAGCATTCTACACAAAGAGCATTCTGGCGCTTTCCAACCTGTTCTAGAGCCACAGGCCCAGTGAGCATTTGCCCTGCCCTCATAGTTGCTAATTAGTTTGCCAGTGTATATTAAGAGTCTGCATCTGTTGGCTGGATGCGGTGGCTCATGCCTGTAATCCCAGCACTTTGGGAGGCCGAGGTGGGCGGATCACCTGAGGTCAGGAGTCTGTCACCAGCCTGGACAACATGGTGAGATCCCGTTTCTACTAAAAATACAAAAAAAAGTAGCTGGGCGTGGTGGCTCACACCTGTAGTCCCAGCTACTCATGAGGCTGAGGCAGGAGAATCGCTTAAACATGGGAGATGGAGGTTGCGGTAAGCCGAGATCATCGTGGCCACTGCCCTCCAGCAACAGAGTGAGACTCTGTCTCAAACAAAAAAAAAAAAAAAAAAAAAAAAAGAGAGACTGCATTTCTCCAGTCGTAAATATTCTTTTCTTTGAAGCTTGCCACCTGACTGTCAATCCAATGCCACCTGTGTATTTGAACTTTTTATTATGATATCTCCCACTTGAAGGTGCTGATTTCTGAATTAGTTTGGGTTGGCTTACTAATAACTGTTGTAACCAATAGACCCAAAATATATATGGCCTTAATACAGTAGAAGTGTATTGTTTGCTGTCATAGCCATGTGACTGGGTATATAGATTGATAGGATGGCCATTCAGGGACCTGAGCTACCTGAAGCTCTAGCCTCTTTACCACATGGCTTCCAAACTCACTCTGGGGCTCATGGCCCTACCAGCCAGTCAGAAGGGGAAAACAGCATGGAGGAATATACGTGAGTCAGGCCTGGAAAGGGCGCACATCACTTCTGCTTGCATTCCATTGGTTAGGATCTCATGGCCAGGTCTAACTACAGAGGAGGTTGGGAAATGTTTGTATACCTAGAAAGGAGAGGAGGAGGTATATTTTCATGGACAGTTAGCAGCTCGTAGCACTGTTCTCAAACATTTAGGTTATTTAGAACGATTTTGCTATTTTTCTACTGTAAGGTATAAATAGATGTGATTCTTTGTTTATAACTCTCCGTATTTCTGATAGTTTTCTTTTTTTTTTTTTTGAGACAGAGTCTCGTTCTGTTGCCCAGGCTGGAGTGCAGTGGCGTGATCTCGGCTCACTGCAAGCTTCGCCTCCCGGGTTCACGCCATTCTCCTGCTTCAGCCTCCCGAGTAGCTGGGACTACAGGCGCCCACCACCATGCCTGGCTAATTTTTTTTGTATTTATAGTAGAGATGGGGTTTCACCGTGTTAGCCAGGATGGTCTCGATCTCCTGACCTCGTGATCTGCCCGCCTCGGCCTCCCAAAGTGCTGGGATTACAGGCGTGAGCCACTGCACCCAGCCGATAGTTTTCTTATAATTGAGTTCTGTATATAAAATTACTGTAAAACAAAACTATCAAATTATGTCAAGGGGGTATACGCATTTTAAGATTTTAAGATTCTTTAATATATGAGTCAATAAAATCTTGTCTTTGACACTGCGAACATAGTTTAATCTATTTCCTCTCCATCCCATCAGTCTCCCCTAAGTATGCCTCATTTAACTTTTTCTTCAGAACCCCATGCAGGTGTTTCAGGGCTTTACGTCATTCAAGGATGTGGCTGTGAACTTCACTAGGAAGAATGGAGAGTACTGGACCTTGCTCAGAGAGTCTTGTACAGGGATGTAATGCTGGAGAACTATAGGAACCTGGTCTCCTTGGGTAAGCTTGGGTCCTTCCACCCCAGATTGACCTTTCAGGATACCTTTGCCTTCTAAAGATTCCCTTGCTTCTATTAGGGGATGATAACAAATGAGGCTTTGGTTATTTTCCCCCACAGAATCCAGATCAGATCCTTAAACTGTTTCTCACCCTACTTGGGTAGAAATTATTTAATTGCTTTTGACAATTAGTTATTTCATTTTCTCCTCTCTAAAATGCAACAGAGTGGGACTGAGAATAGAGTGGTCCTTTCTCTTTTGAACTTAAAATTACATTCTGTTTGTATCTCTTGAGTAGGATTTCCATTTTCCAAACCTGGTATCATCTCCTAGTTGGAAGAAGTGGTAGGCCCACGAACGCAAATGCAGGAGGGAGAGGTGCCAAGAAGCAGCTGTACACGTAAGTGAGAACAAGGCGGATTGCATCTTTAGAAATAAGAGTTAGGGGTTCTTCCGAAATCCTCCGGGCCTGTAGAAAATGTTGAATCCCCCTGCAGTCTCATCTTCACTTGACCACATCAGAATCCTAATAGCTTGCCTCTTTATTTCTTTCCAGACTGAAGGAAGAGATACTTCCTCCTTAAAGTTATAAGCCCAACACATGATCCAGAGATCAGCTTTGTGCCTCATCCTGAGGCATTTTATGAGGCTATTCCCGTTTCCTCTTTAGTAGCTGGAATCACTTCTTCATTTACTCTGTCCTTATCCTACCTAGTTTTCTGCTATATAAGAAATATGAAGAGAAGGAAAGAATTTGAATAATTTTAAGGATATAAAATTGACATAATTTGTTGTGTAGATTTGAGAGGTGAGGGAGTAACAAAGAAAATTCTCAGGTTTCGGCCGGGCGCGGTGGCTCACGCCTGTAATCCCAGCACTTTGGGAGGCCGAGGCGGGCGGATCACGAGGTCAGGAGATGGAGACCATCCTGGCTAACATGGTGAAACCCCATCTGTACTAAAAATACAAAAAATTAGCCGGGCGTGGTGGCGGGCGCCTGTAGTCCCAGCTACTCGGGAGGTTGAGGCAGGAGAATGGCGTGAACCCCAGGAGGTGGAGCTTGCAGCGAGCCGAGATCATGCCACTGCACTCCAGCCTGGGTGACAGAGCGAGACTCCGTCTCAAGAAAAAAAAAAAAAAAGAAAAAATTCTCAGGTTTCTGGTCTGGATGTGTAGGTGAATGGAAGTTCTCTTCCCTGAGATGGAAAACACAGGAGAAGTAGCAAATTTAGGGAGTGGAAGATGAGTTCAGTTTCTCTTAAGTTGTTTGAAGTGTCTATAATAAGTCTAAACCAGTGGTTCTTAACCAGGGGCAAGTTTGCCCCCCAGGGGACATTTGGCAATGTCTGAAGTGTGCTATGGGTATCTCGTGAGTGGAGTCCAGGAATGCTGCTAAACATCCTACAATGCACAGGACGGGGCCCCACACAAAGACTTGTCTGTCTAAAACGTCAACAGTGCTGCAGTTGAGAAAACCTGCTCTAAGTGGTAATGTCTGGAGGCTAGATGAATATAAGGATGACATGCCAAATGTATCTTAGTAAAGGAAAGAGATCTTAACTGGTGGTACAGATTTGGGAGTTGCCTGAGAATGGATGAAATTGAAGCCATGGGAGTGGATAATATCACCCAAAGAGCACAAAAAGAGTTACAAGAGAGCCTAGAACTCTAACGAACACAAACATTCAAGTATCTGCAAAAAAAATGTATATATATATGTATAGTATATAATATATATATTTTTATATTATATATGCAAATATATATGTATATACACATGTATATATACGTATGTGTATATACACATACGTATGTATATATACACATACGTATGTGTATATACACAGGGCTTCTCTCCAGTGTGGATCCTCTGATGTTGGGTAACATGGGCGCTTCTACTGAAGGCTTTCCCACACTCCTGATAATCAAATGGTTTCTTTCCAGTATGAACCCTCTGATGCTGGATAAGAGATGAACTCTGGCTGAAGGCTTTCCCACAGTCTTTACAGGTGTAGGGTTTCTCTCCAGTGTAGACTTTTGTATGTTTTGTAAGAGTTGAGCTCTGGCTGAAGGCTTCACCACATTCTTTACACTTGTAGGGTTTTTCTCCGGTATGAGTTCTGTCACATAAATGTGGCAGAGCTTTCGTGTAGTTCAGCCCTCATTAGACACCAGAGACTTCACAGTGGAGAATCTCCCTGAATGTCTGGACAAATCCACTCAGACTCTTCATTTTGTTAAATGCCAAAGAATTATACTTTTATAGGTTGTTACAGTGGCGATGCTTTATTATATTTTAAGGGATGAAAATCCCTCCTCTCCTACCCCGGTTATTTTCTCTTGCAACAAATCCAAGTGAAGAAACACTGAACTGAAATCTGGACTAGCCTAATAGACTCTAAAGCTCAATTTTTATATGTATATGTGTGTATTTTTATCTGTACCTGAAATGACTGCTGTCACCATGCAGTGATTTTACCCCCCTTCCCTGGCCTCAGGAATAAGCCAAGAAATTCTAGTTGTGCAGAACTGAGCTTGTTGCCCCTTCTTGTACTGATGGAAATAGTGCCATGTCCAAACAAAATAAAGAAGCTCATAGCTAATTACATATCCTAATACCACCTTCCTATAAAACTTTGCCTTAATCTGTAGTCATTCCTGCCCCCAGCTCATACCCTCCTGTGGGCAGCTTTTGTTCGCTTTACCTCATCCCACTGTTTTGTGATCACCCCCCGGGAGATGAGGGACCCAGTTAATAGGCCAGATGTCAAGACTGATGACATTTCACACACTAAGAGAACTTGAAAGTTTACTATTCATACACAGGGTTTCTGGGGAGAGCAAGATAGATGAAAGCTGGTCCAAAATGGCAAGAACAGAGAGGAGGCTGGGCCTTTAAAGTAGCTAGGGAGTGGGGCTGGAGAGCATTCGATCTGTGGGCTTGAGGGATTCAAGCTTCCTGCCAGTGCTGGGAGCTCAGGAGATGCCCATGGATTTCTTTATCTAAAGCACCAGGTGTGCGGTGGGGCAGTGTGGAGGAGGGGAGAATAGAAAATGGTGGAAACTTAAATGCTGTCAATGGCCAGACATCAAAAATGGGGCCAAACTCTGTTACATCTACCTTTTCAGAAATCTTTTTTCACTTATCTCAAAATAGCTCTTTAATGTTATTGTGTCTTTTTTTTTTTTTTGAGACAGAGTCTTGCTCTGTCACCAGGCTGGAGTGCAATGGCATGATCTCAGCTCACTGTGACCTCCGCCTCCCAGGTTCAAGTGATTCTCCTGCCTCAGCCTCCCAAGTAGCTGGGACTACAGGTGCCCGTCACCACGCCCGGCTAATTTTTGTATTTTTTGTAGAGACAGGGTTTCACCATGTTGGCCAGGATGGTCTCAATCTCTTGACCTCATGATCCGCCCGTCTCAGCCTCCCAAAGTGCTGGGATTACAGGCGTGAGCCACTGCGCCCGGACTATTGTGTCTTCCGTTGATGAGGAATCTATTTTGCTTTTTCCATCTCCACTTTCTTAGAATTTTCTTTTTTTTCCCTTTCCTTAAGCCTGAAATTATAACAGTTCTCAGAAAGTAAGAACCATTTACCTTGGAAACTGTCAGCCTTACATAGTAACTATTATGCAATCCCAACAGAAGAGTTAGGGAAGATTGAGTCAACACTTTTAGAAAACATTAAAAAAAAAAGGTCATATGAATTTGTATCAGACTATCACCAGATTAAGTTACTTGAGGCTGCCTGATGAAAATTCCTGTATATGGCTCTAAGAAATTTTATGTGTACCTAATAAAGCCAGGCATTATTTTTTGGTTGCTGTGACTCAACACTTACATGCAAACTTTTTTTTTTCTTTCAAATCTTCCTAAGCTTAAATTGATGTTAGAGTCACTTTTTTGGTTTCCATGAATTATTTTCCCTGCCTTTTTTTTTTCTTCCTGTTTTAGATGCATTTCAGTTACCTGAGAGTAATCCAATTGTATAGGATTGGAGTCCCTTGACTTTCCCATATCATTCCCAGTGTACTAGCCAGAACCTGAGATTTCCCTGCTTTCTATTTTTCTCACTAAAAGGGCTATTCTGAACTCTCTCTTCTCACCTGCTTTCCTATCCTTCTCTTCTGTTTAAAGAAGTCGGTGTTAGTACAGCTTGAAATTCAATAGGGCTTGAATTACAGAAGGCACAACTGAAGTTAGAGAAGAAAGGATTTTTGTTCTGAAAATTAGCGGTGAGACAGACCACTCTGAATAAATGGTGATATCTGGAAATAATTTTTGAAATGCCCAAAATCCTTCGTAACTTTAAGAAATTGAAAAGGGGTGGGGAGGGTCGTCTATAAGAGTGTCTGTCATTAGAATAGGACTTCTTAAAGTAATGTTTGTTAACAATTGGTAACAAGGTCATTTCCAAACATAGTTCCTGGAGCCAGTTGGCTTTGGATTGGTAGAAACCATTGTTGTTCCTTCAGAGTCCTCATCTTTGGTAATTTATTTTAGAACAAAAGACTGAAGACAGATGTCCTTGAACAAAAGGTCTGTCCTCTAATGGGTGGATTGCATGAATTCGTGGATTGTACTGTAGTGAATTGGTATAATTCTCTTGTAGCCTAAATATAATTTGGATCCAGAAATATTAAAATTTTGAGGACATTATAGTGATGAAATATTTGAAATCAGAACAGTTCTAGAAATGTTATGACTCTGGGACTTACAGAGCCTTTTTTGTTTTGTTTCAGTTTTTACTCTGACTGTACTGTTAGTAGTATGGTCTATGCTTGTGCTCTCCTCTCAGATTTGTTTGTTTGTTTGTTTGTTTGAGACAGGGTTTTGCTCTATTGCCTGGGCTGGAGTGCAGTGACGCCATCACAGCTCACTGCAGCCTTGAACTCTCAGGATCCTTGATCCTCCCACCTCAGCCTCCTGAGTAGCTGGGACCACAGGCAAGCGTCACCACACCTGGCAAATTTGTTTGTATTTTTTGTAGATGGTGTTTTGCCATATAGCCCAGACTGGTCTTGAACTCTTGAGCTCAAGCAGTCTGCCCACCTTAGCTTCCTGAAGTGCTGGCATTACTGGCATGAGCCGCCACGCCCAGCATTTGGATATTTCTATAACAGGGTTCTCTTTCGTGGGCTGTAGTGTAGACCACACTTACCCTTCATGATGGAGAATATAATTCCTCTCCTTTTACAACCTAAGCTAAAGCTCAGTGTGTTTGTTTGGTTGTGGTAAAGTCTGGGGTGGGGGTTTGATTTGGGGCTTTAGATAGTAAATGTTCTGATATTTTGATCTCTTTTTGGTAGGTAATCTGGATTCTTTAGTTTTTAAATCATGAGTGTCTAATTTTCTAACTTATATGTTAAAATTGCCTGTATGCTTGGCTGATATGTGTCCAGTGAAGGGAAAATTAATTTATATGTTAAATTAATTCCTCCAAGCAAATTATCCTGAATAATTTGCACTGTTGTGATAAACTAACTAGGGTGACCCCAGGCTTGATTTGAGGATTGCAGGAAGAGATATTTAGTGATTAAAGTAGGGCTTTCTGTCTTTTCGGAGGAAGCGTTAATACTTTTTAGGTTTTCTTTAAGTTAAGAGGCAGTTGTCACGTTATCACTCTTTTCATTTTGCAAGTTAGTCTCCTTTAGGACCCAGTTTAAGGTATCACCTCCACCCTCACCTCTTGGCCACTGTAACTGAAAATAATCTCCTCCTCTGAATACCAGTGCTGCTTACTTACTATTTATATCACTCACATATGCCTATGAAACATGACAATTTTGGTTTGATACTAATATCTGGCCTTATTCTCAATTTTAACATCATCAGGGATCATGATTTTAACATCATTATCATCATGATGAGGGAAACCTATCTTTGTTTAGGGCTTTTGTTGCTGATTTTACACAAAATAATACTTGCATACGGTTAAAAAAACCACGTGAAATAGAGTTTTTCAATGAAAAGTCATTCTTCTAGGAACTTTGACCTGTTAGATATATATCGTATATTTGATGACTGCTGGGTATGTTTTGCCAAGAGTCATCTATGCAAAATACAGTGGCTTGAGATAAACATCTCAGGAAAAATCATCTCATACTTATATTTTACTTAACAAGAATTAACCCATATGCACCAAGATATCCCCCCAAACCAAAAGATAAATTAGTGTAATTAAGAATACTATAAAATTATGTTTTGCACACCTATATAAAATTCTATATTTATCTATTTATACATGAGTTATTATCAGAGCTATACACAAAACTAGGTGTATTTTATGGGCAAATTCAAGGATTTTTAAAGACAATATTGGTATTGCCCTGTTTTCATCTTACATGCTGACTACAGAAGTAACCGTGTGTAAGAGCACGACTTCAGTGAATCTAGAGGCCCAGTCAGTTCATTCGTGTGCTAGTTTATTCCTCTTCCTGAGTGTTTTTCCTTGGTTTGCCAAAGTTGACTGTATCAGAAGATATGCCAATTTATCCTAGTAGGAAGATTGCTAGGTGAATAAAGAAGCACTTCAGATTAATCCAAGTCCAAAAAAACTCCACGTAACCTTAATCAGCTTCATATATTAGTCCTGGAATAAATGTGACTATAGTGAAAGTGGGAAGACATTAGACAATATTCATCTGTATATTATTGATATCAGATGATGCACACTGACAAAAACAAAACCCTAGAAATACAGTAACTGTATAGTGAAGCCATGGCTTAGGATTCTTTGCTTATTCAGTATCACGGTTTTAATAGGACCCCAACACTAGAAATTAAAAAGATTCCAGTAACACCAACCTAATTGTATGTAGAATAATCTTCAGTGGAGAAAATACTTACAATTGTATAGAAAGCCTACAGTGGATCATTTGTCATCATCCCTGTTCATAGATTTTAGAACCAAAGGGAACTTTGAATATATAATATGGGCCTTTTATTTTGCAAGTGAGGAGATGGAGATCTGGAAAGGTTAAATGATATGCCCGTGCTATTTGGGGTGAGGGCAGTGGATAGCGGAGCTGAGCTTCCACAGACCTCCCAACCCTGCATAAAAAAAAGACCTTCTTTCTGTGACATGTAGACCATAGAGAGCATCTGGGAGAGCAATGGGCATAGGGACGCTTCGACGTGGGAGAAATTAGCGGCTGATTGAGGGACAGGAGGGAGCTGGTTTACATTTAGTGGTAGTTATTGACTGGAGCACTGTGATGAGGCCATGGTACAGAGTGCTTTGAAGTCCTGCCCTGGGCCTGGGAATGGAGTCTGGATACATGTGACAGGCTTTGCATCCTTGTTGCTTCTGCCCTGTGGCAATTGGGGATTTACTGGATGAAAATGGGTTTTCTTGTTACTGAATTTAAACTGCAGAATATCTTCAAGCTATGAAAATAATTCTGTGTGCATGCACCTGTGGGTTAGAACACTCATTCTAACTGACATGAGGGAATTATCTCATGAAGACTTTACCTGGTGTGATATTCTTATGAGTGAATGAATGAACACCTTTTGTTTCTCTACTTTGCACTCACAAGACTCATTCTTTCACATTAGTGGTTCTCAACCAGGGGAGATTTTCCCCCTCCAGGAGACAACTGCCAGTGTCTGGAGACAGTTTTGGTTGTCACAATTGGGGGAGGGGGTGTTACTGGCACCTAGAGGATAGAGGCAAGGGATACTGCTAATCATCCTACAATGCACGGGACAGCCCCTACAGAAAAGGATTGTCCCAGCCAAAACGGCAGTAGCACTGAGATTCAGGAATTTTTAGATAACCAATTTACTGTGGCAGTATATCCCCACGAGGTGGCGGTACAGCCTCCTGCTGCAATGTTAAACTACAGTAGTTCACCGTGAGCAGTTGATTGTAATAGCGAATCTATTCTCTTTTTCAAAAAGTACACTTAAACATTTTTTACATTACAAAAGTGAAATATTCTTTGTGACAGAATCAAATAGTATACTGTAGAAGTGTATAAGTAAAAGAAAGGGCTTCCTGAGTTCCCCCTTGAAATCCTACCCTTTAGAATTGATGTGTATCTTTTTAGATTCTTTTCTTGTGCGTGTATATGTATGCATGCATAACTAGTAGTGTACTGTTTGTTTTTCAACTCACTTATAACTTTCAACATTATACTTTAGACATCTTTAAAAATAATTTAGAGGTATCTCATTTTTTTTAATGGATGCATTGTGTTCTGATGTATGGATGTCCTATAATTTCTATATATTCTTATTAATGGGCATTTGGGTTCTTTCCAGTTTTTTTTCCTGATACAGGCAATTCAGTGGTCATGCCGCTATTTCTGTAGGATAGATTCCTGGAAATGTGAGAGCTGGGTCAGAGTACATTTAAAATATTGATGAATTGGCTGTACTAGTTTATACTCTTAACAGTGTAGCAGAGTGCCTTTTTCTCTCCCAAACATTGGATACTATCAAGATTTTATTTTTAATATATATTTTATTATATTTTATTCTTAATAATGTTGAATGTCTTTTCCTATGTTTATTTTTTCTATGTTTATCAGTTATTTGTAGTTCTTCCATGAATTGCCTATTCATTTCCTTTTTCCATTTTTCGTTGGGTTGCTTTCTTTTTATCAGTTTGGAGTAGTTCCTTATACATTTTGCTTATTAATGCTTTGTCTGAAGTTTCTTTTTGAATATGGGATAAGTTAAGGATAACATAGCTAGCCAATTGAACTAACTGTCCTTATTGAATAATTCCTCCCTTTCTCACTGAGTTGAAATATATACGTATATGAATCTGTTTTTGGACTCTGTTCCATCTAATGCTGCGCTAGTTTCACAGTGTTTTATTTATTGTGGCTTGTAGCTGGTTGGTGAAGAAGGATGGGAAGAATGTTTGGTGGTGTGTTTTCATGTGCAAAAGTGTGTTTTCGTGTGCAAAAGCCTAGAGACAGGAGAAAACGGCGAGGGACTGAAGGAAGGCCAGAGGCTAAGGAAGGAACGAGGGCCTGAGGAGGAGGGGGAATGACGCTGGAGCACAGGTGGGGCTCAGATCATACAAGACCCCATGGGCCATTTTCAAATTTGGATCTTTATTCTTAGAGCCATGGAAAGATTTTAACCAGAGAAGTGACATGATCAGACTTATATTTTTTGAAGCTTTCTTTGGACTTCGGCTTCTGGCTATGATGGAGTAACTGGTACTAGGCTAGCCCTCCCACCATAAACTGCTATACAACATGACAAAATAGATGAGACAACTATTTTCAGGCAGTGAACAATAGGTAGCACAGAATACTGATCCCAGACAGAGGGAAACTCATGAGGTGAACCCCATGATCACCCAACTTTCTGTCTTAGAACTACTTCCAACCATGGCGCAGATAGCTGGAGTCCATGTAGAGCACAGTGGTCCCACTGAGTGGAGGATGTGGAAATCAGGGTTCAGAGCAGCGGAAGCAGATAGATAGTGCGGGGTGAGATACAGAGAGGAGGGAGTTGTATAAGAGCGTACACGAGTACATGGATAGGTCCCTTGTAAACCGAAGGTTGAGAGGCAAGCTGAACATGAGCTAGGTGAGATCACTCAAGGGTTATAAGATAGTGGCTACTGTGGGGTTGAGAGTGGAACAGTGTCCTGGTGGGATCCTGGGACATATAAAGGACACTAGAAAAAAAAAAAGAAAATCTGAGTAAGTATGGACGTCAGTTAATAATGTATCAATATTAGTTCATTAATTGTGACAAACTATCATAGAGTAACGTAAGATGTTAACAGTAGAGGTGTTGTGTACCCCTGTGGTAGAAAGTTTGAAGGGTCTTATGTACCCCTATTGGGTGTGGGGTATATAGGAACTCTTTAAAAAAGAGTTTGATCTACCATGGTAGAGAATTTATTCTTTCCATAGAAATGATGGAATTCTTAGATGAAGAAGCATTCAAAGAGAAGTCAGCCAAAACATATAGGAAGAAGAAAGTATCATAGATGTGTATCAGGAAGTTAATTGATAAATATTCTCTCTGGGGGAAAAAAAAAGCTACTTCTGCTTGCATCTTACACAATTGCACGTGTACATTTTTGCTGGAAAACAATCAGAAGTCATATTTTGTTATTTAGAATGTTATAAAGTCATTACTCGAGAGTTGAGATATAATGAAATTAATAATTTTTACTGTTGTTATCAAGTACATTCTTAAATGAAACTGGCTTCTTTTTAAAATTTATTTTCAATTTTTGAGTGTGTGGAAAAGTACAATGACTGCTAGCACAGTTTGGTGCCACTGCTTTAATATGTGCTGAGGCCTCAGCAATTTTACTCACTATTGCTCCTGCATCATTGCGCAAATGACAATATGGTGAAAATAGCAAAGAATACTCAAGTGTTATCATGAAAATAGTTTTGACCTCACACATCCCTGAAAGGGTCTCAGTGAAGCATCAAGGGTCCATAGATCTTGCTTTTAGAACCACTGGGTAACAGCAGGTATCTGGAGTTTATGTAAGATGAAGGAAGGCAAGACTCTACAAATACTTTATGCTTTTAGACTTATCCCATTCATAAGCCTATTAGTTCTGCTCCATCCACCACCCCCTGCTCAAGGCAGAGATTATTAGACTGAATAAAAAACAAGACTTGCTTACATGATGCCCATAAGAGATGCATTTTAATATCAAGAGCCAGGTAGGCTGGTAAAAGGATGGGGTAAAGATAATACCAAATAGCCCAAATGTATAACAAACCCAAATGCTCATCAGCAGGGTAATGGATGAACACGCTTGGTTACAGACATAGCATGGAATGCTACTCAGCAGTGAAAACAACAGGCTACTGATACGCACCATGACATGGATGAATCTCATAGATGTTTTATTGAGTGAAATAAGGCAGACACAATAGTGCCTACTATATATTTCCATTTATATGAAGTTCCAGCACAAGCAAAACTAATTTATAATGATAAAACTCAGATTCTTCGTTGCCTGGAACCAGGCATGGTAGAAAGATTGAATAAAAGGGCATGAGGGAGCTTCCTGGGTGCTGCCAATATTCTCTATCTTGATTGGGTGGTGGTTACCAGAATGGAGTTATTTGTCAAAACTCATTCACCTGGATGCTTAAAATAGGTGAATTTTATTGCATGTAAATTATACCTCAGTAAAGTTGATTTTTTTAAAAACCTTTCTCTGAGGGTGGGTGCAGTGGCTCACGCTTATAATCCCAACACTTTGGGAGGCCAAGGCAAAAGGATCACTTGAGAGCAGGAGTTCGAGTCTAACTTGGGCAATACAGTGAGACCCTATCTCTAAAAAATAAAAGTAAATAAATACATAAATGAAAAGCTTTCTCTGGATGCAGAATGGAGAATGGATTGGCAAAAGCAATGAGTAGATGTAGGAATTCTAGTGTGGAGCCTATTGCCATAATCCAGGCGAGAGACAATGATGGCTTGGACTCTAATAATAGCAGTGGAAATATAAAGGGTAAAGGGTTTGGAGATGTGTGAGATGTAAAATGGTGATGGGATGGACATGGGTTGTGACGGAAAGAGAGGAGGTAGGGATGCTCCCTGGGTTTCTGATTTGTAATCTAGTTGGGTGCTGGTGGCAATCTCTGAGAAAAGAACCATGAGGAGGGTTAAATTTGTTGTGGTGGGATCTAGGGAGGCCTTACATTTAATTTTGGATGCATTAGATTCAAGGTGCCTGTGAGAAAGTCAAGTCTTTATACTTAGAAATTAGTTGGATATACAGGTCTGAAAGTTGAGCTGAGACATCAATTTGTGAGCCATAAACAGGTGGTAACTGAAGGCGTAGGAATGGATGAGCTCATCTAGGAAGAGAGACTAAGTTGGGAAGAAGAAGTGATCTTGAGTTGAGCTTCAAAGAGCCTCTCACCTTTTCAGGCAGAGGAAGAGGAATAAGAAAATTGGACTGAAAAGTAATGGCCACCGAGATGTGGGCAGCCAGGAGAACGTGTTATCACTTGAATGTTACCCATTCATTATCTGGTTTCCCGATACACTGTGTTGTTTTCTTTCTTTATTTTTTTATTCTTTTTATTTTTTAGATAGAGTCTTGCACTCTCGCCTAGGCTGGAGTGCAGTGGCACCATTTCGGCTCATGGCAAGCTCTGCCTCCTGGGTTCACGCCATTCTCCTGCCTCAGCCTCCCGAGTAGCTGGGACTACAGGCACCCACCACCATGCCTGGCTAATTTTTTGTGTTTTTAGTAGAGATGGGGTTTCACTGGGTTAGCCAGGATGGTCTCGATCTGACCTCGTGATCTGCCCGCCGCAGCCTCCCAAAGTGCTGGGATTACAGGTGTGAGCCACCACGCCCAGCCCCCTTTGGTTTTAAGAGCAGCTGATCTTGCCTGCTGGCTGCCAAGTCTTCTCACCTTCTCTGAATCTCAGGCTTGCTATGTAGAAATGAGACCATGTGTATGTGTGTGTGTGTGTGTGTGTGTGTGTGTGTGTGTGTGTGTGTATGAAATCTGGACTCCTTCTATGACTGCCTTTCCTGTTTGTTCTGACCCATGAAGCAGGTATGGTTCTTTCGTGTTCCTCAAGCGTATCAAATGTTACTGAGTGCTTCCTATCGCTAAGTGCTGGGCTGCACTGTCTAGCCTCTAGGAGCTTGGACTCTAATCAGGAAGCCAAGGCACATACCCTAACTCCACAGAGTGCCAAGAGGCTGGCACGGTGCAATTACTGCACCTTTGGAACCAACCCTGGGAGCGAGGTCAGTGCAGGTTCCTAAGGCAGGAAGACCTGAGCTGAGCCTTGTCCTAGATCTTTGGAGAACATTAATGCCAGGCCACGATGCTGAACCTCAGCATCAGTCCCAGAAAGTTCAGGACTGGATGCTGGCTGCAGACACAGTCTCCATGGTGAGCAAGAGCCAAGTATCTAGAGCCAAAAGTATCCACGCTCATCTGGGGAGTGGTTAACTGGCATCACTCACAGCCTGTTTGCTGGCAGCCGAAAGGTGGATGATAGGTGTATGTGGCCACTTGGGAAAGGAATTACTTGGGCCGGGCGTGGTGGCTCACGCCTGTAATCCCAGCACTTTGGCAGGCCGAGGCAGGTGGATCACCTGAGGTCAGGAGTTTGAGACCAGCCTGACCCATGGTGAAACCTTGTCTCTACTTAAAAAAAAAAAATACAAAAATTAGCCTGGCACGGTAGCAGGCGCCTATAATCCCAACTACTCAGGAGGCTGAGGCAGGAGAATCGCTTGAACTTGGGAGGTGGAGGTTGCAGTGAACCGAGATCGCGCCATTGCACTCCTGCCTGGGTGACAGAGCAAGACTCCGTCTCAAAAAAAAAAAAAAAGAATTTATTTCAGCCATTTTGGGGAATGCCCAGGACTCAGTATTATGTAACTTGTTTTTCTTATTCTCCCAGGCTGTAAGTATTTTGAGAGGGGGCAGTGTGTGTCCTATGTGACTGAGCTGGCCATATGTACTATGGTGAATTCTGAGCACCTGACCGAGGCATGCAGTCAGCGTCCAGGTGGACTCTAGTTCTTCCTTCTCTAGAAAGGCTAACCCTGTGTGCTTGGAATACAAAGGAACTGGCACAGTCTGGGATTTTTTCTTCTCTCTTCCCACTCTCCCTGTTCTTCCTATTTTTCATCTCTAACATGACCTGGCTGCCACTCTTTGTGTGCCACCTTTGCCCTGTAGCAGAAGGAACCCTTCTGTTAGCATATTTAGGTAGTCTTGCACCAGATGAGAAGCTAAATGGCTTGAATGACTTGACAAAGCCTATATGGCCAGCAAGTGGCAGGTCCCAAAATATTTCGGACTCCAAATAGTGTGCCTTTGACACATCTGTCATTGTCTTGCTGAAGCAGGCAGAGCTCTGTGTGCCCTGCCTTCCAGAACTTTCTGTGCTCATGGGCACCACAGTCCCGCTTCTGGGCAGGGCCCACCCTGACCTGAGATGTGTGTGTGGCTGACCTCTTGGGAAACCCTGAAGCCAGTGTCTGAGGCACCCCATCATTTTCAAGGAACAGGAATAACTGGAGAAACAAGTCTTTCAAAGTGGCTCCACCTTTTGAGGTAACTGGGAGTGCATTTTCTTGGGGTGACTCAGTCAGGAAAGTCCCCGATTATGTACTTAAGGAGTCCTTTTCTCTCCTTTTGTGGTAGTCTGCAAATAGCAGAGAGAAGCCCCTCACTCTCGATGCTCCCTGGGTACCTCCCTATGGCCCTGCTGCTGCCGACTGCTTCAACACATTCTTCTGTCCCTGCTGTTTAGATGTCGTGTTGTAGGAGCCTGTTGCTAAGGTGTGTTCTGCTGTGTCTTCCACCACCTTTAAACAAGCAGCTCATGTTCCTTTTCTCTCCCCTGGAATGGGTCACTGTGTAAGCCTTTTTCATAGTTCAAGATTCCAGGATTGCCCCCAAATAGGCCAGACCCACCCCCACTCCCCACTCCCAGGCATCACGTCTCAGGTATCAAGGGTGAGAGGTCACTGGGGCCCCCTCAGTTCCACTCTCAGTGACCTGGAGCCTGAGCAAACATTTCCTGCCTTCTGCAGTGTCCTGGAGAGGCGAGTCCTCTGCCCGCAGCTGCTTCCCTCCCCAGGGGGCCTGGAATTCCCCCAGTCTTCAGTGGAGAATGGAGAGACAGTTTATGCCCTCTGAGTTCTATTAGGGCATAATGACTCGCAGCTTTAAATGCAGACAGAAGCTATTAAAAGCAGTGAAAGCGATTCTTTTTTTTTCTTTTTCTTTTTGTATATTGCCCTTTTGGAAGTAGGAAAGTGACAGGGTCTTTGAGGTTTGCAAAGGTTTAAGTGCGCCTTGGCACACCTCTTGGCGGAAGGTGTTTAGTGCATCCCAGGAGGCAAGATTGAAGCTGGGGCCAAAGCAGGCAAACCTGAGGTTTTTGGGCAGGCACTTGCCTGGGCTAGGAGGGCTGGCTCTGCCTTCGAATACAGAACATGAATGGAAAGCAGCCATGGTAGCAGGAGTAATAATGATGATGATGACGATGCTGGCACCCACTGACATTTATGGAGCTCATTAATAATGTCCCTGGTACTATACAAAGTTCTTATTGACATACGTTATCTCATTAGTCCATTCTTTCCTAATCCTATGAAGCAAACACTTTACTGAGCCCCATCTCACAGGTGAAGAAATGGAAGTTTAGAGATATTAAGTTGTGAAATAAGAAACAGGCCAGGCACCGTGGCTCACGCCTGTAATCCCAACAGTTTGGGAGGCCAAGGCAGGCGGATCACAAGGTCAGGAGTTCGAGACCAGTCTGGCCAACATAGTGAAACCCTGTCTCTACTAAAAATACAAAAATTAACCGGGTGTGGCGGTGTGTATCTGTAATCCCAGCTACTCAGGAGGCTGAGGCAGGAGAATCGCATGAACCCGGGAGGTGGAGGTTGTAGTGAGCCAAGATTGCACCATTGCACTCCAGCCTGGACGACAGTGTGAGACTCCATCTCAAAAAACAAACAAAGAAGAAGAACAACAACAACAACAAAAACTTAGATTTGGTCTCTGCCCCCATTTCCTGGCACCCGACAGCTCTTAGAACCCCCAGACTCTCTGAAGTGGTAAGTGTCTGAATGCCAGTGAGATGACTGGGTGGCTGAGGGGGGTCCCGAGAGCCTCAGGATGGGGGCTAGTTGCCAAAGGAGCCAACCCTATGATGAAAGGGTTTGACTTTCAGCCCCATCTCCCTGATCTCCTCCAGGGAGGGAAGTGAGGCTGAAGGTTGAGAGGATCACCAATGGCCAGTGATGTAATCAATCATGCCTACATCATGAAGCCTCCACATAAACCCAAAAGGCATCAGGCGCGGTGATTCACACCTATAATCCCAGCATTTTGGGAGGCCGAGGTGGAGGCAGATCATTTGAGGTCAGGAGTTCAAGACCAGCCTGACCAACATGGTAAAACCCTGTCTCTACTAAAAATACAAAAAAATTAGCCAGGTGTGGTGGCACATACCTGTAGTCCCAGCTCCTCGGGAGGCTGAAGCAGGAGAATTGCTTGAACCCAGGAGACAGAGGTTGCAGTGAGTCGAGATCGCGCCACTGCACTCCAGCCTGGGAGACAGAGCGAGACTCCATCTCAAAATAAACAAAGACACAAACCCAAAAGGCTGGGCTTCCGGGAGCTTCTGGATTGCTGAAGGGGTGGAAGTCCGTGGAGGGTGTGCACCCTGCACTGGAGAGGGAAGAGAGGTGTCACTTCCCTCCCACATCCCTTGCCCCGTGCATCTCTTCCATCTCCAAGTAGGGAGTGTCAGAATTGAGTTACATCTTAGGACACCCAGCTGTTGTTGGAGAATGGCTTCATGTGGAAAAAAACCCACACGTTTTAGTTATGAAAGTGTTCTGTGTTGTGTGACTATAAGACAAAGAAAGTTTGTTTTTCCTATTCATAAGTAAATTTGGCCAAAGTCTCAACTGCTAAGTAAAAAAAATGTAGACTTCCCACTTGGCCATCTGGCTCCAACCCTACACTCCCTGTTTGGCTCTTGTGGGGTCAGCCTAGGCTCAACTCCATTGATGAACTTGGAAGCATGATTTTATCACCTGTACATTTGAAATAATAATCATGTTTACCTATGTTGACAAAAGGAGTCAAACTCTGTAACATATTTGAAGATATTCATCCTGAGCCAAATATGAGTGACCAATGGTCTGTGACACAGCTCTCAGGAGACCCTGAGAACATGTGCCCAAGGTGGTTGGGGTACAGCCTAGTATACATTTTAGGGAGACATGAGACATCAATCAAATACATGTAAGATGTAATTTGGTTTGGTCTGGAAAGGTGGGACAACTGGAAACCAGGGCTTCCAGGTCATAGGTAGATTCAAAGATTTTCTGATTGGCAGTTGGTTGAAAGAGTCAAGTTATTGTCTAAAGACTTAGGAATGTCTGGGTTAAGATAAGAGGTGGTGGAAACCAAGGTTTTATCATGTGGGTAAAGCCTCCAGGGAGGAGGTTTTGGAGAGAACAGATTGTAAATGTTTCTAATCAGACTGAAAGAGTCTGCTGTATCAGTAATTCCAAAAGGGAGGAAGTTATAATGAGCCATGTCTGACCTCCCTTCCCATCATGGCCTGAACTGGTTTTTCAGGTTAACTTTGGAATGCCCTTTGCTGAGAGGAGGGATCCATTCAGATTGTTGGGGGGCTTAGGATTTTATTTCTGGTTTACAGCTAGTATGGGTATGGCAAGGATGGTGTGGGGTAATCCACAAAATGCTTGAAATGGTGAGCAGCACGGCATCCGTGCTCACTGTATTTTCGCTGACTCATGCTGACTGCAGCCCCAGGAGGGCACGGGCTCACCGCCAACCCTTCGTGCCTCCCGGCTGGTTTCTGAGATCAGCCACAGAAGTTAAACTTCTTTCCAGGGAAGAAGGGCGGGGATGTCAGGGCTGGAGAGTGCCCGTGTCCTTCTGTGTGCATTGGGCTCCTTCCTCCTTAATTCTCTGCTTTCCACTTTTAGGCTGAACTCCAGTGCACCCAGTTAGACTTGGAGCGGAAACTCAAGTTGAATGAAAATGCCATCTCCAGGCTCCAGGCTAACCAAAAGTCTGTTCTGGTAAGACCAGCCTGGGTCAGCCAGGCCTGTGAGGGTGTGGGACGTGGTACTGCATGCCTAGCCTCCATTCCTGTAGGTTCCTTGGGGTTTCTCCACAAATGAGAATTGTAGGTACAGTTGACTACACCGTGGGGTAGCCTCACCTTGATGTCAGGATTTGTTATGAAATTAGTTTAAGTTTTAAACCTGGCAAGTGATTTGCTTTTTAATAATATAAATTAGAACCAAGACTAATCCTGTAATAACAACATTCTTATTTCTACATTTGCTTATGCTGTCTTGACAGGGTGTATGTGTGTGGGGGGCTGGGAGTTTAGTCAGAGGTCCAAAAACTATACGTAATCTTGGCTTCTTCCATTATAAGAGGGCGTTCTGCATGTGAGTCTCACCAGTCCTATGACCTGGCAGCTGGAAAAAAGGAGTTGAGAACTCAGGATTAGTGATGGTATTTGAGAAGGCCATGGTGTGCCAGGCTAAGTAGGCAGTAAATGGTCTCCAAGTGGATTCTGAGGAGTTCTACAAATGCCTCTCGTCAGTGGCAAGCCAGTAACCACCACTCAGAAGAGAATGCAAAACAGGCCGGGCACAGTGGCTCACACCTGTAATCCCAACACTTTGAGAGGCTGAAGTGGGTGGATCACTTGAGGTCAGGAGTTTGAGACCAGTCTGGCCAACACGGTGAAACCCCGACTCTACTAAAAAATACAAAAATTAGCCAGGCATGGTGGTGCACACCTGTAGTCCCAGTTACTCAGGAGGCTGAGGCAGGAGAATTGCTTGAACTCAGGAGGTGGAGGCTGCAGTGAGCTGAGTTTGCACCATTGTACTCCACCCTGGGTAACAGAGTAAGACTCTGTTTCAAAAAAAGAGAGAATGCAAAACACCTACCCTATGGAAGTGAATCAGCATTGTCATCTTTATATCCTGAGAATAAATGATTCCATCCATCATCCATCCATCCATTCATCTACCCCTAATGCATGTATTCATTTCAACTTAATTTTCACCTCCTGGGTGTTTACAACCAACTAGCTACTGAAGGATGAAACACCTCTTTCTTACCCACAATATCTTATTAAAGGAAGAAAGAGAATTATCCCTTTAAAGTCTTATAAACCTTCAGAGATAATGGATTTCCAGGCTCAAGATAACCTGTAGAACCACATGGAGGGTCTTGTGTTTCCCAGCTCTTTAATTTTCAGACACTTTGATCCCTCCTCAGTTCTCATAAGTACATGATGACCAGGGGAGTTGGTTATTACAATAGCTACCATGCACAAGGGGCATGAAGACATGGAGAGATGACAATACTTGTCTAGGGCCATCTAGATTGGTGGAATGTGAGAACCTAGAGTTGTTGCTCCCTTGACCTAAGAATGACTCAGTATATTGATAGGCATGTACACCACCCTCAAATCTTTAAACCATTACCTGCAGGCTCCTTGAATGTATTGAGGCCTCTCCTCTCTGTACTATTTCTGCTTGTCATCATTTTCGTGGTAAGTAATGCCCTTTGCACATTACATTTACATGCAAGAAAGAAGTGTTTCTCAATGGGAGGGTTTAGGAATGAGGGCCAGGCCACAGCAGAAGTCAACCTCAATCCACCAATATCATCTGACACCTCCCTTCCACTATCCTTTCTCAGGATGGCCTCAGTTGGGGCCGGGGGTGAGGATTTGGATCCGGAGTTTGTCTTTAGTCTCATGCCTCTTAGCCTCATGCTATCGTGCTTCTATGAGGAACTTACAGGTCATAATTGTAGACAGGATTCTGCTCCTTTCCCACAACACCCTCATGCTGGTTCCCATGCTGTGTCCTGCTCCTGCTTTCTGGAGGTCATCGGGAGCGGGCACTGCAGGCAGGGAGCACTCTGTGGCCTCTGTGACTCCTAGAGCCTGGCTACCTGGAGCCTGAGTGGGCATGAAGGGTGAGTAAGCCGGGGAACTAGGACACGTTAGCTAATGCAGAGCCTGGATCAAACACCACCACCACCATTTGCCCCCGCTCCCAAATGGTTATAAGCAAAACTCTCCTGTCTTCTGAGGTAGATTTCTTCATCATTACTTCTTTGCCATATGGAAATGTAATTTGACTTTTAGATTTAAATCTAGTAATGATTAATATATCAGAATTTACAGTGTTTGCAATGTCAAGGAGGCAACACCTGTAAACAGTTGGTTCAGGAATTGCTGGGAGTCTTGGCCTCTTTCCCTCTTGGTCGCCTGCTCAGCAGCAGCCTGTGTATTTATAGTCCATTATGGGCATAGGATGTTACCCTAACTGGTGCCCACAGTGAACAAGGGGCTAAGCCCTGTCTCTCGTCTGGTCTTAGGAGGGCTTCTGTTTAATGGGCTGAACTTAAAGGTCCTTCCCTGCAACCCCCACACAGCCACAGCCCATGGGCTGAAAGCTCAGCTGAACTCCCATTGTACCTCCCCAGCTCATCCTAGTGAATGTGCCAGGGCCCAGAGGGAGAGGTCAGGCTGTGCCAGCTCAGTGCTATACTGCAGGCACATGGATCCCCAACCCTGGGCCCTATTTTGAGGCAGTGTGGAGTGGTGGTCAAAGGGCTGGACTCCAGAGACAGACAGTCTTGGTTCAAACCTTGCTGTGTGATCTTGGGCAAATCAGTCCATTTATCACTGTCTCAGTTTCCTTATCTAAGAAATGGAGACCCTAATAGTACCTACCTTTTAGGGTTGCTAGGAGAAAAGTGCCTGGCACATAGTAAGAACTTACTACATGTTGGTTGTTTTTATGATTATTGTTATATAATTAGAAGAGTGACCAGGCTAGCAGCAGAGAGTCCTCATTCTCAGGAGAGTGGGAAGAGGGAGAGAGGTGAAGTGTCAGAGGGCTGCAGAGCCAATACCTGGCAGAGCCCCAGGCAGCAGGTTTGCCACTTGGGGGGCCTGGGTGGGGCCCAGGTAGCTTTCCTGGTTCTCAGGTCTTCATTTCAGACAGTGCTCTGAGCCTCCCATCCACAGTCCAGAGCCCATTCTCTGCCTGCCTCCTTCTCTACTATTGTCGCCACCTGCAGTCTTTCTGAGCAGCTGGTTAAGGTGCTACTATTCCTCCTCCCAAGGGTGAGGGCCAGCCCTGAACAAAAGGGCTCCGGAGGGAGCCACAAAACCAGATAGCCTCAGGTTTCCCAAATCGCCTCTCCTGCTGCCCTGGCTTCTCAACACCGTCACCTGTCTAAAAGCTTTTCTTGGTGTGGGCTGGAAGAATTTGGATAAAGTCTACCATCCCCGCTCTTCCTTAATCCTATTACCACAGCTTCTTTGCTCCCAGCTCTGTCCAGCTACCTAACCTCAAGGAAGCCAACAGGCGATGGAAAAGTTGGCATAAAAATGAGAATGTAGGCTGGACGTAATCCCACCTGTAATAACACCTGTAATCCCAGCACTTTGGGAGGCCAAGGACGGCAGATTGCTTGAGGCCAGGAGTTTGAGACCAGCCTGGGCAACGTAGTAAGCTCCTATCTCTACAAAAAATATAAAAATTAGTTGGGCATGAAGGCATGCACCTGTGGTTTCTGCTACTTCGGAGGCTGAGGTGGAAGATCGTTTGAGCCTGGGATGTCAAAGCTGCAGTGAGCCAAGATTGTGTCACTCCAACCTGGCAACAGAGGAGACCTTGTCTCAAAAAAAAAAAAAAAAAAAAAAAAAGAGAGAGAGAGAATGTAGGGGGATTGTCTGTGTCTTCCCACCATCCCCCTCCAGTAGGGATACCCCTTGCTTTCTTTCCCCTGCTTATTCTTCCCTTTGCCACCAGATTGAAGACTGATCAGAGACCATTCTCGTGGAGTGAATTGCTGAGCCCTGGCCTAAGCCAGGGCCTGAGCCAGGCAGAAGACCTATCTGGTGTCATCATTTTTTCTTCCCATCTCCCTCCAAACCTCTAGGTTCCCACTAAGCCTGGGCCCAGAATCCCATCCTTTCTGAGTCCTTTCCTTACTGTGCTCCCCTTTTTGATCTGGGTCTCATTCTCCCTCCCTCTCTCCCTCTCTCCTTCCTTGCCAGGGATGGGAGGTGCCCCTGAAGCCTCTGCCCAAGGATATCTGCTGTTTGACTCACTTTGGAGCCCTGATGTTCAGAGCTTGCCCTTAACATTGGGAGGAGAAAGAGAAAACAGCACCTGGAGGGGTGCTCAGAAAGTCTCAGATGGGATAGGGCTGGAGTGCAGTGGCGCAATCTCAGCTCACTGCAAGCTCTGCCTCCTAGGTTCATGCCATTCTCCCGCCTCAGCCTCCCGAGTAGCTGGGACTACAGGCGCCCGCCACCACACCCGGCTAATTTTTCTATTTTTAGTAGAGACAGGGTTTCACCATGTTAGGCAGGATGGTCTCGATCTCCTGACCTCATGATCTGCCCACCTCAGCCTCCCAAAGTGCTGAGATTACAGGCATGAGCCACCACGCCCAGCTGTCTACACCAATTCTTAAGAATACCAGAGAAGAGGAAACCTTCAGAGCTTGGAAAGATGTTGTAAACATGATATTGATTGAAGGCATTCATAGAGGATGCTTACCATGCAAAAGAGTCCACATGCATGTCCCCCATCATTCAAAACCTTAATGTTTCTCACATGGGTTTTCTTTTATATTTTATTTGAATGTCACATTCTGTTCTGCATATACATGCTTGTCCTGGAATTGCTTGGGTGCCATGGTCATCTGCACCCTAAACATTTTATGGGGATTCTGTATGTGGTAGAGACAGTATCATCTTAGACATGCATTTGGCTCTGATGGACTCAGTGGTCAGTTTAACCGGGCATAATGAAATGCTAAGAAAGCTAATTCATGCTGATTATACAAAAAAAAAAAAAAGCCAAATTCTTTACCTCTTGAAATATGACTATCAAGTAGACTGAATACACGCATTGCTCTGGTAGGAAAATCAGTTTCGGAAACTTGACTAACAATCCCAGAGTGTCAGAGTTGTGAGGGATCTCGGAGGTCATAGAGGAATTCACTGTCTCATCAAATGGATGAGGAGACCAAGTTAATACGTAAATCCTTTTTCCAGGAACCTGGAATTCACATGAGAATAAAGGATTCCTTTTACAATAGGGAACTGCTCCCTAATATATGTGTTTCTGACATTTCTGTATGTTGAGCTTCTATCAAGTTGGATGCCTCACTAAGAAATGTTTGGCTGCCTTCCACCCCCACCCCCCGCCAGGTGTCGGTGTCAGAGGTCAAAGCAGTGGCTGAAATGCAGTTTGGGGAACTCCTTGCTGCTGTGAGGAAGGCCCAGGCCAATGTGATGCTCTTCTTAGAGGAGAAGGAGCAAGCTGCGCTGAGCCAGGCCAACGGTATCAAGGCCCACCTGGAGTACAGGAGTGCCGAGATGGAGAAGAGTAAGCAGGAGCTGGAGACGATGGCGGCCATCAGCAACACTGTCCAGTTCTTGGAGGTATGGGGGTTGTGGGGGCAGAAGCATCCCACAGCTGCCCCATGAAGCACCCTCTCTTTGCTAGGCCCATGGCCATCTGTGAATGGAACTGTTTTTTGTTAAATGGTGTGCACAGGGAGCAGTGGGAACAGAGAGAAGCAGATTCTTCATTCAGCAGAGTATAGGAGGGGTAGGGAGGGAGAACTGCTCAGAGCAGGGAAGCTTGAAGCAGGTCCCGGAAGATGAGTCAGGTTCAACGTGCAGTATGTTCCAGGTAGAGGGAACAACATATGCAAAGGCAGAGAGGTTTGAGGAAGCACAGCTGATTTGGGGAGCCAAGGTACTTTAATAGGGGTGGAGCCTGGGGTACTGGGTGCAGAGTGATGAGACTGGCACGGCCAGGCAGGTGTATGGCTGGGAAGGGTTTCAGATGGGAGAATGATGGAGTCAGTGAGTATGTTTTATAAACCGCTCCAGCAGTCCACTGCATGGAGGTTTGCTTGGTAGGGATGAGACTGGAGCCTGCTGCTTTTCAGAGAGGGCTGTGGCTGGAGTAATTGAGGAGGGCTCAGAAGAGCAAATGCTTTTCATTACAATGTATCATTAGACATCAAACCGTAAGCCATTGGAACGAGATCTAAAGAACATGTAACCTTTCGAGGAAGGAACACTAGGTTGGGGGTAAGCTGCAACATCCTGAATCTGTCAGAAAACAGCTCTGTTAACAGCTCTTCACATCCCTGAGTCTCAAATTTCTCATTTATCAACAAGCCCACTGGAGTAAATAATTCAGAAGGCTCCATCCAAGCTCTGATATTCTGAAATACAATTTTTTCTTGCTTGCATTTTTGAAAAAATTCTCTGCTAGTTACAAAAAACAAATGTTTATTGTGAAAAACTTGGAAAGTACAAAAAAAGAAGAAAAAAAATCCATAATCCTTACACAAGTACAACATAGTTAACTTTTGAATGAGTAAAAGAGAAAGACAGACAAAAACACCAACAAAGCGTTTGTCAGTTTCTTTGCTTTTCAATATCAAAACACAAAGAAAATATGAATAACCATTTAATAACCATTTGGCTTCCCGCCTCACAAGTTTCCCTTAAGATCTACCCAAAGAGTATATAAATTATTTCTCTTTTCTCGTTTTGTAACTTTATTTATTTGTGTGTGTGTGTGTGTTGTTTTTTGAGATGGAGTCTTGCTCTGTCACCCAGGCTGGAGTGCAGTGGCACGATCTCGGCTCACTGCAACCTCCGCCTCCCAGATTCAAGCAATTCTCTGCCTCAGCCTCCCAAGTAGCTGGGATTACAGGCGCCCGCCACCACACCTGGCTAATTTTTATTTTTATTTGTTTTTTTTTTTTTTTTTGAGACTGAGTTTCACTCTTGTTGCCCAGGCTGGAGTGCAATGGCACGATCTCTGCTCACTGCAAGCTCCACCTCCCGGGTTCAAGCGATTCTCCTGCCTCAGCCTCCTGAGCAGCTGGGATTACAAGCATGGGCCACCATGCCCAGCTAATTTTTTGTATTTTTAGTAGAGACGGGGTTTCTCCGTGTTGGTCAGGATGGTCTTGAACTCCCAACCTTAGGTGATCTGCCCGCCTCGGCCTCCCAAAGTGTTGGGATTACAGGCGTGAGCCACCACGCCCGGCCAATTTTTTTTGTTTTTTCGAGACGGAGTCTTGCTCTTTCCCCCCAAGGCCGGAGTGCAATGGCACGATCTCGGCTCACTGCAAGCTCCGCCTCCTGGGTTCATGCCATTCTCCCGCCTCAGCGTCCCGAGTAGCTGGGACTACAGGCGCCCGCCACCACGCCCGGCTAATTTTTTGTATTTTTAGTAGAGACGGGGTTTCACCGTGTTAGCCAGAATGGTCTCGATCTCCTGACCTCGTGATCCACCCGCCTCGGCCCCACAAAGTGCTGGGATTACAGGCGTGAGCCACCGCGCCTGGCCAAATTTTTTTTATTTTTAGTAGAGATGGGGTTTCACCGTCTTGGCCAGGCTGGTCTCGAACTCCTGACCTTGTGATCCACCCACCTCGGCCCCCCAAAGTGCTGGGATTGCAGGCATGAGCCACTGCACCCAGCCTGTAAGTTTATTTTTAACATAAAAGACTTTAATACATATAAAATAAATTCTAGTGTATGATAACTATTTATTGGCTGGGCACGGTGGCTCACACCTGTAATCCCAGCACTTTGGGAGGCCATGGCCGGCAGATCATGAGGTCAGGAGTTTGAGACCAGCCTGACCAACATGGTGAAACCCTGTCTCTACTAAAAATAAAAAAAATTTGCCAGGCATGGTGGCGCACACCTGTAGTCCCAGCCACTTGGGAGGCTGAGGCAGGAGAATCGCTTGAACCTAGCAGGCAAGAGGTTGCAGTGAGCCAAGATCGCGCCATTGCACTCCAGCCTGGGTGACAAAGCAAGACTATGTCTCAAAAAAAAAAAAAAAAAAAAGATATTTATTTATTTTGGCAAAAGATAACATTTCCCCCCAAATTTTTGGTTAGGCATTCAAAACAAGATTTATTGAATAACTTATCCAAATAACTTATCCTTTCTCCCACTGATTTAAAATGCTACTTTTGTCTTGTACAGTATATAGCATTAAAATGTTGAATTACCCTTTTCTCTATCAATTCTCTGGTTTTGATTTCCATGGCTCTATCTAATCATTTTCATACAACTGTTTTCATTGCTATGTTTTCTGCTGTACCTGTTCTGCTCTTTAATGCTTCAGTTGCAGCTGAAGTTTGATACTGTGTTATATCTGAAAGCATCTTTCCTGATCACACGTTGTTTCAAAACTTACATGAAACTATGT
This sequence comes from Homo sapiens, assembly GCF_000001405.40. Lineage (NCBI taxonomy): Eukaryota > Metazoa > Chordata > Mammalia > Primates > Hominidae > Homo > Homo sapiens. The sequence goes on from NC_000017.11 coordinate 18,730,571, forward strand.
GATTATCAGTGTGAAAACACTTTCCAAATACTAAAGCAAGGTACAAGAATTACAGAAATTTATGCATTGGATGAAACTGACAAGGAAGAGGCAGCACTCCTGCCTGAGAGCTCCTCCATTTTCCACCATGGCTTGTGTTTAAATTGTCAAAAAACAAGTACTGACGGCATGAACAAAGCAAGAATGTTCTTTATTTTTTGGTCCCCAGTCTGGACTGTGTATTGGAGCTGTTCATGGCCATCTAGTACATCTTGATTTTTAAAATCCCACGTTCTCACTTCTTTTTTTTAAAATCCCACTTATTCTGAGGGTCTAGCAGCTAGAGAAGTGCTATCTATTTTGTTAGACCCTGAGCTTGACACTTTACATGTACTTTCTTTGTGAAGGACACATTACCGTCAGCCCATTTTACAGATGCAAAAAGTGACTTAATGAGGAGAGAAGCCCGAGTTTAGAAATACAGAAACCACAGCAAGTTCTGCTGTTTCCTTTTCTGCAGGAGTACTGCAAGTTTAAGAACACTGAAGACATCACCTTCCCTAGTGTTTACATAGGGCTGAAGGATAAACTCTCGGGCATCCGCAAAGTTATCACGGAATCCACTGTACACTTAATCCAGTTGCTGGAGAACTATAAGAAAAAGCTCCAGGAGTTTTCCAAGGAAGGTGAGACACATTCTGGGCCATGGACTATAGTGAGTGTGTCTCTAGCAGTAGATGATAGGAAGGTGAGAGAGAGTCAGGGAAGGGAGGATGAAATCAGGGGAATGTCTCATTTTCTTTTTTTCTTTTTTTTCTTTTTTTTGTGAGACAGAGTCTTGCTCTGTCACCCAGGCTGGAGTGCAATGGCGCAATCTCAGCTCACTGCAACCTCTGCCTCCCGGGTTCAAGAGATTCTTCTTCCTCAGCCTCCCTAGTAGCTGAGATTACAGGCACCTGGCTAATTTTTGTATTTTTAGTAGAGACGGGGTTTCACCATGTTGGTCAGGCTGGTCTCGAACTCCTGACCTCAAATGATCCGCCCACCTCGGCCTCCCAAAGTGCTGGGATTACAGGTGTGAGCCACCGTGCCCAGCCAAATGTCTCATTTTCAAAGCCATGCTTCAGACAGGGTATGTTACTAATGGACTCTCATCTTGATGATTTTCTTTTACAATTGAGACCCAGAGAAGGACACTTAGTCATGCTTATATTATGCCATCGGCTGGCATTTCTGTGAGTAGCTTCCCAGGTTGCTGATGCCTATACTTTTAAGTTAAATCCAAGACGGTCTGGATCACTTTTTCAGTGGTTTATGCCTTACCTATGAAAGAAATGTAGTCTATTGAGCGTATTTCTGTGAAACATTACCAGGCTTCAGCCCCTTCTTTCCCCAGGAAGCCCAGGGAAGGGTGGCTGGGAAGTCCTGATTTGCAGATTCTCCTGACCACCTGGACAGGTGTGCATTCACAACTCTCTTGATTTTCTAGAGGAGTATGACATCAGAACTCAAGTGTCTGCCATTGTTCAGCGCAAATATTGGACTTCCAAACCTGAGCCCAGCACCAGGGAACAGTTCCTCCAATGTAAGTTGTGAACGGCACCCCCTTCTCCAGTTGTTGATATCAGTGCAGTGCTTTGCTAAGTCAGAACCGCCATCTCTCATCTAGGTTTCAGGTTCTTGCAACTTCATGTCTATCCCTAAATGATACATTTCTTAAAATTTAATTTAAACAATTTTTTTAACTTTTCATTTTGAAATAATATGAAACTTACAAAAATATTACGGAAATAAGACAAAGAATTCCCATATATCTTTCACTCAGTTTCTCCTAATGTTAACACGTTACATAACTACCATACATTGATCAAAACCAGGGAATAACATTGCTACAATGCTATCAACTAATCTACAGAATTTATTCAGCTTTCACCAAGTCTTTCATCAATGCCCTTTTTTTCTGGCCCAAAGTCCAATCCAAGGTCACAGATGTTTCCATGTCTTCTTAGTCCCCTTCAGTCTGGATCAGTCTTTCAATCCTTGTGTTTCATGACCATAGCACTTTGAAGAGTCCTGGCTAGTTACCAAGTGATTCATTTCTATGTATGACTTGGCCAGAATTGCATAACTCATTGACCTATCATTAAGTGTTATTGACTTGGTCCATTAGCATTTTTAAAACACTGCACAGTTGACCCTTGAACAATGTAGGGGTTGGGATACCAATCCCTCATATGGTTGAACATCCACGTGTAGCTTTTGATTCCTCAAGAACTTAACTAGTAATAGCCTTCTGTTAATTGACATAAACAGTCACTAAACACATATTTTGTATGTTTACATATATATACATGTAGACATATATATATGTATGTATGTATATTTTTTGAGACAGGGTCTCTGTTGCCCAGACTGGGGTACAGTGGCTTGATCATGGCTCACTGCAGGCTTGACCTCCCACACTCAAGCAGTCCTCCTCCCTCAGTCTCCTGAGTAGCTGGGACCACAGGCGCATGCCACCACATCTGGCTAATTAAAAAAAAAATTTTTAAACAATTGTAGAGATGGAGCCTTGCTGTGTTGCCCAGGCTGGTCTCAAACTATTGGCCTCAAGTGATTCTTCCATCTCAGCTTCCCAAAGTGTTGGCATAAGCCGCTGCACCAGTGAGAACTTTTTTAATTATGGGATTGTTTTAATAGCCTTTAATATGCTAATTCATTTGGCAAGTATATACTGAGCATCTTCTCTGAGCTAGAGAAGAATCCCATGCAAAATGTGAAGCTCATAGATTAGAGGGAGGACAAGCAGGAAACAAACACTCACATGAATATCTATTATTACAAATGGAGAGGGGTGCCAAGTTTAAAACGCCATGGTGCTCTGAGAGAGAGTGAGTTAGAGTCACAAAGGGCCTCTTCGAGGACATGAACTCTCAGTTGTAGCCTGAATGGATTGGTAGGAATCACCAGACTCAGAGTAGGGCATGATCACATCTCAGAGGGAACAGGCTGTACCAAAGGCTCAAAGAGGATTGAGTGTTGAGTAGGTCTGAGGTCAGCACGGTGGAAATGTAGTAATCAAGGGAGAGAGTCAGAGACACAGGAAAGGACCAGGGACGTGGGGCCTGGTAGGCCAGGGCAAGGGGTTGCTGCTTTATCATAAGAGCAAGGGGCACCATGAATAACTAGAATTATTAAGCTAGAATAACACGACTGGCCTCAGCCTACAGCTGGAAACAAGCAGCATGGCTCTGTTGTGGAGAAGGTCTTGAAGGGGGCAAGAGAGAACAGCTAACGACCAGTCAGAAACCCGCTGAACTAGTCTGAGTGAGATGAGTGGTGGCTTAGGTCGGGGGTAAAGCAGGGGGCTGGAGAGAAGTGGTAGAATCCGTAGGAGTTACTGCTTCCTGTGTGTGTAGTGAGGATAGGGGAAGAGGATGAGGGCAAAACAAATGTCAGAAATGACATAGAGCTTGACTTGAGCAATGGGGTGCATGAGACCCTATTATTCTTTGGGAGTGGGAGGAGAATATGAGGGCGTGTTTGAGAATTCTTCATGCTCCATTTGATCCATTCATTCATTTTTAAGATGTTGGTTAAATATTTTAAAAAATGAATGAATGGGCCGGGCGCGGTGGCTCACGCCTGTAATCCCAGCACTTTGGGAGGCCGAGGCGGGTGGATCATGAGGTCAGGAGATCGAGACCATCCTGGCTAACAAGGTGAAACCCCGTCTCTACTAAAAATACAAAAAATTAGCCGGGCGCGGTGGCGGGCGCCTGTAGTCCCAGCTACTCGGGAGGCTGAGGCAGGAGAATGGCGTGAACCCGGGAAGCGGAGCTTGCAGTGAGCCGAGATTGCGCCACTGCAGTCCGCAGTCCGGCCTGGGCAACAGAGCGAGACTCCGTCTCAAAAAAAAAAAAAAAAAATGAATGAATGGATCAAATGTGGGTATAGGAGTACCTGCTTCCCCAAACACTTGCCAACACTGGATAGGATAATGCCAGGCATTCAATACGTGTTTGTTGAATGAATGAATGAATGCATGAATGAGTAAATTAATATATTTCTTGATTCGGTTCATCAAATAACATCATCAATGTCAAGCAATTTGAGCTTCATAAGGGAAGGGAGTAGATGATTTGTGCTCTCTGTTTTCTGGTCTTCACTCACCTCATTTCCTAGGGAAACAGCAGCCTGGGTAAATAGAGAACAGAGAAATGGATGTTTTCTCATATGTGCTTTGGAGCCCAGCTGGGTTTAAAGCATTCTGTCTGAATCAGCTGTCAGTTCCTGAACCACTCTCCTGCCTTCTGTGTCTCCTCAGATGTGCATGACATCACGTTCGACCCGGACACAGCACACAAGTATCTCCGGCTGCAGGAGGAGAACCGCAAGGTCACCAACACCACGCCCTGGGAGCATCCCTACCCGGACCTCCCCAGCAGGTTCCTGCACTGGCGGCAGGTGCTGTCCCAGCAGAGTCTGTACCTGCACAGGTACTATTTTGAGGTGGAGATCTTCGGGGCAGGCACCTATGTTGGCCTGACCTGCAAAGGCATCGACCAGAAAGGGGAGGAGCGCAGCAGTTGCATTTCCGGAAACAACTTCTCCTGGAGCCTCCAATGGAACGGGAAGGAGTTCACGGCCTGGTACAGTGACATGGAGACCCCACTCAAAGCTGGCCCTTTCTGGAGGCTCGGGGTCTATATTGACTTCCCAGGAGGGATCCTTTCCTTCTATGGCGTAGAGTATGATTCCATGACTCTGGTTCACAAGTTTGCCTGCAAGTTTTCAGAACCAGTCTATGCTGCCTTCTGGCTTTCCAAGAAGGAAAACGCCATCCGGATTGTAGATCTGGGAGAGGAACCCGAGAAGCCAGCACCGTCCTTGGTGGGGACTGCTCCCTAGACTCCAGGAGCCATATCCCAGACCTTTGCCAGCTACAGTGATGGGATTTGCATTTTAGGGTGATTTGGGGGCAAAAATAACTGCTGATGGTAGCTGGCTTTTGAAATCCTATGGGGTCTCTGAATGAAAACATTCTCCAGCTGCTCTCTTTTGCTCCATATGGTGCTGTTCTCTATGTGTTTGCAGTAATTCTTTTTTTTTTTTTTTTTGAGACGGAGTCTCGCACTGTTGCCCAGGCTGGAGTGCAGTGGCGTGATCTTGGCTCACTGCAAGCTCCGCCTCCCGAGTTCAAGCAATTCTCCTGCCTCAGCCTCCCGAGTAGCTGGGATTACAGGTGCCTGCCACCACACCCAGCTAACGTTTTGTATTTTTAGTAGAGATGGGGTTTCACCATGTTGGCCAGGCAGATCTCAAACTTCTGACCTCGTGATGCACTCACCTCGGCCTCCCAAAGTGCTGGGATTACAGGCGTGAGCCACTGCGCCCTGCCTGTTTGTAGTAATTTTTAGGCACCAAATCTCCCTCATCTTCTAGTGCCATTCTCCTCTCTGTTCAGGTAAATGTCACACTGTGCCCAGAATGGATGACCAGGAACCTTCAAGAGTGGCTGAAAAGATTGCAGAGTTATCATAATAAATTGCTAACTTGCGTATTTCCTATGTGCCAGATACCGTTCTTGTGCTTCCTGCACATTAACTCAGTCCTCACAGAACACCCATTGGGTAGATGCTTATATCATCCTTATTTTGCAGATGGAGAAACTGCGGTCCGGGGCAGTTAGCTAATTTGTTCAAGGTCACTCTGGTCACATGGTGAGTGAGGGGCAGAGCTGGGATTCAAGTGTGGGTAGAATGACACTGGACTTTTAACCACCACATCATATTGCCTTCCTTTATTTTATTTTATTTTATTTTATTTTTTTTGAGACGGAGTCTCGCTCTGTTGCGCAGGCTGGAGTGCAGTGGCACAATCTCGGCTCACTGCAAGCTCCGCCTCCCAGGTTCACGCCATTCTCCTGCCTCAGCCTCCCGAGTAGCTGGGACTACAGGCACCCGCCACCAAGCCCGGCTAATTTTTTGTATTTTTAGTAGAGACGGGGTTTCACCGTGTTAGCCAGAATGATCTCGATCTCCTGACCTCGTGATCCACCCGCCTCGGCCTCCCAAAGTGCTGGGATTACAGGCGTGAGCCACCGCACCCGGCCACCTTCCTTATTAGATCATGGACATTGTATAAAAGGGAATAAAATGCATAGCAGAGAAACTTCTTGAAGTTTGCAAATCCACACACAACATCTGACTCAGCCATCCTGCCTTGCACTGGCTCACTGCCTCACTGCCTCACACAGCAGTCCTTTCTATTTGGGGACAGCAAGGATTAGAAGAAATGTCTTAACAGTGTCTGAGTTTTAGTCCCTGTGACCTCTGGAAAGGGGCCCTACTCCTCTCCTCTAAAGTAACCTGGAATATGTGGACTTGTCTGATTTCTCATTCAAAGAATGGTTCTTTTAAGAACTGTCACGTAATACCCACGCCCCAGGTGTTCTTGTTTTCATATGAAATTTTCCACCTTCCTTTATGGTTCTCAGTCCTTTCCCCCTGATTATTTCATTCTTCTTTTGACAGATAAGCTTCCTAAGATTAATCACAAGCATTCATCAAGCCTTTAGGCAAATGGCAAACTGTCTTTAAATGGGTTTCTGAAGCTATAACCTGAAGTCTCTGGTGGGATTCACCAGAAATATAAATTTTGAGTCTGTTCCTGTGACCTTTGTCAAGGCAAATCTTTTTTTCTCCAATCAGTCTGATTGGCCTGTCTCAAGAGTATATTACTTTAGCATAACTTGACTTGTTACCTATATTTGTATCTAAGGATGTTTACAGTATAGGATTTAAAATGATTTTACTTTAATTTCATCACATCATTGCTTTATGCTGAGATACTTGAGATTCATGATTCCTTATCCAGTATATTCGCTCTCCTTCCTAGCTTAGTGTCACCTGCACAATTAGTAACCCTTCCTTTTTTTGAGACGGAGTCTCGCTTTGTCCCCCAGGCTGGAGTGCAATGGCACGATCTCGGCTCACTGCAAGCTCCGCCTCCTGGGTTCACACCATTCTCCTGCCTCAGCTTCCCGAGTAGCTGGGACTACAGGTGCCCACCACCACGCCCGGCTAATTTTTTGTATTTTTAGTAGAGGCGGGGTTTCACCATGTTAGCCAGGATGGTCTCGATCTCCTGACCTTGTGATCTGCCTGTCTCGGCCTCCCAAAGTGCTGGGATTACAGGCGTGAGCCACCCCGCCCGGCCATAACCCTTTCTTCTTAAGTCTTATCCTTGTTGATAAATATATCGAGGAGATTAGGACCAAATCTAGAATCTTGTGGCACTCAGTCAGTAGCTTCTAGGTTTAATTATATACAAATTATGCACGGGTGGAACTGTGCAATAATGTAGCCCCACCTTTTTCACCTTTATCCACTGAACATGATGAAAGACATTTTCAGTGGCAGAAATCAAGATATACTATGTTTAGGCTGGGTGTGGGGACTCATGCCTGTAATCCCAGCACTTTGGGATGCTGAGGCAGGAGGATCACCTGAAGTCAGAAGTTTGACACCAGCCTGGCCAACATGGTGAAACCCTGACTCTACTAAAAATACAAAAATTAGCCGGCCATGGTGACACGTGCCTGCGATCCCAGCTACTCAGAAGGCTGAGGCTGGAGAATTGCTTGAACCCAGGAGGTGGAGGTTGAAGTGAGCTGAGATCATGCCACTGCACTCCAGCCGGGGCAACAGAGCCAGAAAAAAAAAAAAAAAAAAAAGATATGCTATGTCTGAACTTCTTTGATCTATCTGTCTAATAATGAGCTCAAGACAAATTGGGATCAGCTTGGACTGCCTTATTTTATTGAATCCCTGCGGGTTGTTGGTGCTTGGTCATGGTCATTTTCTTTTCTAAATGTTCACAAAATATTTGATAAACCACTTTAGATTTCTGCTGTGGGTTAATACCATGTTTACCAGTCTGTTGTTTCCAGAATCTATCTTATTTTTATTTTTAAAAAAATCGAGATGCCTGTCTGCATTTGATACAATTTGGATATTTGTCCCCTCCAAATCTTATGCAGAAATTTGATCTCCCATGTTGGAGGTGGAGCTGGGTGGGAGGTGTTTGGATAATGGGTTGGATCCCTCATGAATGGCCATGAAGACACCATGCTTCTTGTATAGCCTGCATAACCATGAGACAAATCAATTTCTTTTCTTCATAAATTACCCAGCTTCAGGTATTCCTTTATAGCAACACAATGGGACTAAGACACCGTCCTCTCTCATTCTCCCTAGTTTCTCAAAGATTCCCACCTGATTTGCAGTCATGTCATTAAGTTGTGTCAGATTCCTGAAATGTAATTTACTTAGACCAGAATACTTGAGCTTATATAAAAGGAACCATTTAGGTGTCTCTTTACTTGTCTTGAACTTCATTTTCCTGTTAACTTTTTGTCTATTAGCTTTCAAGTTCAAGACCTTTCTTCTTGATATGGAAGAGCAAAGCAGAATTAAGAGTTGGGCATATTTGGGCCGGGTGCGGTGGCTCATGCCTGTAATCCCAGCACTTTGGGAGGCCATGCCTGTAATCCCAGCACTTTGGGAGGCCAAGGCAGGTGGATCATCAGGTCAGGAGTTCGAGAGCAGCCTGACTAACATGGTGAAACTCTGTCTCTACTGAAAATACAAAAAAATTAGCTGGGCATGGTGGTGCGTGCCTGTAATCCCAGCTACTCAGGAGGCTGAGGCAGGAGAATTGCATGAACCCGGAGGCAGAGGTTGCAGTGAGCCGATATTGCACCACTGCACTCCAGCCTGGGTGACAGAGCAAGACTCCGTCTCAAAAAAAAAAAAAAGAGTTGGACTTATTTGCCTTCTGTCACTGCCTCAAGCAGTGGGCGCATCTTTTTTCTTTTTCTTGGTCTAAAAACTGAAAAATGACTAAAACAAATAGAAAAAAAATAGAACAAGGGTTTATTTTATATTCTCTGGCATTTTCCTTAGCTGTGTGTATGCCACTCTTTTGTATTCACCCATCCTTATCTTTTCTTCCATTATGTAGACTTACAAAAAAAAAAAAAAACACTGAACAAAAATCTGAATTCACCAAGAGCTCACTTTGGTGCCACATGATTCTGCTCCATTACCAGACCATTTGTAATTGCAGAGTCAGAATGTAATTTTAACCACCACGTCCATAATTTATTCTTGTCTCAACTTTTTGAAATCTGAGTGTATATAGCATTCCTTTCTGAGTATCTTATGAATTATAAGTAAATTCCCACTTTCTCCCAAGAGGCATGATGAAATGATGACAATGGGATTGGCCCAATCACGGAGCTCTTATCCCCTCAGTCTGGCTCAGCATGTTTTTGGAATGATGTCCCTAAATTAAGTAGACTAAATATACGTGGCATTTATAATGCGCAAGCTGCTGTGCTAGACGCTAAGAAAGAGTAACCCAGGAACTAACTAGCTGTGTCATTTGATCACAAGAAGGGGATTTAAACTGAAGTAAAACTGTTCATATGTGAAGAGCTAAATAGGAATCTGCTCTTCAAGACAATAATAGACAAGGTGATGTATGAAACAGGTTTCTCACTCTGTGTCCTAGGGTGCTGCTGCGTTTTCGCAGGCCATCTTTAGGGACTGGCTTCTGTCTTGTGTCCTTGAGTGACCTAGTCCCTGGTTTCCCCCCATCTGTGCAGCCACTGCCTCCATTCCAGGGGCCACCACTCCAGCCCCAGATGAAAGATGGAAGAAAAGGTAGTGCATGTCTTTCCTGCTTCTCCTGGCTTCCTCAGATTTCAGCACTGACTCCCTCCCTCTGCACCTGTGATTAGACATCTTGGCAGCTGGGGAGGAGGCCCTTGCAGGGCAACCTGCTGTTGATATGCCCCCAATATGTCCATGCAGGGCACAGACTGTGCATGGCTCGGGTAGAGTGTTGGCCATCCCTGCCTTGCTGGAATGTGCCTAGTTTTTAATCTCTATTTCTGGCTTGCTCTGTAGTCTTGTTGGGAAAATCCCACTGTCTCCCAGAAGGAAGTAGTCCAAGTACTGGAAAAGGAGGGAGAACAGATCATTTCATAAGGACCAAGGGTCAATATAGCAGTGGTCAGTCATTTTAGGTGAAAAACCTTTCCCCCACATTAATAACTTAAGTAGTGACCCTGATGATCACCTGAAAGAAAGTGTGTATATATGTGCATGCGCTGGTTTCTCATGAACAAAAGCTTTTTAAATTTTTTTTTCTTTTTTTTTGAGACGGAGTCTCACTCTGTCGCCTAGGCTGGAGTGCAGTGGTGCTATCTTGGCTCACTGCAAGCTCCACCTCCCGGGTTCTCACCATTCTCCTGCCTCAGCCTCCCGAGTAGCTGGGACTACAGGCACCCACCACCACGCCCAGCTAATGTTTTGTATTTTTTAGTAGAGACGGGGTTTCACCGTGTTAGCCAGGATGGTCTCGATCTCCTGACCTCATGAGCCGCCCACTTCGGCCTCCCAAAGTACTGGGATTACAAGCGTGAACCACCGCGCCCAGCCAAGCTTTTTAAAATTCAACTTCCAACAAGTGTAATACCACATGATGGGAAGGCGAGAGATGAGATATCACACTTTTTCCACACTCCCTAATGATACTAATAATAATTGTTAGCTCCTCACATGGTGTAAAAGTCTACTCATTTGACCCCGACAGCCACCTATGAGCTAGGTAGGACCATGGTCTCTACTTCATGGAAGAGGAGCAGGCTGAGACTAGCAAGTGAATTATTCAGGCATATGAAGCTGCTCCGTGGCAGAGCCCAGTTCATTCCTTGCCCTCCTACTCTGAAACCTGTGTGCTTTCCTGAGTCCCTGCTGGCTGGCCAGGCCAGGTGGCAGCAGGGGAAGGCAAAGGGGCTGGGCTGGAGCCAGCAGAGGCTCAGGTCCTCTGGTGCAGTGTCAAGTGTGACATCAGAGCCGGATGGGTGTGACACATTGTCCTCTATCTGGCCCAGCAGCGGCCGCACCTTCCAAGCTTCTCCATACTATGTGGGAAGGCAGGAAAAGCAAGTGCAGATTTAGGGTTGTGTGCTGAGGAGGTTTTATCGGGATCGTGAATAAAACAGGGCAGAAAGGAAAGATAGGGGACTGGCATGAAGCCTCCAGGCTGCTCGTAGCCTAAATACTTGAGAGGTCGCAGATGTCCTTCGCATCCTATAGCCTTCCTCGGAGAAGTGCTCTCCCCCACTGGACTCCTGTGAGTCGGTCTGATGAGGCCTATTTGCCCACCTGCCTGTTTGAGTACCACTGGCGCCATGTCCCCGCATTGGCCTATCCCATCTGGCCCATCTATCCTGCCCTGTGCCAAGGCCGCATTTTTTTTTTTTTTTTTTTTGAGACAGAGTCTTGCTCTCTCGCCCAGGCTGGAGTGCAGTGGCACATCTCCGCTCACTGCAAGCTCCGCCTCCTGGGTTCACGCAATTCTCCTGCCTCAGCCTCCCGAGTAGCTGGAACTACAGGCGCCTGCCACCACACCCGGCTAATTTTTTGTATTTTTTTTTTTAGTAGAGATGGGGTTTCACCGTGTTAGCCAGGATGGTCTCGATCTCCTGACCTCGTGATCCGCCTGCCTCAGCCTCCCAAAGTGCTGGGATTACAGGCATGAGCCACTGCGCCTGGCCTAAGGCCACATTTTTAACTGTAACATCAGATCCCAAATGGCTTCAACTTCCCCCCAAAGTCAGGTGTATGGCCCAACCTCTGAAAGGTGCAGGCCAGCAGGAGGCAGGGAGGAAGGGAGTGAGGCGCTGTCCTCTCGCACTCACTTGCTCTAGAGCACCCCTTGTCCCTCTATTCTCAGGAGGCAGCCCGTTGTCATCTTCTCAAAGAAGCTGTTTAGAAAAGGAGGTGCCGAGGGGCAACAACATACTATGGTCCACAGGTGTTTGAGGAGAACCGTGTGTGTGCAGTGTTGAGGGAGAGGGGATAAGACTCATGTCTGAAATCTAGTCTCTCTGACTCCCAAGTTTGTGGCCCTGAAATGTGAAATAAAGACTGAGTTGGGTGATTAAAACTGCTTCCTTGGCCTGGGGTGGTGGCTCACGCTGTAATCCCAGCACTTTGGGAGGCTGAGGCGGGCGGATCACTTGAGGTCAGGAGTTTAAGACCAGCCTGGCCAACGTGGCAAAACCTCGTCTCTACTAAAAATATAAAACTCAGCTGGGCATGGTGGCCCATGCCTGTAATCCCAGCTACTCGGGAGGCTGAGGCAGGAGAATCACTTTAACCCGGGAAGCAGAGGTTGCAGTGAGCCGAGATGCCACCACTGCCCTCCAGCCTGGGGGATAGAGCGAGACTCTGCCTCCAAAAAAAAAAAATGCTTCCTTGAAGAATGTCAGCCTCATAGATTAAAATCCTAATTTATTTAAATCTTTAAAAACAAGCTATTTATAATCTGTCAATTATAAATAAACAAGTTAATTACGAAAAAAAAAAAAGAGCTACTTTTAGCTTGCAGCACTTCTTAGGGTAACGTGCTCGCCTTACAGATCCAAAGAGTCTGCTTCGGGCCTCCCTTCTCTTTGCCACCCTCCTTTGTCTGGCCTTCCCGATTAATTAAATATTAATCTACTCATGCCTTTTCTCCAGATTCCTCTTCAGACAGAAGAGGTTGAGCTGTGAGAACTGATCTCATTCTTAACCTGATTCTTATTCCCCATTCTGACCCTAGTATGTGACTGCCATTGCCAACAAAACCCCAGCGATGGACTCCATTACCTTTCTCTGGTTGTGCCTGGTCTTTCAACATGGGCATTAGAAAGGCACACAATATTGCAAACCTTTTGATTTTATCTAGGGTAATAATACTTAGTAACAGTAACAATAGCAGCAACAACTGATCTCATATATTTAATGCAATCCTAGAAGGTAGTTATCATTTTTATTACCCACCTTTATCTTCTCCATCCTCATAACTAGGATGGAGACACTGAGGCTCAGAGAGGACAGGTTGCCTGCTCGAGACCATATAGCTCCTAAGTACCAGAGTCAATGTTTGAACCGAGTCTTACCTGCAGTAGGAGAATTATCTCAGCATGACTTTGAAACTCTTTCTGTGAGCTGCCCAATATGTTTTGCCTGGGCCCTTTGACTACAGTGAGATTTCTGGTTAGTATTGTGAAGCAGTTAAATAACTTAAATTTACATTAAACATTTCTGGTTTTACTTTGATGATGACTTAAGAAAATGAATATAAACATATTTAGCATCATTGGGATAGCCAGTTTGTAACTGAACAGATATAAACATAAGAAGTTTGCATCTTATTTTATATTCATGAATATTCAGAAGCCATATATAACAACAATAATTAAAGTGCAATACCAGTAATAGTCCACATATTACTTAAATTTGACTAACAGTATTCTTGTTGTTCTAGAAATGAGATGACCAGCTCTTTCAGAATATACAGCAACTGCCTCCACATAAAGCAGTGCCAGGTTTAGGAGATTTACGGTAAAGCCATGTTTCCAAGGAGGTCTGTACAAAAAGCCAGACTTCTGCTGGCAGTTACTGAGAGAGATAGGCTTTCCATCCATGGCAGCCATTTACTTTTGCTCTGGGAGACGTTTGTAATAGAAAAGGCACAACTGGGGTATTTATTCATTCCCCCCGTTCCTCTAGTGTTTGGTGGCGTTGCCGTTGCAAGTGCGCAGGGCTAAAATGGACTGGTTATCTTAGGATCATGGAAAACCTGGAATCAAGGCTCAAGAATGCCCCCTATTTTCGTTGTGAGAAGGGAACCGATTCCATCCCTCTATGCCGGAAGTGTGAGACGTGTGTCTTAGCCTGGAAGATCTTCTCTACCAAAGAGTGGTTCTGCAGGATCAATGACATATCACAGAGGAGGTTTCTAGTTGGCATTCTGAAGCAGTTAAATAGCTTATATTTGTTACACTATTTCCAAAATATCCTTCAGACCACACAGGGAAAGGATTTCATCTATAACAGGTCCCGGATCAACCTCAGCAAGAAAGAGGGGAAAGTTGTGAAGTCCTCCTTGAACCAAATGTTGGATAAAACAGTAGAACAGAAGATGAAAGAGATCTTGTACTGGTTTGCGAACAGCACCCAGTGGACCAAGGCGAATTATACTCTCTTACTGCTGCAGATGTGCAACCCCAAATTACTGCTCACTGCTGCCAATGTGATCAGAGTCCTGTTTCTGAGAGAGGAGAACAATATCTCAGGTAAACAAGGCCACAGGCAGAGACTAGAGGGCCCCCGAAGACCAGAAGGCAAGGCTTCAGAAATCTGTAAGGAACTGCAGTTGTAGACAACATAGGTAGACAGAGATTGCACAGAACTCAGCATAGGTTTTTTGAACTGACACCTTGTCCTGACACCCGATCCTGTTTACCAAAGGAGAAATGACTGAGTGTAACTTCCTTCTTGAAAATGATCAATGCAGGAGGAAGTACACAACTTTTAACTCACAAGCATTTATCATGGATTTCTGCATCTCATAGGCCCAGAAATGGCTGGTCCCTGCCCCTGACCCCTTAATGCTGGTGTCGTTCCTGCTTTAGGGATTGGACTGAGCTCGAGAGGGTTGTAAAGGGGAAGCTTTTGTTTTTCTCTTCAGCTGCCCTGCACAGAAACCAGACCAAGAAGTCAAAACTTAGGGCTTTTTTTTTTTTTTTCATTCACTCTACCATGCTCCTTGCTTATCCATGAAATGAAACCTTAAAGTAGAGTTTCTCCAAGGCTGGAGATAGCTTAAGGGCCAAATAAGTCTAGGGTGGTAGTTCTCCAGCTGTGGCTTGTATCAGGATCTCCAGCAGGACCTGTTAAAACAAGCTCCTCCCCCAGAACTTCGGACTCAGCAGGTCTGAGGTGGGCCCAGGATTCTGTATGTCTTTTCTTTTTTTTTTGAGATGGAGTCTCGCTCTGTCACCCAGGCTGGAGTGCAGTGGTGCGATCTTGGCTCACTGAAACCTCCACCTGCTGGGTTCAAGCAATTCTCCTGCCTCAGCCTCCCAAGTAGCTGGGACTACAGGTGCGTGCCACCATGTCCTAATTTTTTTGTATTTTTTAGTAGAGATGGGGTTTCACCATGCTGGCCAGGCTGGTCTCGGACTCCTGACCTCGTGATCCGCCTGCCTCGGCCTCCCAAAGTGCTGGGATTACAGGCGTGAGCCACTGCACTCGACCAGGGATTCTGTATTTCTAACAAGTTTCCAGCTAGTGCTGATGTTGCTGGTCTGGGGATCTGTCTTTGAGAATCACAGGCCTAGGGTGTTGGAGAATCTTGGAAGTGTTTGGCCAGATAGTTCAGGGAAGCAGAAGAAACAATAAGGGTGGTGTCTGTTTTGCTTTGCTATAAAGGAATACCTGAGGCTAAGTAATTTATAAGGAAATTTCTAAGGAAAAGAGTTTTATTTGGCTCACAGTTCTGAAGACTGTACCAGAAGCATGGCACCAGCATCTCTTTCTGGTGAGGGCTTCAGGAAGCTTCCACTTATGGTGGAATGCAAGGGAAATCAATGTATCATGAGGCAAGAGAAGTAGCAAGAGAAGGGGAGGGGTGTCAGTTTCTTTTAAACAGCCAGCTCTTGCTCGAACTATATTAATAGAGCGAGAACTCACTCATTACTGTGGGAAGGGCACCAAGCTATTCATGAGGAATCTGCCCCCATGACCCAAAAACCTCCCATCAAGCCTTACTTCCAGCACTGGGGGTCACATTTCAACATGAGATTTGGAGGGGACAAATATCCAAACTGTATCAGGAGGCAAGAGAATTGAGCTTTGGAGGGGTCCAGGAGTGGAAGGTCCAACATGGGGAAGCTCAGATTTAAGCAGAGGTGGGAGAAAGCTGGGAGGGGGTGGTCACATGGAGGCGTTTTGGAGTTTTAGCTCTTGAAGGTGTGTAATTCCTGTCACCAGTGCGACCTGACAGGTGGTCATATTTGTAGACTAGTGGAATCCAAAAGAATTTTAAAGCTGGATGGCCTAGGACACAATTAGATCACAATATATGTCACTTGATTTATTTGGTGTGTCAGGGGTATAGAAGAATGATAATATAGAATGAAGACACAGTGAATCCTAGGGTGTCAAAAACAGTAAGTTAGACTGGAGATCAACCGACTTAATATCCTTAATATTTACATAAGGAGACCAAAGTCCAGGGCATCTGACTTTGCTTAGGTCACCCACCACGTGGGCTGAAAACCAGGATCCCCTCCTGGGCCCCTTCCACTCTGGAGTGAGTGCTGCCAGCAGCGGAAGGCCTGGCTTGTACACACAGATGCAATGCTCCACAGTGCTCTTCCAAAACTTCATCCCATTCACCATAGGAATGGGCTATTTACACTGGAGTTGTGTTAAGTCCTATTACAGGTTGTGGCAACCTTCTTTTTTTTTTTTTTTTTTTTGAGACAGAGTCTCACTCTGTTGCCCAGGCTGGAGTGCAGTGGCCTGATCTTGGCTCACTGCTGCAAGCTCCGCCTCCCGGGTTCACGCCATTCTCCTGCCTCAGCCTCCCGAGTAGCTGGGACTACAGGTGCCCGCCACCACGCCCGGCTAATTTTTTTTGTATTTCTAATAGAGACGGGGTTTCACCGTGTTAGCCCGGATGGTCTCCATCTCCTGACCTTGTGATCCGCCTGCCTCAGCCTCCCAGAGTGCTGGGATTACAGGCATGAACCATCACGCCGGGCCAACAACCTTCTCTTTTCTTAGAGCAGATTCTCTCTTAAAAAATTAAATGTTCTGGTTGGGCGCAGTGGCTCACGCTTGTAATCCCAGCACATTTGGAGGCCGAGGCGGGTGGATCACCTGGAGTCAGGAGTTCGAGACGAGCCTGGCCAACATGGCGAAACCCCATCTCTACTAAAAATACAAAAAATAGCCAGGTGTCATGCACTTGTAATCCCAGCTACTTGGGAGGCTGAGGCAGGAGAATCACTTGAACCCAGGAGGCGGAGGTTGCAGTGAGCCAAGACCGAGCCATTGCACTCCACCCTGGGCAATAAGAGCAAAACTCAGTCTCAAAAACCAAAAACAAACAAACCAAAAAAAAGTTAAATGTTCTATTTTGACTCGAGGGTGGTTATTTCTATCATTGAAGAAAATTCAGCTTGAGCTTCCGAAGAGCATTCCCTGTTGCAATTCCTGACCTCGACTCTCTCTCTCTCTGCTTGTATAAACAACTCGAGAAATTTTACAATGGGGGCGTGCTGAAAAGCTAACAGGAAGCTTTCTGAGATTTTTGCATAGAAGTTTGGAGGCCCCAAATAAAAACAGACATAACTGCTCTGGTCCATTCTGTACATCTTTAAAAGAAGGAAGAAAAAATGAAAAAGTTTCTCTCCACCTCATTTTCCTCAACACACCCGCTTCAAGAGCAACCTTGTCTTGGTCTTCTGTGTTTCAGGGCTCAATCAAGACATCACAGATGTGTGTTTTTCCCCTGAGAAAGACCACAGCTCCAAGTCTGCGACCTCACAAGTCTATTGGACAGCCAAAACTCAGCACACATCCCTTCCTTTGTCCAAAGCCCCAGAAAATGAACACTTGCTTGGGGCAGCATCTAACCCTGGTAAGTGAACTTTCAGCAAGAAAGCCAATATGGGCTAGGTGCGGTGGCTCATGCCTGTAATCCCAGCACTTTGGGAGGCCGAGGCAAGCAGATCATGAGGTCAGGAGATCGAGACCATCCTGGCTAACACGGTGAAACCCCGTCTCTACTAAAAATACAAAAAAATTAGCCAGGCGCAGTGGCAGGCACCTGTAGTCCCAGCTACTGAGGCAGCAGAAGGGCGTGAAGCCGGGAGGCAGAGCTTGCAGTGAGCCGAGATCATGCCACTGCACTCCAGCCTGGGCAACAGAGCGAGACTGTCTCAAAAAAAAAAAAAAAAAAAAAAAAGAAAGCCAATATGCAACCAATGTGAGATTGGGAAGACCCAGTGGAACTGGAGGGGCTGGCAGGGTGATAGCATCTGGGGATGGCAGATTTGAGGAACTCACATTCATTTAGCATCTACAATGTGCTGGGCTCTTTGACATTACTTTCCCATCTAATTCTCACAGCTGGTAAGGGGAGGAGCAAGGATTAAATTGATCAATATGGCCCCCAAACCCATATTTGCACCTCTCCGCTGCAGTGCCCACAAGACACATCTGAAGATAGAGATCAGAAAGGAAACTATCAATGATTTCCTTTGGAGTCTTTCTCTGCTCTGGGCCACAATCCATTGTCTAGTCCCTGGGCTCTGGCATGGTGGCCAGCTCTAGAATTAAACCCACCAATGGCTATTTTTGCAGTATTGGATTCAGTCTTGAGGAGGGAACAAAATTAATGGGGAATTTGGTTCCCCACCTCAAGGCACTCCAAAGTTGGGAACTGAAGCAAGACATATACATGAAATATCATCGGAAACACAATATCATAGGAAATACAAGGCATAGATTCTAAAACACTTTTATATGGAAAATTTCAAATTTCAAAAGTATGTAGAACAGTATGATAACCACCCACATAGCACTGGCTTCAACAATTATCAACACTTTACCAATTTTATTCCATTCATTTCCCCCCCTTTCTTAAGTTGTTTAAAATTTTTTCTTGTTGGAGTATTTTTAAGAAAATTCCAGGCACAATATCATTTCAGACTCTGATACTCTAGACTTCTCCTTGGGCTGAAAAAGCTGAAAAGTACATGTATATATGGGTCAAAAGATTCTATTCTCGGCCGAGTGCGGTGGCTCACGCCTGTAATCCCAGCACTCTGGGAGGCCGAGGCGGGCGGATCACACGGTCAGGAGATCGAGACCATCCTGGCTAACACGGTGAAACCCCGCCTCTACTAAAAAAAAAAAAAATACAAAAAATTAGCCGGGCGTGGTGGCGGGCTCCTGTAGTCCCAGCTACTCAGGAGGCTGAGGCAGGAGAATGGCGTGAACCCGGGAGGCGGAGCTTGCAGTGAGCCGAGATCGCGCCACTACACTCCAACCTGGGCGACAGAGCGAGACTCCGTCTCAAAAAAAAAAAGATTCTATTCTCAAGTGGCAGAAGAGATGACAAAAATCTAGTGGCCTAAGGTTAGAGTCTGAGGAGGTTTATTTTCTGGGAGAGCTTTTGGTGGGGACTTGTTCTTGGCCTGGAGTTTCTACAGAGCCAACTCAACCACGTACCTTTCTCTGGCTTCACTCTAGAGGAACCATGGAGGAATTCACTCCGGTGTATATCCGAAATGAATAGGCTGTTTTCTGGAAAAGGAGACATAACCAAGCCAGGGTACGATCCCTGCAATCTATTGGTTGACCTGGATGACATCAGAGACCTGTCTTCTGGGTTCAGCAAATACCGAGACTTCATCCGTTACCTGCCCATCCACCTCTCCAAGTACATTCTAAGTATGCTGGGGTGTATGAGGGGATTTCCCAGACACCTCCCCTCTTGGCCCAGTTCTGGGGTTTCTGGGTCCATCTTTTTTTTTCCAGGAATGCTGGATAGACACACCCTGAACAAGTGCGCCTCTGTGAGCCAGCACTGGGCCGCCATGGCTCAACAGGTCAAGATGGACTTGTCAGCGCACGGCTTCATTCAGAACCAGATTACCTTCTTGCAGGTACTTCCTGCAAGTCTGAAAGGGGAATGTCTGAGACCAGCTTCATTTTCGTGTTGAGGCTGATATGACTGTGGACCTTTCAGTAAACCCTTAGCTGGCCTCCTCCTCTACATTTGTGGCCTTTTAGGCTTCCTGGGTCCCTTCTTTTTGGTCCAAACTCCTGTTAATAACTGAGTACTCTTTCATTGTCAGTGCATCTCACAAGGACAATAGGGATAGAGACCGCTCAGGAGCAGAGAGACAGAGCCTTTCCAACACCTCACAAAGCAGAGAACCCCCAGCCCCCAGGGAGTTATATTGCAGCTTATGCAGCAAGAAAGCCATAAATGTGTCTCTGCATCAACCTCATATGGAGCACAGATGTTTATAAGGCTGCAAAGTTTTTTTTTAAGTTAAAATGAAATTTTCCCCAATGGCAATCTTCTCCAGCATTTTTACTTCTCAGTTTCTTGCCAGAAGTCTCACCCTAAACCATGGATTTTGGTAACTTGGATTTTTTTTCCCCCAGCAGAGAGGACAGAGGATGAGAAGCAGCAGCTATGGTGAGGCTGGCGACAGTCTGACCGTCTTTACTGGTCCCCCTGTGGCATTTGGTGTTTATTTTTCTCCTCCATTCGATCTGCACACACTGCCAGAGGAACTGGCCAGAAGTGGGCCTGCCTGCTGCAGCCAGGGCTTACCCATCCTTCACATTTTGCCAAGAACTAGTTTTTCCCTTCCTCCTGCAGAGTTGGAGCCAAGAGAAGCCATTTTCTGTTTTTATTTTTATTTTTTATTTTTTGTCTTTTTCCAGGGGTCCTACACAAGAGGAATTGATCCTAATTATGCCAATAAGGTTTCTATCCCAGTTCCTAAAATGGTAGATGACGGGAAGAGCATGCGTGTGAAACATCCGAAGTGGAAGCTGAGAACGAAGGTGGGTTCCAACAGCATCTGGGGCAAGTAGCTGTGAGCGTCTCATTCTAATTGTCATTGAAGGCTGAGGTCCAGACTCAGCCCTGGAGTGAGGACAGAGGATCACGGCAGGTGACACTCCTTAAGGAAGACGAGAGTTCTGTGTTGCTACTGACTTACAAGACACTTCCTCTTTTTTTTTTTTTTTTAATGAGATGGAGTCTCGCTATGTCACCCAGGCTGGAGTGCAGTGGCACAATCTTGGCTCACTGCAAGCTCCGCCTCCCGGGTTCACGCCATTCTCCTGCCTCAGCCTCCTGAGTAGCTGGGACTACAGGAGCCCGCCACCACGCCCGGCTAATTTTTTGTATTTTTTTTTTAGTGGAGGCGGGGTTTCACCGTGTTAGCCCAGATGGTCTTGATCTCCTGACCTTGTGATCCTCCCGCCTCGGCCTCCCAAAGTGCTGGGATTACAGGCGTGAGCCACCGCGCTCAGCCCGACACTTCCTCTTCTTAAGCCTTGCTTTACTCATGTGTTGGATGGGTGGATTGATTTGGTTGTCCTCTCAGGGTTCTTCCTTACTTCAAAGCCCCTGGCCGTGTTTTGTGTCCATGGCACCAGGTCATTTAGTGGCAAGTTCAGAGGCCAGGAGCAACCCCATCAGCCCATGCCTCTGGAGGCTCCAGCATCTGCTGCTCAGGAATTTGAGGAGGACCCGAGGGGAGGGCCAGGGCTGGTTCCAGAATGCCTAGGGCCTAGACGAATTCGGCTCCCTCATCCCTCACTTCCAGGTTTACTCTGGCTCTAGGATGGAAGGGGAGAGTTAACTAAATATAGCCCTTTCCACTAGTTCTTGGGCAATAATGAAGAGTGACCGGAAGACTCTTCGAGCTCTTTGCTTTGACTATCAAGGCATGGTTGATATTCCTAAAACCATTAGATTTCTGCCCCCCACTCTGCTTAAAGTCTATTTTAAAGTCTATTTAATTGGCCCCAAAAGGATAGTTGATGAGGGATGGTTTGACTGTCGCTTCCCATAAGGCAGCTATGTTAAATTAGAATTTGAGAAACAGAAGCATCCAGAGAGAGCATCTAGCTCATATGACCTGTAGGGGCCAGGCAGGTGACACAAAGGAGGAGACGGGTCGTGTGGGCAGTAGCGGACGGTGTGGCTGTCATGGACTGGACAGTTCACCTGCATCTGAAGGGCCAGCTGCTCATCAGTTCTGGCTAATTATTGTCTTGAGAGATTGTCTTGAGGCCCCTGACCTGCTAGACCATCTAAGTCTTGGAAGATAGAAACCTGAGGTATTATGTGAAATCTCTTGCTTTTATTAAATGCTGGCAACCATTTAAAAGCAGTTTTAAAAACTACATAGGCCAAAGAAAACACATTTCTGGGCCAGGTGCAGCAGCTCACGCCTGTAATCCCAGCACTTTGGGAGGCCGAGGCGGGCGGATCACTAGGTCAGGAGTTTGAAACCAGCCTGGCCAACATAGTGAAACCCTGTCTCTACTAAAAATACAAAAAATTAGCCAGGCATGGTGGCAGTGCCTCTAGTCCCATCTACTCGGGAGGCTGAGGCAGGAGAATGGTGTGAACCCGGGAGGCAGAGCTTGCAGTGAGCCGAGATTGCGCCACTGCACTCCAGCCTGGGTGACAGAGTGAGATTCCATCTCAAAAAAAAAAAAAAAGAAAACACATTTCTGGATTTCCTTTGACCTGCAGTTTTTCATTTCTGAGCTGGTCCCTTCACCCATTTTATAGATAAAGAAACTGAGGCTCAGAGAGGTCAAGCTCTCCCAGCCAGCTGAGTGAAAGAGGCATTCATTTGAACGTGGACCTGTTTTTGTTTTCAAGTCTGTTGCTCTTTTAAGTATAACACAAAGAATACCCTTCTTCCTTGGGTGATACAGTCAGTAATGGCCCAACAGAAGGACTACCCAGCCAGTGTTTGACATTCTAGGAATGTTTTGACAGAACTGGACTGTATTGACAGAATTGTACTGTCATCTTGGACAAACACCGCCACTTTAAGTTCCAGGTCCCTTTCTAGTCTCATGCATTTCAAGGAAATCTCTTCTAACTACAAGCAGCCAGAAAGAACAGACAGTAAAACACAGATAAGACATCTAGGGCACAGAGGGAAGTGGGGGGACAGTCTCTTGGGTAACTACCAAACTTCACCCTCATACAGTGGGCCTGAGTAAAACAGTGGGCCATCATGAGCACATTCCTTTCCATTCAAGTGCACTAAGATAGTGAAGCTAAAGCAGACTCGGGGGTATGCCTGCAGCTGCAGAAAGATGTATAGGGACAGACACACAACTCTCCCTCCCAGATAAGCACAACAAAGAGACACAGAAGCAGTCCAAGCATCTGATAAACTCTCCCACCCTGAATCCTTAAAGACTCTTAGTCTGTAAGAGAGTGCGGCTTCTAATGTAACTCGGTCAGAATTCCCTCCCAGATTTGAAATAAACCTGTTGACTGTCAAGCCACCCTTCGCCTTTCTCTCCTCTTTCTTTAATTCTTACATGTGTAATTTAAGAAAAGGGGCCAGGCGCAGTGGCTCATGCCTGTAATCCCAGCACTTTGGGAGGCTGAGGCAGGTGGATCACCTGAGGTCAGGAGTTCAAGACCATCCTGGCCAACATGACAAAACCTTGTCTCTACTAAAAATATAGAAAATTAGCCAGGCATGGTGGTGCATGCCTATAATCCCAGCTACCCGGGAGGCTGAGGCAGAAGAATCACTTGAACCTAGGAGATGGAGGTTGTAGTGAGCCGAGATCACGCCACTGCACCACTCCAGCCTGGGCAAGAGAGCGAGACTCCATCTCAAAAAAAAAAAAGAAAGAGAGAGAAAAGGGAGAGAAGCAGAGAAGCAGGTGAAACAGTATGGAGAACACATGAAATAGCAAGACTAAGCAGTTACAGAGTCTCCTAGGAAAAGCGGAGGTGAGTGCTTCTCAGGGTGGTGAGTAATAGCATGAGTGTAAACTGTGTGCCTGATGCCCGCAGCTCTGCATACAGCATTTACTTGATTTCACCATAGATCGAGGAGGTGTTGTTGCTCCCAGTTTATGGATGTGGAAATGAAGGATATGGTGTGAGAAAGTGGCCGAGGTCTCACAGCTGGGCAGTGGCAGAGCTGGAATTTAAACTCAGGTCTTTCCCTTCCCAATGACTCCACCATGTGGCTTCTTGGGCTCACAAAACTTAGGAGATGAGCAAGGGCCAATGAATTCTCACCTGGGTTGGGAGAATCCAGGGCAGCATTATTTAATTCAGGCTGGGATATGGAAAACTCCCTGGACACTGGAGGGGAGGCAGGTTGGCAGATTCTTCTGAGCAGAGATAGACTACATGGTTAAAGATTAAGAAGGAGAGGGAGCAGAGGAAAGAGGGCATCTGAGGAAGAGTCTAAAGGCATGGAGCAGAAGGCTAAGGTTTGGAAGGAGACTTCAGAGATGTCCCCAAGAGGACTCTCAGGTGCAAACATGATGCTGTGTTCTTCTTTGCCTTCAAGATAAATATATTCTGCTTTTTCTTCCTGCTAGTCTAATGGGACTGTTATTTCTGGCTATTTGAGGATAGAATATGGCAGGGAATATAAATGGAACTGAGAGTCTAGTTCAGTCATCTATGCCAGAATTTAGCATGTCTGGAATGCCAGAAGGTGTGTGATAGAGGAAGCAAAGGAGGGAGGGAAGGAGGGAGGAGGAATGAAGGCAGGCAGGCAGGAAGGAAATAAAGAAAGATTGGGAAGCAAATGAAAGCGCCCTTGTCACGACTTGATAAAATTGATTTCCTTTCCCTGAGTCCCAGATACCTTATCTGTAAAATAATGAGAACATTTTGTGGGGCAAGGGATCTACTTTGTAAGGCAGCTACAAGGACAAATGAAAGTTGCAGATGTATGAAAACTTTGAAATGCAAATGCAGGCTGGGCGTGGTGGCTCACACGTGTAATCCCAGCACTTTGGGAGGCTGAGGCAGGCAGATCACCTGAGGTCAGGAGTTCGAGACCAGCCTGGCCAACGTGGTGAAACTCCGTCGCTGCTAAAAATACAAAAATTAGCCAGGCGTGGTGGCACATGCCTGTAATCCCCACTACTTAGGAGGCTGAGGCAGGAGAATTGCCTGAACTCGGGAGGCGGAGGTTGCAGTGAGCCAAGATCATGACATTGCACTCCAGCCTGGGTGAGAAGAGTGAAACTCCGTCTTAAAAAAATTGCGGCCGGGCCTGGTGGCTCACGCCTGTAATCCCAGCACTTTGGGAAGCCGAGGCAGGCAGATCACAAGGTCAAGAGATCGAGACCATCCTGGCTAACATGGTGAAACCCTGTCTCTACTAAAAATACAAAAATTAGCTGGGCATGGTGGTGCACGCTTGTAGTCCCAGTTACTCTGGAGGCTGAGGCAGGAGAATCACTTGAACCCAGGAGGGCGGAGGTTGCAGTGAGCTGAGATCGCACCACTACACTCCAGCCTGGCGACAGAGCGAGACTCCGTCTGAAAAAAAAAAATGCAAATGCATAGCATAGCATGTGTAGCAGTAATTTCACAGTTGGCTTAAAATCCCCTGAGTGTGCTTTGTACTATCACGTAGATGTAATATACATATGACGTTCCGACTTCTGTGAAATGGTCGGTCAAAGGGCACCTGTGACTTTATGTTGTGAGGATACCCTTTGTGAGCTGATTTTTGAAAAAGTTGTGTTATTGGTGACATTTGGAATTCAGCCTTGAAAGTTCATGGAATCAGGGCACATGGAAAATCAAAGAGATGAAAGAAGAATTAAGAACCTTGACCCAACATTTTCTAACTCATGGTTTCCTTTGGTGCTTGCTCACTGGCTGCTCCCTTCTCTGCAGAGCAGCAGCCTCAGCCTTCAGAGGAAGAATCCGTGAGCCCTGTGCCCTTACCAGGGAGACCCTAGGGGCTCTGGGACTGTGGGTATTTGAAGTTACCACTGAGCTTTAACTTCAAATATTCCCTTGTTAGAATGAGTACAACCTGTGGACTGCATACCAGAACGAGGAAACGCAGCAGGTCCTGATAGAGGAGAGAAATGTTTTCTGTGGGACCTACAATGTTCGCATTCTCTCTGACACGTAGGTACTGGGGTCAGAATCTGGGTCTCTAGGGATGCTTGAGTTACCCACACTGACATTTGGGATTTCCCTGACCTTTGTGTACATGGAAAGGCAAGCTCTCCTCACCTCAAGCTCCAGCCCTAAACTTGCACATGATCCCATGTAGACAATACCTGCTTCATTTTGCACCATTCTTGGCAGTGGGTAAAGGACACTTTCCCTTTCTAAATTTTGGGTATGCTGACCAACAACCTTTTGCACAAGTCACACATAAAATCTTTATTTTTTGAAATATCTTTATTTTGTTTTATTAATTTTAGAAATAATATACGGTTATTGGAAAAAATCTTTCAAATGCCAGAAAATGTATAGAGAAAGGCAAAGTTTTCCTGTAGTCTATCACCTAGCAATAACCACCATTAATATTGATGTCTACCCTTCTAGAATTCTTTTCTTTGCATACTTAGCACATATTTTAGTAGAAGTGGTGTTATATTACACATATTTCTGTAACCCAGCCCAGCAAAGTACTATAGATATCTTCCCATGGTAAATATGACAATCGTATTTATAATTGCATACTCTGACATCATTTCAATATGCTGAGAGACGAAGTTCCTTTAATAAGCAACTTTCTGCCATATTTTGGGCCTAGGACTTCACTTTATATTCACAAGGTTTTGCAAAGTCCACTTCTACTTTATTTTTGGCCATGAATCTTATTAACAAATTGCATCTTGATAATAGAACAGTCGGTATGGGGAAGACAGAACAGATAAGACAGGGGAAAGGCAAAGTTGAGTTTTTATGCTTAGTGTGGTGATAACTGCTCTTTAGAAGAGATGGTGACTAGTTGAATTCTAGGTATGACCAACGGAATAAGGGCAAAAATGTCAAGAATTGCTCCTTATATATATGTGTGTACATATACACACACACATATATATATACACATATACACATATGTACATGTATATATATACATAAAAATATATGTATATACACACACACATATATATGTAGTTTAAAGAACAATTATCACCATACTATCTGTATTTCTTTTTTCAGAGTGAACCTCATTCTGTCGTCCAGGCTGGGCTGCAGTGGTGCAATCTTGGCTCATTGTAACCTCCACCTCCTGGGCTCAAGCGATTCTCCTGCCTCAGTCTCCTAAGTAGCTGGGACTATAGGCACATGCCACCATGCCTGGCTAATTTCTGAATTTTTTTGTAGAGACGGGGTTTCGTTCTCTGGTCAGGTTGGTCTCAAAGCTCCTCATATTTAGAGTGACTATACATCCCTGTTTATTGGAACAATCCCTCTCTAGTCTGCAGTCCTAGTGTCATTAATAATAGTGTCCCCAGGTTGGGCGTGGTGGCTCATGCCTGTAACCCCAGAACTTTGGGAGGCTGAGGTAGGAGGATCGCTTGAGGCCAAGAGTTGGAGGTTACAGGGAGTTATTATTGCGCCCCTGTACTCCAGCCTGGGTGACAGAGCAAGACCTTGTCTCTAAAAATAAATAAATAGTGTCCCCTTTCACAATAAAAAACTCTCAGTTTGGACAATACATTATTTGGTCATCCTGTTCATACTTTACCTATTTGCTAATAATCCTATGATTGAAAGACTAATTCAACTCACCTAGTTTTATGGGACAATAAGCTCATTGTAAGTAAGGTCCTTATCTGATAATTATTTATATTTCCTGTGGTATCTACTAGCACAGGACTTTGAACCTAATATATGCTCACTGGATATTGATTAAGGGAAAAAACAAAAGAAAAGAAATACAGTGTGCACAGGACTTCCCAACTGTGTTCCTCTGACGTTTTCCAAGAAAAAAGGTTTCCGTGATCAATTAAATCCGGGCAATGCCACATACTCCATTCTCTCTCTTGGGGATTTAGCATACATTTACAGAATTGTTAAAAAATTGCCTTGTGTCTCTAGTTTTTAAATTTAACGGAAATGGATTTTTGTCATCGTGTGAGAGTGGGGATCCCTCAAGGCCTGTTAATTCTCGACCTTGCCTTCTGCTGCCTCCCTTGTTGAAAGGCCCTGGATTTTCCTTTACACCACTGCTGTAGGCAAAAGTCATGGGGCTAAGTCAGTCCCAGGAGGGACACTGACTCTTCTTTCATGGATAATCCTTTTCCCCTGGCACTCAGGTGGGATCAAAACCGAGTCATCCACTATTCCGGGGGAGATCTGATAGCTGTGTCATCTAATCGAAAGATCCATCTTCTGGACATCATACAAGTGAAAGCGATACCCGTTGAATTCCGAGGCCATGCTGGGAGTGTCCGGGCCCTCTTCCTGTGTGAGGAGGAAAACTTTCTCCTAAGCGGGAGCTATGACCTAAGTATCAGGTGAGGAGTCCAAAGGCATCATGATCCCTGTCCCACCTAGGGCCTAGAGGCAGCTCATGGAAGAAGTGTGCATGCTTCTTCTTTTTATATTTAACAGTTTTCCTAGAAGATACTGACTTCTAGAATACCTTCAGCTTTTTTTTGGCAAGGAAAAAGTCAGGAATGTATATATTGCTTAAAATTTGAATGAGATGGATTTATAACAGTTATCAGATATATTTTCTAATTGATGACTGCAAATCAGAAAAATTTTCTTTATTAGCATTCTTAGAGGAAGAAATAATTTACATTTGTTCTTACAGACTCTTTCAGGGGAACGTGGTTTTTATGGGTTTGAGACAGACTATAGAGGCAAAATAGTGCTTTAAAAACACATACGTGGCCAGGCGCGGTGGCTCACGCCTGTAATCCCAGCACTTTGGGAGGCTGAGGTGGGCAGGTCACGAGGTCAGGAAATCAAGACCATCCTGGCTAACATGGTGAAACCCCGTCTCTACTAAACAAAATACAAGAAATTAGCTGGGCGTGGTGGCGGGTGCCTGTAGTCCCAGCTACTCGGGACGCTGAGGCAGGAGAATGGTGTGAACCTGGGAGGTGGAGCTTGCAGTGAGCCGAGATGGTGCCACTACACTCCAGACTGGGCGACACAGCGAGACTCCATCTCAAAAAAAACCACATATGTATATTTTTAAACAATATAACAAACACTCATGCATCCATTACTCAGGCCAAGAAATAAGATACCACCATTCCCCAACCCTCCCACTGTGCCCTTCTCTTCTTGCTTCTTCCTGCCAACCAGAGGTAATATTATTCTAATTTTATACTAATGATTCCCTTGCATTTCTTAATCATTTTTGCTTCCTTCTTATACATCTCCAGAAGTATTAGTTACTTGTGCCTGTTTTTGAACTCAACATAAAAAGAATCATATTTTAAAAATTTGTTGGTACCTCATTCTTACATGGAACTGTTTTTGAGATTCACCTATATGATGCAGGTGGCAGTAATTAACTTATTTTCACTGAGATACTGTATTAAATTGGATGATTGTATCGTAACTCATTTATTTGTTTTTCTGTTGGTGGACATTTGCATTGTTTCTAGTTTTTTGTTTTTTTTTTTGAGATGGAGTCTCACTGTGTCACCCAGGCTGGAGAGCAGTGGCGCCATGTTGGCTCACTGCAAGCTCCACCTCCCAGGTTCACACCATTCTCTTGCCTCAGCCTCCCAAGTAGCTGAGACTACAGGGGCCCGCCACCACACCAGGCTATTTTTTTTTGTATTTTTTAGTAGAGAAGGGGTTTCCCCATGTTAGCCAGGATGGTCTCGATCTCCTGACCTCGTGATCCACCCGCCTCGGCCTCCTAAAGTACTGGGATTACAGGTGTGAGCCACCGCGCCGGGCCCTTGTTTCTAGTTTTTAATTATTTCAAAGAATGCTGCCAGAGACGGGTCTTGGATGTGTCCCCTGGTGCCCATGTGCACGAGTTTTTTAAAGGTATATTCTTAGTATGGGAATTTCTAGGAAGGAGTACTAAACTGTTTTCCAATGTGGTTGTATTAATTTACATTCCCATTAGCAGCATATGAGAATATCTCTTCTTATATATTCTCACCAACACTTACTATTGACAGTCTAACAGTTTTGTCAATCTGATGGGTATTAAATGAAACCCACTGTGTTTTATTGGGGTTTAAATTTTAACTTTCCTGATTACTAATGAAGTTGAACACCTTTTCATATGTGTATTAGTCAGGGTCTCCAGAGAAACAGAACCAATACAATGTGTATATACATAGGAGATTTACTATAAAGTATTGACTTGTGTGATCAAGGTGGCTGGCAAGTCCAAAATCTGCAGCGTGGGGCCAGCAGGCTGGAGACCCAGGAGAGCCAACGGTGCAGATGAAGCCCAAAGGCCATCTGCCAGAGAATACCCTCTTGCCAGGACTATCTATTAACTGTGTTCATAGTATCTACATGAATTTTGTTGAACAAAAATTCTCAATATGGGCCAGGCGCGGTGGCTCATGCCTGTAAGCCCAGCACTTTGGGAGGCTGAGGCAGGCGGATCATCTGAGGTCGGGAGTTTGAGACCAGCCTGACTAACATGGAGAAACCCCGTCTCTACTAAAAATACAAAATTAGCTGGGCATGGTGGCACATGCCTGTAATCTCAGCTACTCAGGAAGGCTGAGGCAGGAGAATCACTTGAACCTGGGAGGTGCCACTGCACTCCAGCCAGGGCAACAAGAGCGAAACTCGGTCTCAAAAAAAAAAAAAAAATCTCAATATGAATGTAATAAAATATCAGTTTATCAGGGTTTTTTTTTTCTTCATTTCTGTGATTCTTCCCTCTTCTAGGTCATAGAGATATTTTCTAATATTTTCTTCTATCAACATTACAGTTTTATCTTTTGCATTCAGTTTTTTAATCTCTTTGCAATTCAACCTTGTATGTGGCATTAGGTAGGGTTTCCATTTCATTTATTCATATTTAGATAAAGTGAGCAGTTTCTCCCCCACAGCAACTACTATATAACCTGCCACTTCCTGCATTGATTTGAGGTGCTATCTTTATCACATTGAAATTTCCCATATGTGCATGAGAATGTCCCTGAGTTCTCTGATCTAGTCCACTGCCTTTCTGTTTTTAATCAAAATCCCCCTCCTTGAAAACTGTTTGTTTTGTTTTTAGGTATGCATTTGGAGAATGTTTTAAAATGTGACGGGGAGGGAAATTCTACTTTTCACTTTTCTTTTTTTTTTTTTTTAAGACGGAGTCTCGCTCTCTCGCCCAGGCTAGAGTGCAGTGGCGCGATCTCAGCTCACTGCCAGCTCCGCCTTCCGTGATCATGCCATTCTCCTGCCTCAGCCTCCCGAGTAGCTGGGACTACAGGCACCCGCCACCACGCCTGGCTAATTTTTTGTATTTTTAGTAGAGACAAGGTTTCTCTGTGCTAGCCAGGATGGTCTCGATCTCCTGACCTCGTGATTCGCCCGCCTCGGCCTCCCAAAGTGCTGGGATTACAGGCATGAGCCACCGCGCCCGGCCTCACTTTTCTTTTTTATGTAACAGCTATAGTATATAAGTTTTGAGTTTTTGGAGTAAGTTTACCAACTTTCAATAAAACCTAACTAGACTTTATTTGGGTTGCATTGAATTTATAGATTAGTTTGGTAAACACACTCAATTAGATCATCTGTGTTCTTTCTTAGAGCCTTAAAGTTTTCTTCATAAAAGTCCTGTGTATTTTTACTTAATGCCTGTACAGTTATAATTTTATTACTATTGTGAATGGTATCTTAATTTTGCTTATATTTTCAAATTAGTTATTGCTGGCATAGAGAAATGCAATTGATTTTTGTAAATTGATCTTGTGTCTGGCATCCTTGCCAAACTCTCTTATTAGTTGTAAAAGCATGTATGTTTCATAATTGGTTTTTCTTTTTCTTTTTCTTTTTTTTTTTGAGACGGAGTCTTGCTCTGTCGCCCAGGCTAGAGTGCAGTAGTGCGATCTCAGCTCACTGCCAGCTCCGCCTCCTGGGTTCATGCCATTCTCCTTCCTCAGCCTCCCGAGTAGCTGGGACTACAGGCGCCCACCACCACGCCTGGCTAATTTTTTGTATTTTTAGTAGAGACGGGGTTTCACTGCGTTAGCCAGGATGGTCTCGATCTCCTGACCTTGTGATCCACCCGCCTCGGCCTCCCAAAGTGCTGGGATTACTGGCGTGAGCTACTGCACCTGGCCAATAATTGGTTTTTCTACGTAGACAATCCTATCAACTGCAAATGACAATATATTATCTTTTTTTTTTTTTTTTTTGAGATGGAGTCTCGCTCTGTTGCCAGGCTGGAGTGCTGTGACGCGATCTCGGCTCACTGTAACCTCCGACTCCCTGATTCAAAGGATTCCCCTGCCTCAGCCTCCCGAGTAGCTGGGACTACAGGCATGTGCCACCACGCCCGGCGGCTAATGTTTTTTTGTATTTTAGTAGAGACGAGGTTTCACTATGT
The DNA here is from genome assembly GCF_000001405.40 of Homo sapiens. Lineage (NCBI taxonomy): Eukaryota > Metazoa > Chordata > Mammalia > Primates > Hominidae > Homo > Homo sapiens. The sequence continues at coordinate 18,762,528 of NC_000017.11, forward strand.
TGGCCAGGATGGTCTCAATCTCCTGACCTCATGATCTGCCCACCTCGGCCTACCAAAGTGCTGGAATTACAGGCATGAGCCACCACGCCCGGCCGACAATATATTATCTTCTTTTCTAATGCCTATACCACCTTTTGTTTTTCTTTTCTTCTAACTTTGCCTAGGCCTTCCAGTGCCATGGCAGGCAGTAGCAGTGAGAGTGGGCATCTTCATCTTGTTCCCCTTCTGGAAGGGAATACATCTACAGTTTCTCCACTGAGCATAATACCTGCTGTTATGACTTTGGCTTATACCTTTTACTAAATCTGGAAAGTTCCTTCTTTTCCTATTTTTCTAAAAGTATTTATCAAATACCTTTTCTTGCATAAATTTAAAAAACCAACCTGAAGACATATACCACCATATTGCTAGAAACAGAAATTCAAAACATGCTTTCTTTCAGAGCACTGTGCCATCATTCAATGCACTGTGGCTGCATTGTAGGCTCTGAGAAACTGGTAAGGCATTGGTAAGGCTGCAAAACCCTTGGGAATATTAGAAGAAAAAGCTTTAACATATCCAAAAAACTACAAAGACATATTAATCGTTTTTATGTGCCAAGCCTCACAATAACTCTGTGAAGTAAGTACAATTTTTTTTTTTTTTTTGAGACAGAGTCTCACTCTGTCGCCCAGGCTGGAGTGCAGTGGCGCCATCTCGGCTCACTGCAAGCTCTGCCTCCCAGGTTCACGCCATTCTCCTGCCTCAGCCTCCCGAGTAGCTGGGACTACAGGCACCTGCCACCACGCCCGGCTAATGTTTTGTATTTTTAGTAGAGACAGGGTTTCACCATGTTAGCCAGGATGGTCTCGATCTCCTGACCTCGTGATCTGCTTGCCTCAGCCTCCCAAAGTGCTGGGATTACAGGTGTGAGCCACCGTGCCCGGCTGTTAAGTACAATTATTATTCTCAGTTTACAGATGAAGAAACTGAGGTAAGTGGTAGTTCAGTAATTTGCCCAGAATCACACAGCTAGTAAGTGATGGCCCTGGGAATGGACTTCAGGCAGCCTTCTCCAGAACCATTATCTCAGCATTCTGCTTTGTCCTGTCTCAAAAGCAGCCTACCTGAAGCGGAAGCATCAATGGCAGTTGAGAGACCTTGGGCAAGTGTTCTTGTTAAAAAACAGATAATTCATCTTTGCTCCCATCTATCTCTTAGATATGCTCTATATGTACATAAATATTTTGGATCTAAGTGATTGGTAAAGGATTCTGTTGCTCTTGTTTGCAGATCCACTGTACCGTGGAATCAGTGCCATGGATTCTAAGGCTGGTGGTCATTCAGGACGCTTCTATCTAAAAACCACCTGACACTGATCAAGCATTTTGTACATGTTAGTCACTATTCCAGTGTTATCTCCACTGGTGCAGGGTTTCTCAACCTTGGCACTATTGCCATCTGGGGCTGGGAAATTCTTTACTGTGGGGCCTGCCCTGTGCAATGTAGGATGTTTAGCAGCATCTCTGGATTCTATGCACTAGATGCCAGTGGCACCTCCTTCCCGGCTTGTGACCACCAAAAATATCTCCAGATATTTCCAAATGGCCTATGGGGGTAGAAGTTACCCAAGATTGACAATCACTGTATTAGTCCATTTAATTCTTCACAAAAACCCTATGATGTAAATACTCTTTTTTTTTTTTTTTTTTTTGAGACAGAGTCTCGCTCTATTGGCAGGCTGGAGTGCAGTGGCACAATCTCAGCTCGCTGCAACCTCTGCCTGCCGGATTCAAGCAATTCTCCTGCCTCAGCCTCCTGAGTAGCTGGGACTACAGGTGCACACCACCACGCCCAGCTAACTTTTGTATTTTTAGTAGAGACAGGGTTTCACCATGTTGGCCAGTATGGTCTCAATCTCTTGATCTCATGATCTGCCCGCCTCAGCCTCCCAAAGTGCTGGGATTACAGGGGTGAGCCACTGTGCCTGACCAACGACTCTTATTATTATTTCCATTTTATCAATGAGGAAAGGAAACGTAACACAAAAATTAACTTCCTCAAAGTTACACCAAATAGGTGCTGCAGCTGGGATTCAAATCCAGGCCCCTGACTCTAAGCTGAACCATGAGAATCTGCTGCCTCCCAACTAACTACTTATCTACATGGGTTCTACGCAGTATGATCCTCTGGGCCCTCAGGAACTCTCACATTCTTTTGGCCTGATTCCTGCAGATACTGGGATCTGAAAAGTGGGGTTTGCACACGAATCTTCGGTGGTCACCAGGGGACTATCACTTGCATGGACTTGTGTAAGAACAGGCTCGTATCTGGAGGAAGAGATTGCCAGGTAAAAGGTGAGAAAGAAGTGCCTTAAATTTTCTAAGAAGTTTCCCCCGACCCACGGGTTACCAAAATGCTTTGTTTTGCTCATTTCTATAGGCAGGCAGTCATTTATTCTTTATCATCCATCCATCCATCCACCCACCCACCCATCCTTCCTTCCTTCCATCTATCAATCAATCCATCCATTCAACAGCTGTCTGTAGAATACCTACAACAAGCTACACACTGAGCTAAGTGCTGAGGAGAAAAAAAATAATAGGATATGGCCCTTTAGATTTAACTTTTTATTTCTTCAAAGGGCTCATTGTCTCCTAATGGAAGCAGATACATAAATATATAGTGGGGAATATAATAAGTCCATGAACAACAATGGCTGCCATTTACTGAGTACCAGTTTTGTGACAGATGCTTAACATACATTATTTAATCCTCACTAGAGCCCCATTGGTAATTTTATAAATGGGCCAAGATATATACATAAAATATAAGTGAAGGAAAGCATACTTACATAGTTAGGGCTAACCGAGCAGAAATGATTAAGCACATGGCCTCTGGATCCAGACTCCCTAGGTCCAAATCCCGGCTCTGCCACTCACCACCTGCAAGACTTGAGCAGGCAACCCAACTTCTCTATGCCTCAGTTTCCTCATCTGTGTTGTGGGGAATAATAATAGTACTTGTCTTGTGACGATGAGCATGTCACACACCTTGAGTCATCGCCGGCTGTTAGTGCCATGCAAGTGTCAACTCTGGTTGTTGTTATATTTTGTCTCAGGCCACTTGTCCTGTTGCCTGAGGAAGAAGGTGCTTTTGGGGAGCACCTTTGAAGGAGACTTTAATGTTTTCATTCCTGAATTCATAGAGATCACTTTCAACTTCTTCCTTTTTTTTTTGAGATGGAGTCTTGCTCTGTGGCCAGGTTAGAGTGCAGTGGCACAATCTTGGCTCACTGCAACCTCTGCCTCCCGGGTTCAAGTGATTCTCCTGCCTCAGCCTCCCGAGTAGCTGGGACTACAGTCGCACGCCACCACGCCCAGCTAATTTTTTTTTTTTTTTAGTAGAGACGGGGTTTCACCATGTTGGCTAGGCTGGTCTCGATTTCCTGACCTGGTGATCCACCTGCCTTGGCCTCCCAAAGTGCTGGGATTATAAGCATGAGCCACTGGGCCCGGCATTAACTTCTTCATTTTAGAAAACCCTGTTCTGCCACCCACCCACCCACTCTCATCCCCACTACAAGATGCCAGGCAGTTGCTCTAACACAGTCTGTGTTGAAGCAGCAGTAAACCCACCCCTAGCTGTGACCATTTCTCCATAAAATTGAAAAGTCAGATTCAGAAGTATTTAAAAATGTAAGTGAGGGTAGATGACCTTCTTTCATTTTGGGGATAGAAGGTGTGGGTCAGGAAGACAACATCTGGGAAAAATGACAACACTACATGTATGCCATGATTTTCTTTTTTTTTTTTTAATTTTACCTGCCCCTACTCAAGCTGTATGCCATGATTTTTATGAAATCTACTCGATAGCAAGCATTTTTCAGGCTTGAGGAATTAGCTGATTAGAGATGAGCTGTCTAGCACTTGGGCCTCAAGGCTAAGTTCCAGGGCCATAGCCAAGGTCTTCTGGATTGTGGGCTCCCTCAACCACCTGTATTCAGGGCGCTCTGTGCTGTGGGCACATGAGCGGTTGGTGAGCCTGCTCTGCGGAGGTGCTAGGCCACGGGAAGTCCTTCTAGAATCTGACTTGATGGGCTTGATGAGTCTTTGCTTCTGTGATGGGGAGCAGAACTCCACTGTAACCTTTCCTTTTCCCCCTTTTTCCCCACTCCCATGTCTTCCTCTCTCTCCCTCCTGTTCAGTATGGGATGTAGACACAGGGAAGTGCCTGAAGACGTTTAGACACAAAGACCCCATCTTGGCCACCAGGATCAATGATACCTACATTGTGAGCAGCTGTGAGCGAGGGCTGGTGAAAGTGTGGCACATTGCCATGGCCCAGTTGGTAAAGGTAAGTGGGCAGTGGGCTACCTTGGCGGAAAGGGCACTGGGGAGGAGATGGGTGGGCTCCCCCTACCTAGCTCCTCAGGTCATCCTAGAGCAACTGAGTATGACCTTCAAGAAGGACAGTCCTGAAGCTCTAAAGGGGAAGGCCCCAAAGTGAGGCATTCAGAGTCTGTGGAGGGTAGGGGCTCCACCACCCACATCATGACCCACGGTATCATGGGGTTGGTAGAGGAAGGCTGCATTCTGACTCAGCATGAGATATGGGCTCAGGGCCTTCTAACAGCAGTGGAGGTGAAGTACCTTTTTCTCCTCCAGAGTATTGCACTCTGTAGGGCCAGGCGCAGTGGCTCACACCTGTAATCCCAGCACTTTGGGAGGCCGAGGCAGGCGGATCATGAGGTCAGGAGTTCGAGACCAGCCTGACCAACATAGTGAAACCCTGTCTCTACTAAAAAAAAGAAAATACAAAAAATTAGCCGGGCATGGTGGTGGGCGCTTGTAACCTCAGCTACTTGGGAGGCTGAAGCAGGAAAATTGCTTGAACCAGGGAGGCAGACGTTGCAGTGAGCCGAGATCATGCGTCTCAAAAAAAAAAAAAAAAAATTCTGGCATGGGGTGAGGGGATGAACAAAGCATTTTTTCCTAAGAAGAAAACACTGGGGGATGAACAGAGAATTTTTTTTTCTCCATGCTCTCTAATGAAGAGAGAACATGGATGGTCTTGAAAGTGATTGGATGGTCATGAAACATATTCTTGCTGGATCTGAACCCCTAGCCTTAGCGGGTGGTGTTGATATATGATTTGCAGCAGGAACACAGGATCACAGTGAAAAGTGGCTGGCTTGGCCTGTGGAATTTCCCCACCAATCTTGTCACTATGGCCAATCCAGCGGTTGCAGGCACAGGGATGGCCCATGTGCACTCTGGGTTCTGGCAAGGAGCTGGGATGGCACACCTTACCTTCGTCCTTCTCACAGCAAAGGACAGTGATTTCTGGCCCTCTCTAGTGCTCCAAGAAGGTAGTGTCTGTCCCAAACACAGACCCACCAGGAGCAAGGCCCCACCCTGATCCCATTCCTCCTTAACCCGAGAGAGAGCTCTATGTGGAATGGACTCCATTGGCCTTCTTTTTTTCTTTTATTTTTTCTTTTCCTTCCTTCCTTCCTTTCTTCCTTCCTTCCTTCCTTCCTTCCTTCTTTCTTTCTTTCTTTCTTCTTTCTTTTTTGAGACAGAGTCTCACTCTGTCACCAGGCTGGAGCACAGCAGTGGTGAGATCTTGGCGCACTGCAACCTCCATCTCCCTGGTTCAAGCGATTCTCCTGCCTCAGCCACCCGAGTGGCTGGGATTACAGGTGTGTGCCACCATGCCCAGCTAATTTTTGTATTTTTAGTAGAGACAGGGTTTCACCATGTTGGCCAGGATGGTCTCAATCTCCTGACCTTGTGATCCGCCCGCCTCGGCCTCCCAAAGTGCTAGGATTACAGGCATGAGCCACCGCACCCGGCCTCCATCGGCCTTCTTAGAGCAAAAGCAGGATTAGCTCAGGTACCTACCGAGTGACTGGCAGTCACAGATTGGTGGGGGGTGGCTTTGGGATTCATCTGAAGAAGCCTCAGCTTTGGTTCTTGGAGGAGTCACAGTCTGAGTTGAAGACAGTGGTATCTTTTCTTGCAGACTCTCAGTGGCCATGAGGGAGCCGTGAAATGCCTGTTCTTTGACCAGTGGCATCTCCTCTCAGGAAGTACTGATGGCCTGGTCATGGCCTGGAGCATGGTGGGGAAGTACGAGCGCTGCCTGATGGCCTTCAAGCATCCCAAGTAGGTGCCTGTGAAGCCCGGAGCGATGAACCTGGTGTCCTTCCCTTCCCCGTCATAGCCTAGACTGCAATCATTGGCAGACCTTCTGCTCCCTGTAGACATCGTGTTCTCTGCACCTCACCCTCTCTGCTTCCCTCCTCTTCCACCTGGGACCCATTTTTCCCCACCATCTTCTCTGTCTGACTGTTAACCTCTTCTACTCTCCCTTGTTTTCTTGTGAAGTAACTATAGAAACTGGGGGTTTTGAGAAGTTATTGATTTTTTTTTTTTTTTTTTTTGAGACAGAGTCTCGCTCTGTTGCCAGGCTGGAGTGCAGTGGCGCAATCTTGGCTCACTGCAAGCTCTACCTCCTGGGTTCACGCTATTCTCCTGTCTCAGCTTTCTAAGTAGCTGGGACTACAGGCGCCCACCACCACACCCAGCTAATTTTTTGTATTTTTAGTAGAGATGGGGTTTCACGGTGTTAGCCAGGATGGTCTTAATCTCCTGACCTCATGATCCACCCGCCTCAGCCTCCCAAAGTGCTGGGATTACAGGCGTGAGCCACCTTGCCCAGCCAATAATACTATTTTAGAAAGAATCAAAACATTAAATAATTCTCAGCATGACTATTGTATAAGTAAACGCTAGGAATCAAATTGCAAGAGACAAACATGATCATCTATATGTTAGATAAAAAAAAGATTGTGACATCAGCCTTTTTGTTTTGTCATCTTGTGGCCCTGTGACCTAATTGCGGGGAAAGTAGCTGCAGAATGGGAAGAGGTATGTCTTGAGAGAAGCTCACGGTTTACTTCCACAATTATAAAATGACAGCAGGCCGGGCATGGTGGCGCACGCCTGTAATCCCAGCACTTTGGGAGGCCAAGGTAGGTGGATCACCTGAGGTCAGGATTTCATGACCAGCCTGACTAACATGGTGAAACCCCGTCTCTACTAAATACAAAAAAATTAGCCAGGTGTGGTGGCGCATCACTGTAATCCCAGCTACTTGGGAGACTGAGACAGGAGAATCGCTTGTATCTGGTAGGTGGGGGTTGCAGTGAGCCAAGATCGCACCGTTGCACTCCAGCCTGGGCAACAAGAGTGAAACTCCATCTCAAAAAAAAAAAAAAAAAGACAGCAAACACCATTTTGAGGCCAGTTATGGCCAGTGCTGCTCAATCACACACAAAATGCTCCCAACCTACAAACAAACCCAGGCATTTTACGAGAGGATGGGTACTGCCTGCTACTCTGTTCCCTTCCAGGGAGGTGCTCGACGTGTCCCTTCTCTTCCTCCGGGTCATCAGCGCCTGTGCAGATGGCAAGATCCGAATTTACAATTTCCTCAACGGGAACTGTATGAAGGTGTTAAAAGCCAATGGCAGAGGTGATCCTGTGCTGTCCTTCTTTATTCAGGGCAACAGGTGGGTGGTAGGTGTGGAGGTCAGAACTGTGAGTGATTCTGTTGGATTTTTTGATTTTTTTCCTCCCCTGGGATACCAGCCCTGGATTTGCTGTCAGGAGGAGAGAGTGTGCAATGCCTCTCTACAATTCTGGCTGGGTGGAGCAATAGTCTTGTGGTGGGGACTAACAGGGCTTTGCACAAAACTTAGTAATCAGGAAGCAATCAACTGTTCATTTTGACTTTTTTTTTTTTTTTGAGACATAGTTTCACTCTGTCGCACAGGCTGGAGTGCAGTGATGTGATCTCGGCTCACTGCAACCTCCGCCTCCCGGGTTCAAGCAATTCTCTGCCTCAGCCTCCCGAGTAGCTGGGATTACAGGCGCCCACCAGTATGCCCGGCTAATTTTTAGTATTTTTAGTAGAGACGGGGTTTCACCATCTTGGCCAGGCTCACCTTGAACTCCCGACCTCGTGATCCACCCGTCACGGCCTTCCAAAGCGCTGGGATTACAGGTGTGAGCCACCACGCCCGGCCTGTTTTGACTCTTAATTCATCCTAGGTGTTTGTGGGAATTGCAGTGGGTGCAACATAACGCTTCTGTAAGGACCACAGTTCTACCAATGTGCAGCCCCTGCTTGCTCTTTGATCATGCCTTTGGCTGCCTGAGAGCTCTATCAGCTATCTTTGATGCCTCACTTCTAATGCAAAGAGACATTATAGGAGAGTGGAGGGTGGCAGCAGCAGGGGGTACAGTGGGGGAAAGCTGAGCTGGTGAGCTTACAAAACCAGTACCATGACTGACTGCATTGTATACAGTACTGTGCTTTATATATGCGTAGACTCAGGGTGCTATTATATGAAAATAACCAAATAGAACTAACCTGTAAATTCTACTTCAAGCTCACTTGAGACATCTCTTAATGTCCCTAAACCATATTGCCTTCCTTTTAGTGAAACTTTATTAGTATTATTTACCATCTTAAAGAGGGCAGCCTGGTAATAAGGCTCAATTAATGAACACTTTTCAGTCATGCTGCTAAAAAAAAAAAACAAAACAAAACTCTGGCCATTTTTTACTCACAGCATCCAAAGAAAGGTGTTTTTCTTTCGGCTTGAGTGAACGTAAGTCTAAAAGGGATTTCTTATTGGAATGACACCCCGCATTCCATTCCAGCAGTTCCAGCCAAAACAAGTTACTTTTCTAGAGAGTTTATGCTGTTGGTTAAGGTCTTAACACTGCAGCCTTTTGAAGCAGAAAGAAACCTGTGCAGAGTATTTTCATTTCTTGTTTATAGTTAAGGGAAGAGCACAGAAAGGGGAAAGCCGCTTGCTTGTAAAACTGGTGGGTTAGGGAGGCAGTGCTGTGGGGGCACAGGAAGGGGACAGGGAGGGCAAGTTCCGGAGCTCTTTGTCTATGGAGCATTAAAGTGGGGATCAGAGAAGTTAGAAATCATCTCACTTTATAAAGTATAGATGTTCTGTCTACATCTAGAGTGTGTGCAGAGATCCTGGAGTGACAGCATGGAGTGTGTGGTGTCTGCGTGGAGGGTCTATGAAGGAGAAGAGGCCTCCCCATTAGAGAGCTTTCCTCATTCCCAGCAGCAATAGTAATATTGGGTTTGGAAGCTGTGCTTAAAACAAACAAAGAAACAAAAACACTGAATTTCAAGACATCTGTGTGCAGAGTACCTTCTTGGCACCCTAGGTACGTGGCACTCACTCCAGGAACAGAAATTCATTTAAAAGCATTTTAACTTGAGGCCAGGCGCAGTGGCTCGTGCTTGTAATTTCAGCACTTTGGGAGGCCCAGGTGGGTGGATCATTGAGTCCTGGAGTTTGAGCCCAGCCTGGGCAACATGGCGAAACCCTGTCGCTACTAAAAACACAAAATGAGCTGGGCGTGGTGGTGCGTACCTGTAATCCCAGCTACTCAAGAGGCTGAGGCACGAGAATCGCTTGAACCCAGGAGGCGGAGGTTGCAGTGAGCTGAGATCATGCCACTGCACTCCAGCCCGGGTGACAGAGCGAGACTCCTTCTCAAAATAAAAAAATAAAAATAAAAAATAAAAAAGCATTTTGACTTGAGAAGTGAAACAATCGGAACATATGTGCCCCGATCATGTTTATTTTTTAAAGAAAAGAGTGACAAAGCTAACGACTCCTGCTGCATCTCCTGGTAACTTTCACCACTCTCCACCCTCCAGCTGCCTACACTACTAGTCTGTTTGGTCATCACCTGGGCACTGTTCCTTTAGTCTAAAGACCAGGTGGGATGGTAACTGCAGTGCATCTTTCGGTGGCCTCCACAGTCCTTTTGTGGACAACCCTGTTGTTTCGGTTCCAGGATGGTGGTCAACACAGAGAGCAATGTTCTCATGTTCCAGTTTGAGCACATAAAGTGGCAGTATGCCGTGGAAAAAACGAAACAAAAGAAGAATAAGGAGAAAGAGGAGGAAAAAGAAGAAAATAGTCTCATGGAAATTCTCTCTAAGTGTAATATTCAGGTTCACAGCCCAAGAGAGTCTGTATCCAGTAAACAAACTGTGATCCAAGAGCTCCTACCAGGCAAACCTCCCAAGTCCCGAGTACTCCTGAAGCCGGCCAAGTTCTCTTCAGGTAAAAAACTGAAATACCAGCAAGTTCAGTGATAACCCACAGAGCAGGTCGGGGTTTGGTGGGGGTGGTGGGAGACGGGGAGGACTGGTTCGTTTGTGGAATATTTTGGCCAGTGGTTTCCTGAGGATATAAATCCTAACCCTCCAGGAAGGTAGGAGCCATTCTCTCTGATCCACTAAACAATTTATCAGCCAGTTAAAGGGAACATTCTGGTTTGCAAAAGCTAGATTTTCTTTCTTTCTTTCTTTTTTTTTTTTTTTTTGAGATGGAGTTTCGCTCTTGTTGCCCAGGCTGGAGTGCAATGGCACAATCTTGGCTCACCGCAACCTCCGCCTCCCAGGTTCAAGCGATTCTCCTGCCTCAGCCTCCTGAGTAGCTGGGATTACAGGCATGCACCACCACGACTGGCTAATTTTGTATTTTTTTTTTAGTAGAGATGGGCTTTCTCCATGTTGATCAGGCTGGTCTCAAACTCCCGACCTCAGGTGATCCTCCCGGCTTGGCTTCCCAAAGTGCTGGGATTACAGGTGTGGGCCACCGTGCCCGGCCTGCAAGAGCTAGATTTTCAAACTTATAAGAACCTTTGCACAGTAGATAAGACTAGCCTTAATACTTACCACTGAAACAAAAAGCAAGCAACCAATACCCCCACCCCCCAAATTCAAAACATATATTACATAACTATTTCTTCAAGACAGAGACAGAAGTTGTTATAAGCAGAAAAATGATCTGTGCAGAATGTATTGTTTTTAGACCTGAGAGATAATGTTTGTAGCTGGAAAATCTTACGTATAAAGCAGGTGTGTGTGTGTTTGTGTGTGTGTATGTAGGTGGGGGTGCAGGCATGGCCAATGCCATTTATAAGACATCCAAATAATACATTATGTGTGGGTTAGAGTAGCAAGACTCCTTCCTTTTACCAGCCCTATATTTGGCATGTGAAATTGGATCCACAGATCTATAGAGAACAATGATAAATCACCCCCAAGCATATCACACTACAAATAGTCAGCTATCTCTTGAGAGGAGGGAACTGAGAGTGTTAGCTAATGCTTAACAGTAGGAAAAGTGGGTGGGAGGGGGAATCAGGATGGGATCTAGGCCTTAGAATTGCCAACCTAAAATAACCAAAAGATTCAGGATCTAGCTAAAAGAGTTTACCCGAGTGCAAAGTTTGAGGGCAGCATCCAGGGACACAGGGGCACCAAAGACTAGTGACCAGTGTTCCTGGAGTGGGGAAAAGTGAAGATCCTTTAAATAGACAAAAACAGAGGTGCTGAACAGAATTCAGTTTTCCATACAAAGGCTAACATACAGATGTAAGACTAGATCGGCTACTATTGATTACACTCTAATGGTTGCTTAGCATTCTGCTGTAAAGAGGTGACAATTACAAGGGGAGTTGCTTAACATTCTGCTGTAAAGAGGTGACAATCACAAGGGGAGTTGCTTAACATTCTGCTGTAAAGAGGTGACAATCACAAGGGTGTCTATCTCCACATCATTTAGTCTTGGTTTCAATGAAGAATAGAGAGTCTGGTTAATGGAAAAGACCTCAGCACAAAGGTCTGGAAGGAATGGTCACGCACCAGAGCAGGAAAACAGCTGCGCTATGTGACTCAGTTTCCAGGGTTTCACTTTTCCCTGTCACATACGTCAGTTTAGAAGGTTGTTACACTCTCTTTACTTTTCACAGACTCCAGGTAACTACTTGGTTTCATACGACAATAAACAATATGGTGTTTGGTAGAAAAATACAGTTAGATGGAAGGGATAAGTTCCAGCGTTTGGTTGCACGGTAGGATGACTACAATTAACAATAATGTATAGCCGGGCGCAGTGACTCATGCCTGTAATCCCAGCACTTTGGGAGGCTGAGGCGGGTGGATCACCTGAGGTCGGGAGTTTGAGACCAGCCTGACAAACATGGAGAAACCCCGTCTCTACTAAAAATACAAAAAAATTAGCCGGTGTGGTGGCGCATGCCTGTAATTCCAGCACTTTGGGAGGCTGAGGCAGGAGAATCACGTGAACCCAGGAGGTGGAGGTTGCGGTGAGCCGAGATCGTGCCATTGCACTCCAGTCTGGGCAACAAGAGCGAAACTGCATCTCAAAAACAAACAAACAAATAAACAAAAAACCAATAATGTATTGTATATTTCAAAATAGCTAGAGGAGAAGATTTGGAATGTTCCCAACACAAAGAGATGATAAATGTTTAAGATGATGGATATCCTAATTATCTTGATCTGATCATTACACATTTTATGCATGTATCAAAATATCACATGTACTCCATAATTATGTATAATTATGTACCCATAAAAAACAAGATAGTGATATTTTGTATAAAAATCAGTCCAATTATCAGCCCCATTATTATTGATTATATTATTTTATGCCCTAATCGAAGTATATAATGACTACAGCTTCTTCCTCAATCTCAATTTAGCAGTGTTAATAGAGGAACTTCAAAGTCAAGGAAAGTCAAAATCACCCCGAAGAGATGGTAAGAAGAGAGTTTATTCTGTTCATAAGGGAACAAGTGGCACGGATGGTGGGCAGGAGAATTTGGAAGCAAAATCCACAGCAGGAGATAAGACAAAAAGTCATACTTAATTCTGAATTAGTGGCAAGATCCAAACTCTTTCTCTCACTCTAGTTTCGTATTGTTTTCCAGCAGGCCACTACCTTTGCTTGTCTTTGAGAAACTGGAATGAATACAATGCCTGGCTTCTCCCAAGAGTGACTGGTTTTCCTTAATTGTCCCTTTTCTGACTTGAGGCCACAGAGGGAGAACCTTTCTAAGGTTTGCGTTTCCAGTTTTTGGCTGACTGCCTGCCTCTGTTCCCTGCCAGCTTCCTCACTTCTTGGACTGTTATGTCATCAATCTGAGAAATGGGCACAATAAAAGAGAGAAGAGGCAGTTGAGGCTGGTTTCAGAGAGAATTTTAAGAGACTTCATTAGGAAGAAGAGAGATTTGGGGCAGGTGCTATATATGTGAGATAAAGAGATAAGGGAGAAAGAGAGATGGGGATGCACCTTTTAAGAAGTGTTGCTAGGATGGGCATAGTGGCTCATGCCTGTAATTCCAGTGCTTTGGGAGACCAAGTTGGGAGGATTCCTTAAGGCCAGGAGTCTGAGGCCAGCCTGGGCCACTTAGCAAGACCCTTGTCTCTACCAAAAATTCAAAAAATTGGCCAGATATGGTAGCACGCACCTCCTAGCTACTCAGGAAGCTGAGGCGGGAGGATCCTTTGAGTCCAGGAGCTTGACGTTACAGTGAGCTATGATTGCACCACTGGGTGACAGTGAGACCTTGCCTCTTAAAGAAAAGAAAAAAAAAAAAAGTGGCCGGGCGCGGTGGCTCACACCTGTAATCCCAGTAGTTTAGGAGGTGGAGATGAGCGGATTGCCTGAGGTGAGGAGGTCGAGACCAGTCTGGCCAACATGGTGAAACCCCATCTCTACTAAAAGTATAAAAAAATTAGCTGGGCAGGGTGGCATGTGCCTGTAATCCCAGCTACCTGGGAGGCTGGGGCAGGGGAATTGCTTGAACCAGAGAGGGGTGGGGGTTGCAGTGAGCTGAGATCGTGCCACTGCAACTCTAGCCTGGGTGACAGAGCAAGATTCCGTTTAAAAAAAAAAAAGTTTCTGGACATCATGACTCATGACTGGGATGTCCCTTTGTTATTTTTTAAGGACATTGGTAAAAATTTAAAATGTCTTTCAAATATTTTTGGCTAGTATAGTAGTGTTTCTTTGGAACAAACTCTGTGCAGAGACTGGTTTGAAGTTGACGGGAAAACAATTATTTTATGAGGGCTGCGCTAACAATGGGCATCCTTGTATATACCTATGTCAGTGTACCTGTACAGGTATACCTGAAGGGTAAAGTCCTACGAGTGAAATTGCTAAGCCAAAGGATAAGTGCATTCAAAAACTAGAAAGATATTGCCAAGGTTGTCCTGAAAAATACTGTATCAATTTACACTCCTACTTGCAATATATGAGAGACCCCACTGCATTTGTGCCAACTCTGGGTGTTAGCTGGCATTTTGTAGTTGCTTGTATAAGTAAAAATGGGGTCCGCATTTTCTTCTAGGTTGACCATTAACAAACTAAATGTCCATCAATGGGCAATGGCTAAGTAATAAAAAAATCTATTGTATGGAATATTATATACAGCTAAAAATTGTATGATGAGGATCTGTATATACTAACTTGGAAAGAGATCCACAATACATTATCATTTGAAAAAAGACAAATTAATAAACAATGAGCTCATCACAATTCCTTTTTTTATAAAAGGAGAAAAATTCTCTTTTTGAGTTTGCAAGGAGAATAGGGAAGATTTTGACATCTTGATTTCACTCAGTTTTTTTTTTTTTTTTTGAGATGGAGTCTCACTCTGTTGCCCAGGCTGGAGTGCAGTGGCGTGATCTCGGCTCACCGCAACCTCTGCCTCCTGAGTTCAAGCGATTCTCCTGCCTCAGCCTCCTCAGTAGCTAGGATTACAGGCGCCTGCCACCACGCCCGGCTAATTTTTTTGTATTTTTAGTACAGACGGGTTTTCTCCATGTTGGTCAGGCTGGTCTCGAACTCCCGACCTCAGGTGATCTACCCACCTAGGCCTCCCAAAGTGCTGGGATTACAGGCATGAGCCACCGCACCCAGCCTGAAGACAGGTTTTATTTTGGGCAACATTCAAGATTACTTGGAGTCAAATTTGATTAATAAGGTAAAGATCAAATTTTGCAACATAATTACTGTTGAAAAATAGTTATGCTACTATAAATTTATAAGATCTGCTTTGTGTGAATCATAAATGAGATGTGAAGGTCATTCCCAACTTCACATTTTCTTTTTTTTTTTTTGAGACTGAGTCTTGCTCTGTCGCCCAGGCTGGAGTGCAGTGGCGCGATCTTGGCTTACTGCAAGCTCTGCCTCCTGGGTTCATGCCATTCTCCTGCCTCAGCCTCCCGAGTAGCTGGGACTACAGGCGCCCGCCGCCATGCCGGGCTAATTTTTTGTATTTTTAGTAGAGACGGGGTTTCACCGTGTTAGCCAGGATGGTCTGGATCTCCTGACCTCGTGATCCACCCTCCTGGGTCTCCCAAAGTGTGGGGATTACAGGCGTGAGCCACCGCGCCCGGCCTCAACTTCACATTTTCAAAAATATGTGTAGCATTGAAATCACATCTGTTGCATTCAAAATATGCTCACTTAGAGGCTAATATACTCTTTACTCAATACTAGCATTTTATTAAAAACTTGTTTTATTGGCCGGCTGCGGTGGCTCATGCCTGTAATCCCAGCACTTTGGGAGGCCGAGGCGGGTGGATCACGAGGTCAGGAGATCGAGGCCATCCTGGCTAACACGGTGAAACCCTGTCTCTACTAAAAAAAATACAAAAAATTAGCCAGGCATGGTGGCGGACGCCTGTAGTCTCAGCTACTTGGGAGGCTGAGGCAGGAGAACGGCGTGAACCCGGAAGGCAGAGCTTGCAGTGAGCAGAGATCATGCCACTGCACTCCAGCCTGGGTGACAGAGCGAGACTCCGTCTCAAAAACAAAAACAAACAAACAAAAAAATTTGTTTTATTAAATTGTTTCTAGTATCAGCATTTCTAATACCACTCAGGGTGCCTGCCTGTATGATGGCATACCTGTTGGGCAACAAAGACCTCAATGTGCTTCGAAGTTTGAATGCCCAAGTACTTAATGCATACGTACTTAATATTTTTCATAGAACGCCGATTTTTTAAAATTTTCTTTTTTTTGAAAAAGCAGATGATGTGGAGAAAGCACAAAAACAAGGACAATTGGAAACTCCTGGAAAACTGCCCAGTCACCCAAAGAAAAAGTCTTGGAAAATCCCTATGTCACCTGACCAATTCCTCCTGACTGTTAGCGCCCTGCAGCACGCCCATAATTCCGGGGAATTTGCCTATCCCTGTAGGCCCCAAACAGAAATTACTGATGTCTGGGGACCTTCAATTTCATACCCAAGGAAGGTCTTGAATTTCAAAGGAAAATCAATCCAACGTGCAGTTGATCGGTTGAGATTGAGCAATCCTCCTATAGATGTGAAACGAACCAGTATTCCCCTTGAAATCCAGAAACTGCAGCCCAACTTGAAGATCTCTTTGCACAGTCCTAGAGTCCAGTCCACCATACCCCAGCCCATGATTATCCGCTCCAGGTTCTCTGGCAGCTTAAAGGGTGGAGACCAAGTGACCAGTTCAATTGAAAGGGCTGTGTGCAGTACGGGTCCCCTGACCAGTATGCAGGTCATTAAACCAAACCGCATGCTAGCTCCACAAGTGGGCACAGCCACCCTGTCTCTTAAGAAAGAACGGCCTCGCATCTATACAGCCCTTGATCCTTTTAGAGTGAACACTGAGTTCGTGCTGTTGACCGTGAAGGAGGAGAAGGAGCACCAGGAAGCCAAGATGAAGGAATATCAGGCCAGGGAGTCCACTGGAGTGGTTGATCCAGGAAAAGTCAGCAAAGCTGCATGGATCAGGAAGATCAAAGGCCTGCCTATTGATAATTTCACGAAGCAAGGGAAAACAGCGGCCCCTGAACTTGGACAAAATGTATTTATCTAAACCAGCCTTGGGAAATTACAATGTTTTACAATAAACAGAAAGCCAAGCGGATGTTGCTATTTGGCCTTTTTTTTTTTTTTTTTGACTGTTTCTTCCTGGTAATTAATGTGGGAACTCCCAGTTATCTTCCTCTGAGCCAAATATTTGATATCATCAAAATAAGAAAACAGAAGGAGGTTGGGCGAGATTAGCATCTGTAGTCCCACTGAAAACAATTTAGTGAGCATTAGGAAAGCCCAGTTTCGTTGATGGGGGATGGGGAGATGATCACTGGAAATTAGATACCATTCATCACTACCAATTTAGTGCTATTAGTTCTTCTGGCAAATGAAGTTATGGGATTATATCAGGGTCATGCATTGGTGTTTTCTGGTATTTTTGCACAGAAGCCTGATAAAACCCATTAAGAATTTAAAAGGGGAAGCCCTCAGTGGGGTGGACCTGTTGCATTTGACAACATTGAGCTTTTCCTTCTCAGGGCTAACTCCTAAGGAAGAGAATTAGCATATTTATCCTCTGTACAAAGAGGGCCAGTAACATCAAGTGCATTGAGGTTTCTGCTTAAACCTTTGGACTATGGTGCAGGGACCAGGTAATTTAGAAGAGTGCAGCCCACTACAAGAGCTATGGCCCATTAGAAAGTTCAAGCCTTGACCAGGTGCGGTGGCTCACGCCTGTAGTCCCAGCACTTTGGGAGACTGAGGCGGGTGGCTCACCTGAGATCAGGAGTTTGATACCAGCCTGACCATCGTGGTGAAACCTCGTTTCTACTAAAAATACAAAATTAGCTTTAAAAATTAGCTATTAAAAATTAAAAGACGATAATGAATTCAAACACAATGTCTTAAAAAACCAAAAACTACGAAAAACAACACAAAACTCCACAGCACTGAGTGGACCACTGAAAACCTGCCATGGGCAGGCTGGACGTACAGGCCCCAAATTTGTTAGCTTTTCATCTCCAAGGGCACGAATGCAATTGTGCTGCCGAAATGTCTTGCCTTTAGAAACGCGTGTGTGTGTTTTCCCCCTTTCATTATTAGAATATCAGGTTTTAAATGGCACTGGCAATCAGCCACGTAAAATTTGTGATTTTAATAGAATCCCTTCAATTAAGGACACGTGCAAATACCACTATGCCAACAGCAGTCTGACTCGGCCAGACAGATAGGATATTGTCATCATCACCGCTTCAAAGATGACTTAACGCCCCTTAATTTCACATCCTTTGTTCAGGCAAGATCACAGCATGAGCGGCTGGACTTAAAACTGTAGTAAGTATAACGTCTCCCATTTACTAGATACTTACACTGTAAGGAAACCATTATCACCCCCACTTTACAACTGATGAAAGAAGTACATAAAGGTTGGTGATATGATTGGCAATAGAGTTCCCAGGCGCCTAAGCTCCAGGGCGCAAGGTCTCAACTCCTGGCGTCTAAGTTTATACCTCCCATAATAATACCGTCCATTAGTTACTCTAGAGTCCTCCTGCCTTGTTTTTCTTAACGTTTTACTTCTCTGCAAGAACATATTTTAAAAAGTTGCTTCTACAATTTAAAGTACAAAAGTAATACTGTACAGGAGTAAGTCTTTGTAAAATATTTAAAGAAAATTATATTATACAATAAAACCCCGCCCCCCTGCATTCGGGGCAGCGACACTGGGGGAACGACTTTAGAATTTGCATTGGGTGGACAGCAAATACTTCCGTAAAACAGACCATGAAGCTTTCCACTTAGAGCCCACTGTGGCCCCAATACCTTTCCCTTTCGCTCCTGCTCCAGGCTCCGCCTCCGCCGTGTCCGGGCCGCTCGCCCCGCCCCCGCTCGCCCCGCCCCTGGATTTGCTCCCTCAAAGCGGAAGTGAGGCCGGACTGAGGCTCTTACAGTGGTCCCTGCTGGCCCTTGGTGACGGGTCGCCTCAGTTCCGACCCGGACCCGTACGCTGCTGCGCTGACGTGGCTCCCGGAAGTAGGGCTGGCGTAGGGCCGCCATGTTGCAGCAGGTGAGGGGCTGAGGGCTCGCTGGGAGGGTGGCGGCTCCTGGGACTGGCTCTGCAGGTTCCGTGGGACTGGAGCCCGCGTCCCCCGCGCCCGCTACTCGAACTCGAGGAGGAGCGGGGCGGCCGGGAGTGGAGGGCTGTGGGTAGTTGTCTGAGGAGGGCTGCTGGGGGTTCTGAGGCCGCTGGGGGCGGCGTGACCCGTGCGGCGCAGAGCAAGTACTTCTTGCGGCTGTGGGGACGCCCATTGTTAACCAGCGCGAGTGGGGGTCTCTCTTTCCTCAACCCTTATTGCCGGGGTGGAGTTGAGGAGGAGCGGCCTGCGGGCCTCTTAGCTTCCTGACACCCAGGGGTGCGATGCTATTTTGTAGGAATCGGCGACACCGCCAGAGCCTCGCTTTCAAATTGCTGTTTCCAAACTAATGTTGTTGGTGATTCTCTCCTTTGTGCTCTTAGAGTTAATTGTAGTCCACATGTTGGCAACCAGAGACTCGTAAGATTAATAATATTTTTAGAAAAAACTACTGTTTATGGTCACTTAGATTGTCTTAAGTGTTTTTTTCTTTCGGTTCACACAAAATTTGTTGAGGGATTACTATGACTCAGACACGGTTGTAGGCCCAGGGATAGGGTTGTGACCAGTACAGACAGGTTTCTTGCCCCGTATTTTTGGGTTAGGGAAGTGGGTTCTAGGAGATGGGGGTTGGGTGGGGAGACACGATAAATTGTATAACCAAAGATATTTTCAGATAATTGCAAAGGCAGGGTGATGAAATAACAAGTGTCTGAGGATAGGACAACTAAGATTTATGGTCAGGAAAGACTGCTTATGAGGAGATGCCTTGAGTGGAGAAAATCTAATAATGGTTAAATTCAGCTGTATTACAGGAAAGGTGTCCCGATCCAGACCCGAAAAGAGGGTCCTTGGCCGGGCGTGGTGACTCAGGCCTGTAATCCCAGCACTTTGGGAGGACGAGGTGGGTGGATCATGAGGTCAAGAGATCGAGACCATCCTGGCCAACTTGGTGAAACCCTGTCTCTACTAAAAATACAAAAATTAGTTGGGCGTGATGGTGCACGCCTGTAGTCCCAGCTACTCGGGAGGCTGAGGCAGGAGAATCGCTTGAACTGGGGAGGCTGAGGTTGCAGTGAGCCGCGGGCCACTGCACTCCATCCAGCCTGGCTACAGAGGGAGACTCCGTCTCAAACAAAACAAAAAAAGTCTTGGATCAGGCAAGAAGGAATTCAGGGTGAGTCCACAGTGCAAAGTGAAAGCAAGTTTATTAAGAAAGTAAAGGAGTGGCTACTCCATAGAGCAACCTGGAGGGCTGCTGGTGGCCCATTTTTATGGGTATTTCTTAGTGGTATGGTTAACAAGGGGTGGATTATTCATTCCTCCCCTTTTAGATCATAGAGAGTAACTTCCTGATGTTGCCATGGCATTTGTAAACTGGCATGGCGCTGATGGGAGTCTAGTAGTGAGGACGACCAGTGGTCACTCTCGTGGCCATCTTGGTCTTGGTGGGTTTTGGCTGGCTCCTTTATTGCAACCTGTTTTTTCAGCAAGGTCTTTATGACCTGTATTTTGTGCCGACCTCACATCTCATCCTGTGATTTAGAATGCCCTGTCTGGGAATGCAGCCCAGTAGGTTTCAGCCTCATTTTACCCAGCTCCTATTGAAGATGGAGTTGTTCAGGTTCACATGCTTCTGACATTTGAACCTGCGCCCAGGCCGGATGAGGCTGGAGAAACACAACAATGTTGACTGTTCCCACTATTTATTTATTTATTGATTGATTGATTGATTCATTCATTCATTTATGAGACGGAGTTTCACTCTTGTTGCCCAGGCTGGAGTACAATGGTGTGATCTCGGCTCACTGCAACCTCTGCCTCCCGGCTTCAAGCGATTCTTCTGCCTCACCCTCCAGAGTAGCTGGGATTACAGGCGCCTGCCACCACGCCCGGCTAATTTTTGTATTTTTAGTAGAGATGGGGTTTCACCATATTAACCAGGCTGGTCTTGAGCTCCTGACCTCAGGTGATCCACCCGCCTCAGCCTTCCAAAGTGCTAGGATTACAGGCGTGAGCCGCCAGGCCCGGCCGACGGTTCCCACTTGATAAATTTGTGACGTGAACCTCAGTCGAGCCCTTAGTGCTGCCAGGCGGTCATTCTACATTTCCATAGCCCCTTCACCCTCTCGCCTTAGGCAACTATTAAAACTCAAATCTTCAACGTTTCTTCTCTTATCCTCTCTCAGCTGGTAACGTTGCTTCTTGTTTCACTGAAAATGGAAGCCGTCGGAAGACAATTTTCACACTAGCTGCCTAGTTGCATGTTTACTCAGGGTCTCATATTCTTTTATGATAATTGGACTGTTAGTGCTCCATTCTTAGGTCTTCCTGTCTACTGTGTCCTGGTTTCCATCTCCTCTTGCCTACTGGAAGGCATTGTTCTAGTAATTCTCTTTCTTGTATCATCAGTTTTTTAATCCTTTTAAACGTTTGCTCACATCAACATATAAACGTGCTTTAATTTCTCTTACCTTAAAAAATGAAAACTTGGCCGGGCGCGGTGGCTCACGCCTGTAATCCCAGCACTTTGGGAGGCCGAAGCGGGTGGATCACGAGGTCAGGAGATCGAGACCATCCTGGCTAACACGGTGAAACCCCGTCTGTACTAAAAAACAACAAATTAGCCGGGGGTGGTGGCGGGCACCTGTAGTCCCAGCTACTCGGGAAGCTGAGGCAGGAGAATGGCATAAACCTGGGAGGCGGAGCTTGCAGTGAGCCGAGATCGCGCCACTGCACTCCAGCCTGGGCGACAGAGCCAGACTCCGTCTCAAAACAAACAAACAAACAAACAAAACAAACTTGACACCACATGCTCTTTCACTGGTCACTCCATTCTTTTTCCTTTAAAGACTTGTATCATATATGCTTGTCTTTTAATTCTTCCAGTCTCTCTTGTATTCATTCTAGTCAGTCTCTCTTCCCCTCTCCCAACCATACTGGAACTGCTCTTACTGAGTTCCCTGATGACCTGTTAAAAATACAGTGGTCATGGCTGGGTGCAGGGCTCATGGCTGTAATCCCAGCACTTTGGGAGGCCAGGATGGGTGGATCATGAGGTCAAGAGATGGAGACCATCCTGGCCAACATGGTGAAACCCCGTCTCTACTAAAAATACAAAAATTACCTGGGGGTGGTGGCATGTGCCTGTGGTCTCAGCTACTCGGGAGGCTGAGGCTGACGCAGGGGAGTCGCTTGAACCCGGGAGGTGGAGGTTGCAGTGAGCCAAGATCACGCCATTGCACTCCAGCCTGGCGACAGAGCGAGACTCCGTCTCAAAAAAAAGAAAAAAAATACAGTGGTCTCTCTTTGGTTTTCATCTTACTTATGAGCAGCATTTGACACAGATGATGGATCCTCCTCCTGGAGGCACTTTGTTTGGTTTCCAGGACACTACCCCCTCCTGGCTCACCTTATGTTCCTTGGTACTTCTTTTTCAGTCCCCACAGCCTATTCCTTCTTATCTTTGTGATCTCTAATTATTGGAATGCTAGGAGTCTGTCTTAGCCATCTTTATCTTTTTAGTTGTTCAGGACAAAAACTTTGGAATCTTCCTTGATTCCTTTTATTTACCCTTCCTCCACCTCCCCAGTCAGTCCATCAGCAAATCCTGTCAGCTCTCCCTTAAAATGTACTTGGAATCTATTTTTCATCACCTCCACTGCATCCATCTTAGACCAAGCCATTACTTCTTGGCCTCGTGATTAAAGTAGTTTCCTAACCAGTCTCCTAGCGTTGTGCTTTTGTCCCTCCTTCTTCTCCCCTCCCCCTCCAGATTTTTACTACAGTAGCCAGAATTCTCTTTCTAACAGGTGAGTCAGAACATGCAGTCTTACACTTAAAACACTCCAATGGATCTCCCTTTCAACGCTTTTTGGTTTTAGCATCTTAAAATGTCATTTAGCATCTTAAAATGTCCAAAATCAAACTGCTGATTTTGCCCCGAAATCTTTTGTGTCCGTGGTCTTCCCCATCTTAGTAAATGTAACTCCAGGAGTGCAGAGCTATTTGTCTTTTTTTTTTTTTTTTTTAAATCTGTACCACTTACAGCAGTACCTGGCACTTGGTAGGCACTCAGTATTTACTGAATAAATGAGAAGAAATGAGTCTTTCAAAGAGCAGGGTAAGAGAATAGTGTTCTAGGTAATATGAACCATAAGTGCAAAAGAACCTGACGGGGCCCAAGTTTGGCATGTTTAAGGAACTGAAAAGAAGGCCAGCCTGGGCATGGTGGCTCATGCCTCTAATCGTAGCACTTTGGGAGGCTAAGGCAGGAGAATTGCTTGAGCCCGGGAGTTTGAGACTAGCCTGGGCAACATAGCGAGACCCTATTTCTGCAAGAAATTAAAATATTAGATATGGTGGCTTGCAGTACTCAGGAGGCTGAGATGTAGGACCTGCAGTAGTGACCCCTGATTGCTCCACTGCACTCCAGCCTGGGCGAGAGCCAGACCCTGTGTCAAAAAAAAAAAATGGCCAGTCTGGGCAGGAGCTTAGGTACTGTATAAATTTCCTGTTGCTACTGCGGCAGTGAAGTCATATGTACTGTTGTAAAGTTCTGGTGGTCAGAAGTCCAGAATGAGGCTCAAGGGGTTAAACATCAAGGTGTGGGTAGGGGTTCTGGAGAATCAGTTTCCTTGCCTGATGCAGCTTCTAAACACCTGGGATCCCTTCCCCATCTTAATGCCATGAGCACAGCCTCTTCAAATCTCTGTCTCTCATCTCTACTTTGCTTGTTTCATCACCTTCTCTCACTGACCCTCCTTTGTTTCCCTTGTAAGGACCATTGTGATCACGTCATCTGACCAGCCTGGGTAATCCAGGATGATCTCTTGACCTCAAGATCCTTAACTTAATCTCATCTGTGAAATTCTTTTTGCCAAGTAAATTTACATATTCACAGGTTCCAGAGATTAGAACCTAAACATTTTTGGGAGGGGTGAGGAGGTATTCAGCCTACCACAGTTAATGAAGAGTGAGTGGCCTGAGATAAGGTCTTAGAGATTGGCAGGGACCAGATCATGATAGGTCATGATAGGGAGTCTGTTTTTCAGTCATAGTGCTGAGAGGTTTCAGTAGGGGAATGATAGGATTTGATGTGAAAAAGTCTCCCTGGCCGCTGGATGGCGATTAGACTGTTGGGATCGAGAGCAGAAGGCCTCAGCTTTTTATTCATAACATCATACGGTGGATCTCAATCTTGCTGTACGTTATGATCACACCTCAAAGCAATTATATCTGAACCACTGAGGGCTGGACCCAAGTATCAGCCTTTTTTTGTTTGTTTGTTTGTTTTTTAAGAAAAAGCATTCTAATTGTAGCCAGGGTTGAGAACCACTAGTCTCATAGATCTGAATCCATTTTACCTTTTCAGCCTTAGCTCAGTAGGAGCTTCTCGCATCCATCACTTACTGCATGAGCTACTTGACCATTTCTTAGACAAACTTCCTGTATTCCCACCTGTGCCTTTCAAAATATACCTAGTCTAGGGAGGCCTACGCGGACTGTCAGGGCCCAGCTGACAAACTCTCCTCCAGAAAGCTTCTCCAGTGCCCTGTAGTAGGAATGATTTGCTTCCTTCCCTGGCTCCCATTTGCACTTAGATTTCTCAGCCCTGATCACAGTCAGCTGTATATTATCGTCTCCTTTGCTTATTTACTCATGCCTTCAACAAATACTGTACCACTTGGCTGAATGCTCTGCTAGACACTAGGATTTACTACAATGCAAAGACAGTCTTGGTTGGGCGTGGTGGCTCACACCTATAATCCCAGCACTATGGGAGGGTGAGGTGGGCGGATCCCTTGAGGTCAGGAGTTTGAAACCAGCCTGGCCAACGTGGTGAGACTCTGTCTCTACTAAAAATACAAAAATTAGCCAGGCTAATTAGCCGAGACACACTCCTGTAATCCCAGTTACTCAGGAGGCTGAGGCACTAGAATCTAGCTTGAACCCAGGAGGTGGAGGTTGCAGTAAGCTGAGACCATACCACTGTACTCCAGCCTGGGCGACAGAGCAAGACTCTGTCTCAAAAAAAAAAAAAAAAACCTTGTCTTCTAGGTCCTCCAGCAGCTTAATCTATATGGAGGTAGGAGCGGGTAGATGTGCAATAAGAATACTCTGAGATGATTGTTCAAATGGAGATTCGTCCAAGTGCTGTGGGAACATGGGGATTTCAGAGACAGGTTTTCAGCTATTTCAGTATTTGAGCTAAAAAACTTGAAGGATGATTTGGTATTTGGTGGTGAGCAGGGCATGAGGAAGGGAAGAGTTTTCTGAGACAACATGTGAAAGGCAGGAGATGGGAGAGAGATTGTAGTGTTCTTAGAGACCATGTAGTAACAGTATTGCTTCAGTGCTCAACAGTGCTCAATGAAGACAGTGTCAGAAGCAAGTAGGGGGCATTAGATTCTGTGATCTTCTATGCTTTATGTGAAGGAGTTAAATTTTATCCTATACTTGTAGGGATGCCATTGAAAAATTTGAGCAGTAGAGTGACATGGTGTGATTTCCATATTGGGAGGATTGCTCTGGGTAATGTAAAGGAGAGGCTGGAATAGAGAGGGATAAAGGCAGGGAGGCTGGTGAGTGCCACTAGGAGAGGAACAGGATCAGGTTTGTTGTAGTTGAGGGGAATTGCAGTGAATTGAGGCGTGAACCACTCTTAGAAGCCTAAGGTTATGGGGCCGGGCATGGTGGCTCACGCCTGTAATCCCAGCAATGGGAGGCCGAGGCGGCTGGATCACAAGGTCATGAAATCTCCTGGTTAACACGGTGAAACCTGTCTCTACAAAAAAAAATACAAAAAATTAGCCAGGCATGGTGGCACGCGCCTGTAGTCCCAGCTACTTGGGAAGGTGAGGCAGGAGAATCACTTGAACCCAGGAGGCAGAGGTTGCAGTGAGTTGAGGCCACGCCACTGCACTCCAGCCTGAGCGACAGAGCAAGACTCCATCTCAAAAAAAAAAAAAAAAAAAGCCTAAGGTTGTAAAAGGAAGCAATGCTTTGGGAAGGTAGAGGATTGAAGGGGAGATTCAGGATCAGGGTTCTTAAAAAAATCTTTTTTTGCCTAATAAGTGGCCTTGAAGAAGTTTATATGCATATGCTGATTAGAAAGATTCAATAGAGGCCGGGCGTGGTGGCTCATGCCTGTAATCCCAGCACTTTGGGAGGCTGAGGCGGACAGATCACCTGAGGTCAGGAGTTCAAGACCAGCCTGGCCAACATGGTGAAACCCCGTCTCAACTAAAAATACGAAAATTAGCTGGGTGTGGTGGCACACGCCTGTAATCCCAACAACTTGGAAGGCTGAAGCAGGAGAATCGTTTGAACCCGGGAGGCGGAGGTTGCAGTGAGCCAAGATCGTGCCATTGCAGTCCAGCCTGGGTGATGAGCAAAACTCCATTTCAACAACAACAAAAAAGAAAGATCCAATAGATAGACTTGAAGATAGAAGAAAGTGTAAATACAGGGGAAAATGATGAAACAAATCCCCGAGGAGGCATGAAAAGAAGTTATTCTGAGCACAAATAATTGGTTTAGCCTTGGATAAGAAGAGGAGGAGTTGTGAGAAGGGGTCATGGAACTAAGGATGCAGTCAGATGATTTTGTGAAGGAGCCAGAAACCTTGAGATTATCCCCAGTAGCCTCGGCTTGCTCTGTGACTTGGGAGAGAACAGGTGAGGAGGACAGGTGTTAAGTTGTAGTAGCCTCATCTGCACCCTAGAGTTTTCTCAGATGGTGCAGCCTAGGGGCAGGGATGGAGGAGCTGAGACTTCGATTATTCTCTGGGTTTTTTGCCAGATGATTTGAGGAGGCGGGTGGAGGATCTGCATGTGTCCTTTTCCTAGGTTTTGAATTCCTGATGCTGTAACCACATTATTTTATCTTCTATTTTGATGAGTATGCAGCTTTGCATTGCAGTGGCTGTGTAAACACTGAATTTTGTTTTGCTTCTTGACCATTTATTTTTCCTACCAGGATAGTAATGATGACACTGAAGATGTTTCACTGTTTGATGCGGAAGAGGAGACGACTAATAGACCAAGAAAAGCCAAAATCAGGTAGGAGGAGAGAAGTTGCATGAGCTGTGTTAGTGTCCAGTGCTGTTCTGTATGTATGTCAGTGCTAGCTGATGGGAGTCAAGGCAGAGTTGTTTCAATGTGCTTGTGAATACTGCATGTTGCTAATTTGACGTTTAGTGTACGACAAAGATGACATTTCAGATTTTCTTGTGAATAATTGGCATACTTAATACTGAGTTTTAAAATCAGCAAATCCAATTATTTGAACACCTGTGTTTTTAATTCTGTGCTATTTTCCAAGAATGTACCATTTCTTTATATAGTTTCTATAGATACATTACATTTTGATTTATTGTGCACATTTCAAAATCACATAACATTTCTATTCTAAATTTAATTCTCTCTAAAGAAATTCACTTACTGAAAGCAAATTCTACTTGAACCCTGCTAAAATGCTGTCTTTTACTTTTCTTTCATCTTTCATGCCAGTCACAAAAGACCACATATTGTATGATTTCATTTATATGAAATGTCCAGAATAGGCAAATCTGTAGAGACAGAAGATAGATTAGCTGTTGCTAGAAGCTGAGGGGTTTGAAGGTAAATGGGGAATGACTGCCAGTGGGTACAAAGATTCTGTCTGGGGTAATGAAAAGTTGTAAAATTGGAGTGATGGTTGTACAAATCTGTGAATGTACTAAAAACCATTAGATTGTTTACCTTAAATAAGTAAATTGTATGATATGTGAATTATATCTCAAAAAAGCTATTAAAAAACAAGAAACAGGCTGGGCACGATGGCTCATGCCTGTAATCCCAGCACTTTGGGAGGCCGAGGCAGGTGGATCACGAGGTCAGGAGATTGAGATCATCCTGGCTAACATGGTGAAACCCCATCTCTACTAAAAATACAAAAAATTAGCCGGGCGTGGTGGCAGGCGCCTGTAGTCCCAGCTACTTGGGAGGCTGAGGCAGGACAATGGCGTGAACCCAGGAGGTGAAGTTTGCAGTGAGCCGAGATTGTGCCACCAAACTCCAGCCTGGGCGACGGAGCGAGACTCCGTCTCAAAAAAAAAAAAAAAAGAAAAGAAAGAAAGAAACAAACTACCTGATAACTTTGTCTTAATGTCTGAGTGATTTCTGAGGGCTAAGGAATTCTTTTGGTGTGATTTGAAAATAGGATTCAAATTCTAAGATACAGTTTCCTTATTTCTCCAAGAGAGATAAAATTCTTTATTATCTATTTTGTGAAAGTTTATATTCAATGAGGTGTTAAAGTCATCTGTGCATAGTGTATTTTCTGTAACTACAGGGCCTAGTCAAATAGTGGGGCTTAAGAAAAAGAGAGCTAGGAGGTTTGCTTCATCCTACTAAAGTCACCTCTTTTATTTTGACAAAACTCTTCACAGTTACACGATGGCTAAAACATTTTTCTCTACATTTGCTAGTACCTGTAGTAAAATGTAATTGCATTTCTTTCATTGTGTTTTGGTTTTCAGACATCCAGTAGCATCGTTTTTCCACTTATTCTTTCGAGTCAGTGCAATCATCGTCTATCTTCTCTGTGGGTTGCTCAGCAGCAGCTTTATTACCTGTATGGTGACAATTATCTTGTTGTTGTCGTGTGACTTTTGGGCAGTGAAGGTAATTTTGATTGTTTTTATTTTAAAATTATATTTAATATGAAAATGATGTATAAAAATATGAGTTAGCATTTTGCATTATTGTTAATCTTTTGTTACTTCAAACCTCATCTGTGTTGAAGTGCTAGATATATCAAATTGCATGTAGTTTTTTTTTTTTTTTTTTTTTTTTTCATTTTTTCCCTTTGACAATACAAGATGAGACATGCAGGTTACTGTGCTGCTGATTTTTCTGTGCCATATTCTAACCTACATCAGCTTTAAAGTCAAATAAACAAACAAAAGTGACTAGCAACCATAGACCCTACAATGTTGCTTCTAATCCATACCATGGGTTTTGCTTCAGGCTTACCTGTAGGTGTGTTGTATATAATTTCTAGATAAGGCCCCAGTGTAGTTTGTCCACAAATACCTAAAAAATACCTACCTTTTGAAAAGGCTCCTATGGATGCTTTAAGGCAGTGTTTCTCAACCAGAGACAAGCTTGCCACCCACTGAATATTTGTCAGTGTCCAAAAATGTTTTTGGTTGTCATGACTGGAGGTGGGAGGAGTGTGCTATTGACATCTAGTGGCTAGAGGGCAGGTATGCTGCTAAATATCCTAACACACAGGACGGCCCCTCTGCAACAAAGAACTACCTGACCCAAAATGTCAGTTGTGCCAAGGTTGAGACACCCTGCTGTAGGGGATAGAAAGAAGTGTAAGAAATGGTTTCAAACTCAAGAACAATGATTAGAGAGATGGATGGATGGATAGATAGGTACATAATAAATAGATAAGTAAGCATAATAAAATATTAAATATGGACTCTAGATGATAGATATTTGGGTATTCACTGTAAAATTTAACTGTGTGTGTTCGAAAATATAGTAAAATAGTGGAGAAAAAAATCAAAGGCTGATTTTGGAGTTTCAGAGACACATACTGATTCAAAGACTAGTAAGATGTTACAACCCTATTCACACCCACCAATGTAGCCATTTTTAGATCTTTTAATTCTTTTTTTTTTGAGACGGAGTTTCACTTTTGTTGCCCAGGCTGGAGTGCAATGGCATGATCTTGGCTCACCGCAACCTCTGCCTCCTGGGTTCAGGTGATTCTCCTGCCTCAGACTCCCGAGTAGCTGGGATTACAGGCATGCACCACCACGCCTGGCTAATTTTTTTGTATTTTTAGTACAGACGGGGTTTCTCCATGTTGGTCAGGCTGGTCTCGAACTTCTGACCTCAAGGGATCTGCCCACCTCAGCCTCCCAAAGTGCTGGGATTACAGGCGTGAGCCACTGCGCCTGGCCATCTTTTAATTCTTAAAGATACCTGAAGTGGTTGGCTTGGTGATGGCCAGTTTCCATAGGCCGCATAATGCTGAGAAGGAAGATTTCAAAGGTCTGTTTTCTTTAGGTTTTTCTGTTGTCCAGTCTTCTTTGGCTTGCATTTCTTTGAATTTCTTCTGTTACTTTATGCTCCAAAGTATTTAGTACATACTGCTCACAGTTTTGATACACGTTTCTTTTTGTTGTTCATAAAATTTCTGTTCAGCCAAATAGAACATGCTTTCCAGTCAGTTCTTCCTGGTAATTTCCAAACTCTTAAAATTTTTCTGGGTTTAGAGTTTTAAAAAATGCGATCAAAATAGTTTATTTTCTGATAAGGTTTATTTGTTTATTTTTGTTTTTAAACAAGGGCTTAAAAAATGGCACCCTTTTATCCTTGGCAAAACTACTTATAGATAGCAAAGCAATGGAGATATAAAGCAAAATTAAGAAGTCAAGAATAGGGAAATTATTAAGTGGACTTGGGATAAGCAGGGTTCTGAAACAGTTAAAATAGAGATGTGTCGTAATTGTTATAAATCTCAATGTACTTACTAAAAAAACAAAAAATCAATCTTCATCTAAACCCCTAGGTGTCCAATCTTTTGGTTTCCCTGGGCCACAGTGGAAGAAAGAATTATCTTGGGCCACACATAAAATACACTAACATTAGCTGATGAGCTTAAAAAAAAAATCGCACACAAAAAAATCTCATAATGTTTTAAGAAAGTTTACAAATTTCTCCTGGGCCGCATTCAAAGCTGTCCTGGGCAGCATGAGGCCTGTGGGCAGAGGGTTGGATAGGCTTGCCCTAGGTGATGTTAATGAAGATAAAGAAGAGGTAGAGAAGGGAAAATAATTTAAAGGTATGCTTAAATGCTAAAGCTTATATTGGTTTTTATTTTATTCTTCACTCTGACAAATTGAGTAAAAAAGGTTAAATAATGGTTTTAAAAATTTAATGGCAACTATGGCTGGGCGCGGTGGCTCACACCTATAATCCCAGCACTTTGGGAGGCTGAGGCGGGTGGATCATGAGGTCAGGAGATCGAGACCATCCTGGCTAACATGGTGAAACCCCATCTCTGCTAAAAAAAAAAAAAAAAAAAAAATGAGCCGGGCGTGGTGGCAGGTGCCTGTAGTCCCAGCTATTCAGGAGGCTGAGGCAGGAGGCGGAGCTTGCAGTGAGCCGAGATTGCGCCACTGCACTCTAGCCTGGGCAACAGAGCAAGACTCCATCTCAAAAAAAAAAAAAAAAATAATGGCAACTATTAGTAAAATTTAAAACCAGTCGTGTATCTTCTGCAACATTGGAGAAGATGGAGCAAGTAAAACAGTTCATAGAGCAAAAGAAGGAAAACAAAGCAACTGTCAAGGAAGCTTAAATCAGAAAGTACATGTATAAAGTGATGTAAGTAATAGCAAATTCATTATAATAGGAAATGTAATTTGATTAAACTACCCATTTAAAGACAAGAATACTAAGATTGGTCAGAAATCAAAGTCCAAACAAAAGATCTAACAACATTAATGACATTAGAAAAAATAAAAGAAGGCAAAGATAACATCAGATCAACTCAAACAAAAAGAAACTTGGCATTGTATTATTATCAGATGAGATATGGATCAGAGTAAGAAAGCACTAAGAGGAACAGAAAAAGGTGATTTTATGAATCACAGTGAAGATCATTCACAGAGTAAAATTATATCAAACTATGTATAGTAAAAAAATTGGAAATATTAGAAAATAGAAAAGCATTATGATGAGTTTAACAAACTACTATCTTTAACAAACCAAAGTGCCAAAAAATAAATAAGTTCTGAAGGATCTGAATGAAATAATTGGCAACATCAATTTGATAGCAGTATTTGGGACTTTGTATGACAGAATACTTTCTTGTTAAATGCCTGTGGGGCATTTACAAAAATTGACTAAATATCACTGTGAAGAAAATCAAAATAAAATTGCCCAAAGCACCTACATTTTCTACTCCAATGAAACAGAACTAGAAATTAATAGAAAGTAGTTGTCGAAATTGGAATTCTTTTTAAAAAGCGAACTACTACATATCTTGGGTTTAAAAGGAAGCAAAAACTGTAAATATAGGTTATTTATACCTTAATGGTGATCATTTACAGTTAAACTTTCTGAATATGTCAAAAACTGAATTCAGAGGGAAAATAATAGACTAAAGCCTTTTATTTTAGACAAGAAAGAGGGAAAATAATGGACTACTTGAGTCCAGAAATTTCAAAAACAAGCAATAAGCGTGAGAAATCAGGAAAATAAACTAATAAAGATAAAAGCAGGAAATAAAGAGTTAGAAAATGGGAACACAGAAGAGTTTGAAAGTATTCTGAGAGCATTCTTTGAAAATACCTATAGAAGAGACCTCTGGTTTAGGTCTCCCTTGCCAGCTCTTTTTTTTTTTTTTACTTAGCATCTCTCCCATAGGAATTTTGGTCTCATAAGACTCTTCCTTTTCTTCTCCTGTATTCCCTTCCTAAGGAGTGCCGTTTATGCTTCTGGTTTTAATTGCTGATCTGTAAGCTGTGTTGCCTCCCAGATCTGTATCTCCATTCAGGTTTGTCCTCACAACTCAAGGCCTCTCCATGTGTCTTCTTGACGTTTTTATGTGGCTGTCTTGAAGGCATCTCAAATCTTTTTTTTTTTTTTTTTTTTTTTTTTTGAGACAAAATCTTGCTTTGTCACCCAAGCTGGAATGCAGTGGTGTGATCTCGGCTCACTGCAACCTCTGCCTCCTGGGGTTCAAGCCATTCTCCTGCCTCACCCTCCTAGATAGCTGAGACTACAGGCATGCACCACCATGCCTAGCGAATTTTTGTATTTTTAGTAGAGTCAGGGTTTCACTATGTTAGCCAGGCTGGTCTTGAACCCAAGTGAGCCACCATGCCTGGCCAGGCAACTTATATCTTAACATGTGTAAAATACTACTTGTCATCTTCCACTCCCCAAAAGCTCTTCTTCTTTGAGTGTTCCCTTTCGTGGGGCCTGGAATCACTATTTTTTTACTTGAGCAAACCAGAAATGTATCAGTTGCCTCCTTCCTACTCCATATCCAATTAATGACCAAGTCCCATAAATCCATAGATTGTACTTTCTTCATTAGGGCATCAGTGCCTGCTGCTCTATCTGGAATGCTCTTCTTCCTCCCACATCACCTTCATACAGGGATTCCTAATCTTTTTATGCCATGGGTCCCTTTCATAGACTCATGAATAAGTTTTCACATATATAAAGTACATAAGATTTCAAAGGAAGTCACTTATATTGAAATATAATTTAAAAATATTAGAAAAGTAAATTTCTGATTGAGTTATATGTGTAGTAGTTCCCCCATTATCTGAGGTTTCACTTTCTGCGGTTTCAGTTACTGCTATACACTACACTAAACAGTAAGATACTGTGTGAGGAGAGAGAACTACATTCACATAACTTTTATTAGATTATGTTGTTATAATTGTTCTATTTTTATTTCTTATTAATCTCTTACTGTGCATTATTTATAAATTAAGCATTATCATAGGTATGTACTTACAGGAAAAAATATAGCATATATAAGGTTTGGTATTAACCACAATTTGAGGCATCTGCTGGGGGTCTTGGAATGTATCCCCTGCAGATAAGGGAGGACTACTATACTTTATGAATTTATTAATGGTAAGATCTAGTGGCAGGTCTAATAACTACTTTCAAAGCAGTGGTGAGCGTAAACAATATGTTAAGATAACTGCAGCAAGTATAGTACAAAATGAAAAATGTCTGTGGTTTCTATTGTGTCAGGGTGTTTTTAATTTTACCTATATTCATAGTTTGTTGTCTACATTCATAATTTAATGATATGCTAACTACTTTCAAAGCAGTGGTGAGCATAAATAGTATTTTGAGGCCGTGCGTGGTGGCTTACGCCTGTAATCCCAGCACTTTGGGAGGCCAAGGCGGGTGAATCACTGAGGTTGGGAGTTCGAGACCAGCCTGACCAACATGGAGAAACCCCATCTCTACTAAAAATACAAAATTAGCTGGGCATGATGGCGCATGCCTGTAATCCCTGCTACTTGGGAGGCTGAGGCAGGAGAATCGTTTGAACCCGGGAGGCAGAGGTTGCGGTGAGCTGAGATCGCCCCGTTGCATGCCAGCCTGGGCAACAAGAGCGAAACTCTGTCTCAAAAACAAAAAACAAAACCAAACAAAAAACAAAACTACAATATTTTGAGGTAACTGCAGCAAATATAGTACAAAATAAAAAAATGCCTGTGATTTCTATTGTGTCAGGGTGTTTTTAATTTTACCTACATTCATAGTTTGTTGTCTACATTCATAATTTAAAGATATGCTAAATTTTAGCCAGAGGTTAATGAAAATGAAGGTAACATTTTTTTTTAACCCATCGAGGTTCACAGAACCACTGAATCTATTAGTGGACACCATTAATTAAACATCCATGGTACTGTTGATTCTTATTTATCTTTTATATTTCATTCCAAATGTTGACTCCTCAGAGAGTCATTTTCTGATACCCAGACTAGATCCAATTTCCCTGTTATACTCTTCAAGCATCTCACACTTTTCCCTTGCAGGACTTAACTCAGTTGGTAATGGTACATTTGTGCATTGGTTGTCTGCCTCTCTTCACCTCTTTCCCTGAGGAAGGAGTTGGTATCTGTTAGTCACTGTTGTATTACCAGCACATAGTAGATGCTCAGTAAATATTTGTTGAGTAAATAAAGATTAGGAAAGCTATCAAACTAATTTATTACCTTAGTAAGTAGGAAAAGAGCTTGGTAACTTGAGAGACTGACTGAAGGCCAGTGTCTATAATCATTTTCAGGGATATGTAGTTGTAAAATACATGTAGCTATAGTCAGGATGTAAAGTAGGTCACAGTAACCAAATAGCAAGGGGTTTAGGGAAAATTAGGGAACTGGAGAAAGGGCAAATTGTTCATGAGGGAAAAGAGAAGGTGTAATGTTTATGGGTGGACTTGTTGCTTGCTCTGTCACCTCTACCCCTATTAGTCCTGCCATTACCATTTTACTTAATCACTTAGCCAGGCCTGATACATAGTAGTCTTTGCTAACTGGATATTATGGAGGTAAAGCTGAAGGTTTTTGTTTGTGAAATGTTACACTAAGATAGGAGCTTGTGATAGATCTTTAAATAATGCTTTTAAAATGTGCCTGTTTATATTAATCTTCACCAGAATGTCACAGGTAGACTAATGGTTGGCCTACGTTGGTGGAATCACATTGATGAAGATGGAAAGAGCCATTGGGTGTTTGAATCTAGAAAGGTAAAGTGCCTTTTTTGTTTTAAATAATGTTATCAGCTAAATTATTTGTAGACTATATTTAAATACTGGAAGATGAAGTATTCAGAATTAAAAACACTATACCAAATCACTTGGCATGTCAGCACTAAAGGAGATGGCCTTCTAGAATTTAATGCATTTTTCTGTCTAGTTCAGACCAGAAACAAGCAATATACAGAACAGAATCCTTTGAGGGAAGACACTGGGTCTGAGTTCATACAGTGTGCTAAGCTGCCTGTCAGGGATTGCTGATAAAAGATCTCTGTGTTGCCTTTGTTAGTGTCTCCATAAATCCCTCTATGCTCAGCAGATAACTGCTTTTAACATCTTGTTCTGTCTTTGCTCCTGTGGTCGTCTTTCATTTCTGGGCAGGAAAAAGGAGGAGGAGTGCAGCTGGATAGAATATCTGATCGGAGCACTCTATTCCTAAGCTTCTGCCTTCAGGAGCCCTGGGGATCCTGGTCTGTTTTGGGTTAGCCTGCTACACTATAGTGAATATTCACTTTCCTTGTGGAAATAAGTTTTGGAAGCAGAGGACCAAATTCTTGGCGACAGTACACCAAGGGTATTGACAAGTTATTTTAAGAAAGTGGCACTGTGTTCAATGAGCCTGTATTCTTTTATATTATAGAATCTACCTTGGAAACAACTTACCACCCTTGTAACTTCCTGGGTATTGCTAAGACATTTTGATTATTGTCCAGAATCCCTTGATTCCGTTTTTTTTTTTTCCTCTGGACCCTAATTTGACCTTTTAGTCTCCAGAATGATTATAACTGTGATTTCCTTGATCATTGGTAGGAAAGGTATCATTTAGAGCTTCCTTATGAATAAATAGTACAAGTGCAAGAAGAATTGAATAGAATCCTATCAGAGACCACTCTTTACTGTCATGAGTTGTGGTAAACCATCCATCCTGCCCTGAAAATGCAAAATTCTTGAGTTAATATAGATCAGTTCCTAAAATTACAAGAGTGATAGTCATGTATTTTTGGGTTCTAACTTAGGAGTTGGGCTGTGTGTATTAATATTTGAACTTGTGGGTAATATGTTTTTTATTAAACATGTTGAACTTTTTATTGATAAATTTCACAACATGATAATTGAATTTATGTTCTTTTATAGGAGTCCTCTCAAGAGAATAAAACTGTGTCAGAGGCTGAATCAAGAATCTTTTGGTTGGGACTTATTGCCTGTCCAGTACTGTGGGTGATATTTGCTTTTAGTGCACTCTTCTCCTTCAGAGTAAAGTGGTTGGTGAGTATCAGTGTAGAACTTTCAAATAATCCATTAAGATGTCTGATGGTAATCATAGGAAGCAACAACTACAACTGAGTCCTTATCATTAGGGACCTATCTTGAATAGGCAGCTTCATCATGTAATTCCCAAGTTTTGCTTCCCAACTTTACCTTTCTCTATAATACTGGAGAAGAGATCCTAAAAAACCCCTTCCCACCAGTTTTCTAGATTATTAGTGGTCTTTTCTGGAAATAATGGTTGGTAACCTATTGCTGCCTAACAAATCACTCCAAAACATAGTGGCTTAGAGCAACAACAGCCATTATCTCACAGTTTCTATGGGTCAGGATCTTGGGAAGGGCTCTGCTGGGAGATTCTGGCTTGGGGTCTTGAGTAGTTGTAGTCAGACAGTAGTTGGAATGATGGGGGTTGTGAGCCATCTCCTCTTCATGAGGTCCCATGGCCTCTCCACATGTTTTTCCCTGTGCCTTCGTTTGGGCTTCTTCATGGCATGGTGGCCTCATGGTGGTGGGACTGCTTACGTGGCAGCCCAGTACTTCACTTGTGGGGTGTTCTAGCTCGCAAGCTTTTACAATCTAGCTAAGATGTCATAGCATCGCTTCTGCTGCCCACTCACATTCAAGGAAATGGGAATTAGGCTCTGCTCTTGATAAGGAATAAGAAGGTGCTAGAAGACTTTGTGGAAGAGGAGATATTGTTGCTGCTGTCTTTGGAAAATATAGTTTGTCACTTGACCCAATTTGTGAGTCTTACTCTTTTTTATATCTCATATTATTTTTTCTTATTCTATCTTATATCTGATATGAATAAATATTGTGTGAATTTTCACACAATATTTATTGATATCAGATATATTTTGGCCTTAATTATGTTTTTCCTCCTAATTTGTAGTATTTTCTTAGTCCTATTTTGCGATATAGATTCTTTTTTTCTTTGTGTGTGCTCATACATTCATACTTTCCTTCTTTGGATTTGGAAGCTTATTGGAAGCTTATTGTCTTTTTTCAGTTCTTCTGGTAGTTACCTTTAATTACTTTATATGTTTATATCATTACCCTCTTTCATGAATTAGGAAATTTATTCAGTATTTATGGAGTTCCTGCTCTGGAAAATGGGAAACTTTACGCTAATATGGTTTCTTTAACTTCTCCCTCCTCCTACCTCTAGAGTTTTGCTTATTATAGTCTTATTTTAGTCCTTCTAGTGGTTTTCTTTGTAACATTAATTAATGTACTTAAACCTGTTTATTGACTTAATAGACTCTGTTTAGAAAGGGAAGAAAATAAACACTCATATTCCTTCCTATGAGTTTCCTCCTTTCTCTCTTGTTTGTTCCAATGTTATTTTTGTGTTACCAAGTTTTATAATAGTTATCTTTTGAAAACATATTTCTTACTGGTTGTTTAGTCTTTGATCTGTTTTTTAAAAAAGTCGATTCATTGCCTATCACCAGTCTTACTGCAGCTTCTCCTTTTACTTATTGGTTGGCTACATTTTCTTTTGACTCATGTTTAAACATATGAGCCTATTGACTATTCTTAAATGATGACCTGGCTGGATTAATATTCTTGGGTCACAGTTTGTTTCTTTTTGGAAGATGCTATTCCATCATTTTCTTTCACTGAATATCTTGGAGAAGTCTGAGGCCAGGCTTACTTAACCTTTGTAATCTCTCCTCATAAGGTGTTTTTTTTTTTAGTTCATGTAACCCAGATGTATCTGTATTTATCTTTCCATATCAAGTTTTCTGGAGTCTGTGCCTTTCTGACAGGCAGACCAAAGTTTTGCTTGGAATCAGGAAAATTTTTTCTGTTAAATCTTTGCATTTATTTATGTTCTATGGTTTGACCTTTCATTTTGAAGTACCAGTTACGTTTATGTTGGATCATTTTTATTTGTTCTCATCTACTATTTTCTTGTTGCTTTAATTATTCATCTTTTCCTTATTTATTCAGCAATTTTAAGAGTTCACTCTTATGTCAGAGCTGTCTGGAGACACAGGGGGATAAGTTAGGGGACAGTAAACAAGTTGACTGCTCCAGTAGAGCTTATGTTCTAGTGGAAGGTAGACAAACAGTAAAAAATACAACAGGGGATGTTAGTTAATGATACAAAGTAATGGGGTAGAGAGTGCAGAGGAGAGAACAGTAACTATTTTAAGTGCTCAGCTAAGGCTTCTCTCTGTATTTCCTTAGCTTTGTCAGCTCCGTTTTCATCTCCTGTTATCTCACCCTCATGCTTTTTGAGTTCTTTTCTTTAGGTTTTTCTGTAGGGTGAAATAGTCCGAGGAATGCTTTTATTTTGGTGGGGTTTTTTTCTTTTCGAGTAGATTCTTCACCTATCTTCTGTATACTATGCTTCTTTTTTCTTTTTTCACTATAGTTTTGCATAAATGCACTTCCCTTTTTCCTTATCCATTTTGCTTATCCTTACAGTGACAGTCCTGTCCAGCCCTTCTCTTTCTGCTGGTTTAGTGCGGGTGAATCCCCCTTGACCACCTTCTCCTGATGTCTGAGGCACGTGGCTGCTGCTCTGAGCTGGAGTTGCAGTGCTGGGTTTGGTGGCCTGAAGACACAGGTGTGATGTGCGATGTGGAGAACTTGCCAGGCTCTTGCTCTCTTGGCTGGGCTGCCTGGTTTTGCGTTCTCTTCCTTAGTGGGGCTCTTGTCTGCTGGTTGGCTGTGCACTCTCTTCTGGTTCTTCCCTTCTGCTTTGGATTGTTTGTAAGACCTTAGAGCTTTAGCATCCATCCAAGAGAGTCAGCCC
Organism: Homo sapiens; assembly: GCF_000001405.40. Taxonomy (NCBI): domain Eukaryota; kingdom Metazoa; phylum Chordata; class Mammalia; order Primates; family Hominidae; genus Homo; species Homo sapiens. Next base: position 18,801,714 of record NC_000017.11, read on the forward strand.
AGTCTTTTTCTAGCAGTGTTTCTACTTCCTTAAAACAAAACAGGGAGAGGTTATGTGAAAGCCAGTTTGATCCTGTGTTAACCTACTTATGCCTAGTGTTCCATTATTGGAACACTAAGCATGTAGGAGTTATTTATATCCTACTGCTCAAGGTCATCACCAAGGTCTGATTTTTCACTCATGCAAAAATTCACAAAATTGCAGCCTACAGCATAAATGGGTTAAGACCTCGGCATGGTGGCTCATGCCTGTAATCCCAGCACTTTGGGAGGGCCAAGGCGGGCGGATCACGAGGTCAGGAGATCGAGACCATCCTGGCTAACATGGTGAAACCCTGTCTCTACTAAAAATACAAAAAATTAGCCGGGTGTGGTGGCAGGCACCTGTAGTCCCAGTTACTCGGGAGGCTGAGGCAGGAGAATGGAGTGAACCCAGGAGGCAGAGTTTGCAGTGAGCCAAGATCGTGCCACCGCACTCCAGCCTGAGCAACAGAGCGAGACTCCATCTCAAAAAATAAATAAATAAAAATAATAAAAATAAATGGGTTAAGACCACAGGACGGGAATGGGCTTCACCCAGTCTCTCCATGAGTCTCCCACCTCCTCACTTCTCTTAAGATGATCATCTCTCATGATTAATGATCCTTCTGCGCTTCCTCTCCTGCCTTCTTCCCACCCGGTGGCACCACTATGGCCAGCTGCAGGGATTTTCCTGCCTGTTTGGGTCATTGTTAGTTGGGAGGAGTTTCTGCTGTCATGGCTGTTTCTGCATTTTTTTCTCGGGTCTTTTGCTTTTCTATAAGTTCCTGGGGATGGTAATTAGTGAAATTTTCCTTAGAGCTTCTTTGCAGAGTTTGGAGCTATGTAGAGCTGCTCCAACCTGGCTCTTTCTTTGGCCACCAGCCCTTTTTTATGTTTGTTGGTATTAGTTTATTTGTGTTTTTAAAAATGCTGTTTGCTGTTTGTACCTTAAGGGGAGGGAGATCTTCATGTCTGACTTCACTGCACCATCTTAAACCAGAAGTTTAACTTACAGATTTTAACATTTGTTGCCATTGAGTAAATCGATGCCTTAGCAGGACCCATGATTGGTCTTTGAATTGAGGTGTACCCTGGCATGTTGATATATACATACCCAGCAGTGCCCCATTTGAGAAGCATGGGAAATTAAAAGGAAATTTATTCAAATAAATACACAGTTTTATATTTATTTAGGAAACTAGCACCCTCTTATTACACTAACACGTTTAATTCCATGAAACATAAGTTTAGAACAGAAAGTACCACCTCCTCTTCTTTTACTAGGAATGTGAAACCTGTTCATTAATCAAACATTTAAATCTATTAATTAAACATTAAAATCAGCTATACATCTTGTTAAGGGTAAGGAGAATAAATCTAGATTGGAAAACGACATTTCATTGAGCTGCTTTGCTTGTCACAGATATAAAAGAGTAGAATGGTCGATGAGCTGTTTATTCCAGAACAAGGGTTGGCAAACTATGGCCTGCAGACCAAATCCAGCCCGACACCTGTTTTTGTAAGTTTTTATTGAAAAACAGCCTTGCCCACTTATATATTGTCTATGGCTGCCTTCGGATTAGAACAGCAGAGTTGAGTAATTGCAACAGAGACCGTATGGTCTGAAATATTTATGATTTGACCCTTTACAGGAGAACTTTGCTGATCCCTGTATTAGAGTCTTTAACCTTGGGAATCCCTCACATTGTCTCAATTTTTCTAATTAAGATTAATTAGAAATTTTTAAAGAATGGGTTTTGAGTTTCTTTTTCTCACTTCTCATTGATCCTAGTGGGATGACCATAGGTGAGAAAATGAAACTCAAAGGAACAAACAGCTCTGCAAAAGTACAGTTCCCCTTGGAGCTGTCTCCCTGCTCGGGGAAGGCAGGCATCGGTTGATTTATGCCTTAGGGCATTGCATCCCCTCTACCAGAAGCCAGTTGTCACGTAGAGCAGAGATTCACCCCTACCTGCTCTCAGTTTATTGAACTTGATCTACCTCTTGACTGTTCTTTTGTAATTCTTATAGGAATAATTAACATTTGAACCTTTCCTGAGTCTCATTTACTTTTCCTAACTTTACTCACAGACCAATGGGAAACAGAGAGCAAGAAGGCTCCCCCTGCACTGCATCCCCAGCAGCTAGCATGATGCCTGGCACATAAGAGCAGTTGTGTCCAGTAAATATTTGCTGGGTGAATGACTCGTGCCTTGTGCAGAGCGTCTATCAGATGGGTCTGTTCTGGCAACTGTCTCTGGAAAATCTCAACTGGCACAATCATGGCTTTGCAGAGCTTCCTCTTCCTTCTCTTTCTCATGACAGTCTGCCTTGTCTCATTTATGGCACAGAGAAAGGTCAATTTCAGGCCAGTAACCATTGATTATTTTTTCCCTTGTCCCAGGCGGTGGTTATCATGGGTGTGGTGCTACAAGGTGCCAACCTGTATGGTTACATCAGGTGTAAGGTGCGCAGCAGAAAGCATTTAACCAGCATGGCTACTTCATATTTTGGAAAGCAGTTTTTAAGACAAGTAAGTGTTTTCTGGATGTGATCAGTGACTAATGCAATTATTTCTAACTTTCATAGTTTAATTTTTATGAAACGCTCCTGAACAGAAGTTTTAAAGGCATATAGTTGTATAAATATAATGATAAAGATGTTGTAATTGCTCTTTGGGGGTGTTCAAGACAGTCTGGAAGTGTATTGTCAGTATCCTAAAATTATTTTAAAGCCAGGAAGGATAAACTATCATTGATAATAACTTATTTTTTAAAAATTACTTTTAAGTTCAGTTGTTTTTCATCAATTATGGGAGCTTTAAGTGAATGCCCTTGCAGAATGTATGTTGTATGTTTTTTTTTTTTTTTTTTGAGACAGAGTTTTGCTCTGTCGCCCAGGCTGGAGTGCAGTGGTGCAATCTTGGCTCACTGCAACCTCTGCCCCCCGGGTTCATGTGATTCTCCTGCCTCAGCCTTATGAGTAGCTGGGATTACAGGCGCATGCCACCACGCCCAGCTAATTTTTTGTGTTTTCAGTAGAGATGGGATTTCATCGTGTTAGCCAGGATGGTCTCCATCTCATGACCTTGTGATCTGCCTACCTCGGCCTCCCAAAGTGCTGGGATTACAGGCGTGAGCCACCGTGCCCAGCCTGTATGTTGTATGGTTTTAGGGAGAACAGTTGAATCACAAGAAGACCATAACATTTGTACTCAGATGTTTTTTTCCCCCTAGAACATAAGGATTTTACTATAATACCCCAACATCAGGGTTTTCAGCAGGATGAGTAGTAGTCATAGGTAAATAATTATTGGTTAAATTTCTTGGGAAAAGTGACTAGGTCTTTTTTTTTTTTTTTTTTTTTTTTTCTTGAGACGGAGTCTCGCTCTGTCGCCCAGGCTGGAGTGCAGTGGCGCGATCTCGGCTTACTGCAAGCTCCGCCTCCCGGGTTCACGCCATTCTTCTGCATCAGCCTCCCGAGTAGCTGGGACTACAGGCGCCGCCACCACGCCTGGCTTTTTTGTATTTTTAGTAGAGACGGGGTTTCACCGTGTTAGCCAGGATGGTCTCGATCTCCTGACCTCATGATCCACCCTCCTCGGCCTCCCAAAGTGCTGGGATTACAGGTGTAAGCCACGGCGCCCAGCCTAGCATGTCTACTTTTTAATGTGATTGGGCCATTGTATGTAAGGTAATGCTCTGCTTAGAAATATAGAATGTTTTCCTAGGCCTAGTCCCCAAGTCCATGGTGTGTGAAGTGAAATAACTTTGATGTTAAGGAGTTTTTTTTTTTTGTCTTTTGCAGAACACTGGAGATGATCAGACTTCCTGAATAGAGAAAGCTTATGTGCTTTGTTACATTGGGGAACAACTGAAGAGATTCTTGACTCAACCTTTTAGAGCTTAGTCCATGTTGCAACGAGGAGTGTTGGCTTTGTTTTTCCACTTAAAAACTTTATTTATAAAAAGGAAAAGTAGTTTTCATATTAAGTTTTTATTTCCTTTCCAGCAGTTGGGGCTAGAAAGTATGTGTTGGCACTAGAAACATTGTCAAGATTTGTTCTGTGGTGTAGGTATGCACATTCCATAGGTATGCACACGGCCATGTAATATCAGTATATCCCAAGTTAATGAAAGTGTTCATTTACATAGGTAATGGAGACCTTTGCATTTTGATCCATAGAACATAGGAGGATGTTCTTAGTCTGTCTCAAAGCTCTATATGTTTACATATTATTTCTGTAGATTGTTTTCAGGAGAAAGTTTTGCTTCTATGGTAAGAGTGAGCACTTTGGCTTATGTATAAGTTAGAAATAATTGTTAGTTTTTAATATGCACTTCGTGGGGAAATTTCTTAGACGTATGCAAGCAAGTGAAAACAATTAGGGCCAGTGGTATTAACTACTTTATAAAATTTTATTTTTGTTTGTAAGAAGTCATCTATTTAAGGCCCAGTTAATATAAGTGGAATCATCATAGTTTAAGGAATACCCAGAGATTGCTGCTGTTCTATTTATTTTACAGAAAGGATAGCTAGATTGAAAGCTCTTCAGTGGACCTTGAGCTAATAGATCTTTTACCACTAAAAGAGCATTATTCTCATGTCATAATGAGAATAATAATTTACATACTTGGCATAATAAATGCCTAAAAGACATTTTATTTTCTGAATCTATTTTTTTCTTGCTATAATGGGGATATTGTAAATTATGCATTTGTATTAATGGTATTTCTTAAAGCAATCTATGTAACTGTAAATTAAACCAATCTACAAACTATTGTAGGCATCTGTAAATTCTGTTGTAGGTATTATAAACTTTGTTGAAGTCTTAATCAGCAGATTATGTTGTGAATATATTTGTACATTGTTAAAATAGTTTTTAAGATTATTTGTTTAATTGAATAAGTGTCTTATTGGAGTGATAGCTTTGAAGGTGCAAAACTTTATATTTGTATAAAATTCTACTATTTACAAGGCATTTGACATGTGTAATCTCATTTAACCCTCATGATAAATATGTAATACTTTAGATGATATAACTGAACTTCAGGTTATTGAGTGACTTTCCCAAGGAAAACAGATTGCAGGAATATCTGTAGGATATAAAACATGATATATTAGTATTTTTTAGAGAAAATATTTGCTCTAAATGCCCTTTCCTTTCTTAAAAATTAATAATTTGTTAAGAGCTTGTTTATTTTACTTAGCTGTTCTGTCTGGTGAGAATTGATACTGCACTAAAGACATTTTAAAATACAATCTGAAAGATCTAACCTAAATCTTTAGGGTTGAGAGTCTAACAAAGGATACATTGGTGTAGTTCTTTAGGTAACTGTGTTATTTGAACTGCATCCTAAACCAAGTAACAATGAATTTTAGAATATGCATGTGGTAGGAGCTACCCTGTATTCCCTAATACTCGTTTTTCTCCTTCTACAGATTTCCCACCTAATTAGCTAGGGAATGGCATCCTGGAATAAAGATAAAACTTTTCCTAGATTTTATCGCTGTATCTTGGTGTGGCCACATCACCAAGTTTGGGCCAATGGATACACTTCCAGGAAGTATCCTTAAAAGGAGGAGGCATGCCCATCCCTTCCCCCTTTTTCCTGAAAGGTAGACACAATAGCAGAAACTAGAGCAGCCATCTTGGACTATGTGATAAAGGCTTCGTTTTGTGAATAGCAGAGAAATGAGGTAGATACTGTCTGAATCCCATCTTGTGGGTATAGTAGCCCTGAACTACTTGTCTGAATTTTTTTTTTTGAAACAGAGTTTTTGCTCTTGTCACCCAGGCTGGAGTGCAGTGGTGTGATCTCGGCTCATTGCAACCTCTGCCCTCTGGGTTCAAGTGATTCTCCTGCCTCAGCCTCCCTAGTAGCTGGGATTACCACCCTGCCACTACACCTGGCTAATTTTTGTATTTTTAGTAGAGACGGGATTTCACCACAATGGCCAGGCTAGTCTCGAATTCCTGACCTTAGGTGATTCGCCCGCCTCAGCCACCCAAAGTACTTAGATTACAGGCGTGAGCCATCGTATCTGGCGACCTGTTTGAACTTTTAATAAAAGTGAAGGGAGGAACTACCTTCTTCAAGTGTTAATGTTCTGGCTTCTCTGTTGCTCATAGCCTAACTGGATTCTTGTCAATACAGTGCACTTTGAGCATTATCCATGATTATTTCCATTTGAAGTAACTTTCCATATTGTACTAACAACTCCAGTTGTTAGTACAGTATTAGAGATGTAATAATTTAGTAAATACCTAGTTGTCCTTTATGTAGTAATTAAGTAAATATTGTAGTTGCTGCCGAGTTGCACTGTTCAGATGCTGTTGCTACGTAAAACTCCACTCCTAGAATTACTGGTGAAAAGTCATTTTATTATGCTCACAAATTGTGTGGGACAGGAATTTGGATGGAGCACAGTGATGGCTGGGGAAGGAGCCAGGGAGTGGCAGGGAGCTTTTCAGCTACTGGCCTGGAGGTTGACATTGGCTGTCAGCTGTGGCCTCAGCTAGGCTCTCGGTTGGAACACCTACACTGTGTAGTTTCTCCCTGTGGGCACATTTGACTTCTTCACAACCTGGCACTGGGTTCTAACAATGAGCCTTCCAAGAGAGCAAGAGAAGTGCATGGCATTTTAATGATTAGTCTTGGAATTCACATGATGTGTCTTCTGTCATACTTCATTGGATGAAGCAGTAACCAAGGTCCATCCAGCTTCAATAGAATGGTACATAGAGCCCAGTACTTGATGAGAGGAGTGTTAAGATTACATTATAATAAGAAGTATGTGGGATGGGAGATAGTCTTTAGAAAATAAAATCTGTGACACTTTAATCATTTCATTAAGACTGAAGAAATTAGGAGAGACTGAGGATAAGTGGTTTTCCATTTTTTTTCCCTGGGTCAGCCTTGGATACAGGTGAATTGACTGAATGGTGCTAGTAAAATGGAAGTAAAATCACATTTTTGTTTTTTTATTTTGACATGGAGTTTCTCTCTTGTTGCCCAGGCTGGAGTGCAGTGCCGTAATCTTGGCTCACTGCAACCTCCACCTCTCGGGTTCAAGTGATTCTCCTGCCTCAGCCTCCCAAGTAGCTGAGACTACAGGTGCCCACCACCACGCCCGGCTAATTTTGTATTTTTAGTAGATACAGGGTTTCTCTGTGTTGGTCAGGCTAGTCTTGAACTCCCGACCTCAGGTGATCTGCCTGTCTTGGCCTCCCAAAGTGCTGGGATTACAGGTGTGAGCCACCACGCCTGGCCCTAGTAAAATCACATTCTAATTCTACATCCCCCAGAGTATGTATTCTTTGACCCAGACCTCTAAATAGGTAAGGGTGTATGTGTGTGTGTGTGTGTGTGTGTGTGTGTGTGTGTGTAGAAGTGATGGCACATTAACTCCAACATATAGGTACTATGGGCCTTTTAAATCTATATAACTCTTAGAGCTTATTAAAGTTCCTTTATGTATTATCTCATGTGATTCTCCCCAAGAGGGAAGAATGACCATTATGTACCATGTAACCTCATGTTACAGGTAGGTAACTAATACTGAGAGAAGTAAAATAATTTATTGAAGGTTGCATGTAGTAGAGATAGTAATGCTCACTAAACATTCCATTTGTTCTACATTTCTCAGCTTCCTTAATTAATTTGAGGCCATGTGGTTAACAATGGCCAATGAAATGTGAGTGAAAGTGAATAGAGATGCTAGGTGCCTGAAGAGCATAGGACAGTTTTAGACAACAAAGAATTGTCCTGTATCTCATGACTTCTTTGAACCTCGCTGAATAATTATGTACATAGAAATCCTGTTTATAATGAGAAAGGAAGAGCAACCCCTACAGCTGTCAGCTGGAAGCTGATTTAGCCCTAATGGCTAGGCTATTATATTCTGTTGAATATAAACAATGTTATATAACACCAACATCTGACAAGTCCACTCTGAGTGTGGTGGAGGAAGACAAAAATTAAGACACTCCATAGGCATGTTGGAACTTAGCAAGATTCTGTGTAAATCATAGAGCGACCAAACATTCTTGTCTCTTGGCTTATATGTGTGATATTTGCTCCATTACCCATTAGATCACTCTGTTCCTTCTTCCTCCTAGATTAAAAATTTCAATATTTACACTCATTTAGAATTTCCCTTGCTTTCTGAAAGCACTTAATCCAGAGTAAAACCATGATTCATGGAGCCCTTCTTGAAATCACCCAACACAACCCCAAATCCTTTAAAAAGCCCTTCCCAGCACCCTCATACTGAGGCACCCCATGGTTCCCCATGGTGTGTGATCTCTCTTGTGTAAAAGTGTGCTGATAAACCCAACTCGATTCAACTGCAGATCTGTTCCTCATGATCTCTGACGGGTGGACATTGACAATAATTTTTTGAGCTTAGATTATAACTCCATTTTATATTTTTGTTGTAGATCTGCAGTACTTGATTTGCTCAAAAATGCAATTACCAGTTAAGTGAGGGAAGGTCGTAGTCTTTGTTCAGTACGTAACCAAGAGTTTTCTATCATTTTAAAAACTGTCACTAGTGGCAACATTGCTCATGGCATTTGAGTTCCAGGTCAAAACTACTGCAGTAGTCTGCATTTGTAGTGGGCACATTAATGGTAATTATATGTACATGTGCAAGCATCTAATGATTGTGTCATCAGGAGTTTTGGCCATCTCCAGTTTGAATTACACATTACCGTAAGTTGCTTCCTTTTATTTGTCTGTTACATTACAGTTAGATATTAAAGATACCTTTAATCATGATAGATGATTTAAAAATATGCCTCACGTAAGTTATATTGTTTGTGTTTTAGAATAATAAAACATGTTTAAAAATATTTCTGATAAAAAGTGGCTGTGGGCCTGAAGGGGTGAAAACCATTAGTCTACAGTCATTGATGAACAGTCTGTCCCTTAGGCCCTCTTAGTTGGAGCTGAAGAGTGTATAGATACGAACTTGAACTCTGGTGTTCTAATATTCTGTGTTGCTTACTGAAGGTAGATGCCATGTGCTTTGGAAACCAGCATGGACATTCTATGAAATTTGAGAAGAGAAGCAGTTTTCTCATTTAGATGGTCTATCATGGGTGGTAATATCTAGTGTTCTAAGTGAATGTAGTAGATGCTGCTTATATTAATTTAAGAGAAATCCTATATATCCCATTAAAAAAAATCGTAGAGAAACATTTCCAGAATGGTGGAGTATGGATCTTTGAATATCTGATTCTGCATAAAATCAATGAGGACACTGGCAGGAATGATCAAAATAAACTTTTTTAAACTCTGGAAATTAACCAAACGATTGCAACAACCCAAAGAAAATGTATTTGAGAAAAAAGCTGACTTTCCGTATGATCAATAAGGTTTGTGGTGTTTTAACTTGTCCTGTCCCCATTTTCTTCTCAGCTCCACAGTAGCCTTGAAAATCAGCAACCTTGAGACCACAGTAGCTGTGAAAACCAGTAGCCTAGAAACCACTGAAGGAATTTAGAGTCCCCCCCAAGATAGGTTTGGAGTTATCCAAGAAGCCCCATCCCCAGAGATTTGTCACTCCTTGACCTGTCTGGCAGCTCCCTGGAATAGTCCCAATCACAGGGCTTGTCTTCATTTAACCCAACTCAGGTCACTCAATGAGGAAACTATCCTCAGGTTGTTTGTTATAAACAATTGGTGGCAATTATTTAAACAGCACAGTTGCCTGACATGGCTATACTAGTTGGGACAAATGAGACTGGCCAGAAAACTTGAAAAAAGGGGAGTGCGATGTCTACAGAGGCTTTGAAAAGTGTCAAAATATTCTTGGGAGCTAGAAAGTCAGGTAAAGGTGAGAGACTTATGCTTCAACCACTTAAGGAAATCCCTGTCTAATCATATGCTCAAGACTAAAGTAACCAAGCAGAGATTTTGGTGACTGCAACATGACAAAGAACACAGACTAAACAGAATTAGTCGAGGAAAGGTACTAGACATACCACCATTGCAATAAAAATAACAAATAGTAACAAACTCTACAAAGATGGGGGGTGTGGGACAAATCTGATTTGCAGAGTTGCCACCTTATATTATTTAAATTTTCCAGTTTTCAACAACAACAAAAGACGTGAAGAAACAGCAATTACAGCCGCCTATATATGGGGGAAAAAACTTAGAAAACAGAAACCATCCCTGAGAAAACCCAGACATTAGATCTATTAAACAAAAAGTTTGTCAACCTTTAAATATGCTTTAAAAACTAAAGTAAACCATGGACAAAGAACACGAGAAAGGAAAATAATGTATAAACAAAGTGAAAGTATCAGTAAATAGAAAACATGAAAAATTCTGGAGCTGAAAAATTTCTTAGAGGGCTTTACAGATTTAAACAGGCAGAAGAATCAGCAAATTTGAAAATAGGACAAATGTAATTATCCAGTCCGAGGAACAGAAAGAAAAAAGAATGAAGAGTGAACAGAGCTTGAGGGATCTGTGGCATGCTATCAAGTTACCAACATATGCATTAAAGGAGTTCCAGAAAACGAAAAGAAAAAGGCAGAAATAATATTTGAGGAAATAATGGCTGAGACTTCCCAAATTCAATGAAATACATGAGCTACACATTCAAGAAGATCAACAAATTATAACTAGGATAAACTCAGAGATCTATTACTAAACACATTACAATCAAGCTGTCAAAAGCCAGAGACAAAGACAATCATTAAAGTAGCAGGAGAAAAACAACTTATCACATACAAGGGATCCTGTGTAAGATTAAATGCCTACCACTCATCAGAAACTACAGAGGTCAGAAGGCTGTAGAATGACATATTCAAAGTGCTAAAAGAAAAAACTTAACAGAGAATTTTAGATCCAGCAAAACTATCCTTCAAAACTATAAGAAAGGATGAGCATGGTGGCTCACACCTGTAATCCCAGTACTTTAGGAGGCTGAGGCAGGAGGATTGCTTGAGCCCAGGAATTTGAGACCAGCCTGGGCAACATGGCAAAAAGCCATCTCTATAAAAAATACAACAAACAGCTGGGTGTGGGGGCATGTGCCTGTGGTCCCAGCTACTCAGGAGGCTGAGGCAGGAGGATCACTTGAGTCTGGCAGGTTGAGGCCTTGATTGTGTCACTGCACCCCTACTTGGGTGACACAGTGAGACACCCTCTCAAAAAAAAAAAAAAGTGGAAATTAAAACATACCCAGATAAAAACTAAGAATTCACTGCTAGCAGACCTGCCTTACAAGAAATGCTAAAAGACATCCTTCAGACTGAAATGAAAGGACACTAGACAATAACTCCAATCCACATGAGGAAATAAAAAGCATCATTAAAGGTAACTACATAGGTAAATACGAAATATAGTATAAATGTATTTTTGTTTGTAATTCTTTTCCTGTCTGACCTAAAAGACAACTACATAAAGCAATACTTATGAAATAATGTTGATAGGGTTATAACTTATAAAAGATGCAATTTGTATGATGATAATAGCACAAAGGAGGAGGAAGGGAATAGAGCTATACCAAAGTTTTTGAGTATTATTGAAATTAGGTTGGCATTAATCTGAACCTACTTTATGTTAAGATATTAATCATAGTCCCTAGGGCAACCTCTAAGAAAAAAAACTCAAAAAATACAATAAGAGGAACAAGAAGGAAATCAAAATGATATACTAGAAAATACCTATTTAATACAAAAGGCAGTAGTGGAGAAATTAAATCAAAAGACATAAGATGCATAAAAGGAAAAGAGCAGATATCCCACAAATGACTCCCACCTTATCAGTAATTATATTAGAAGAAAACCAGTTAAATAATTCAGTCAAAAGACAGATTTGCGGCTGGGCACAGTGGCTCACGCCTGTAATCCCAGCACTTTGGGAGGTCTAGGTGAGCGGATCACTTGAGGTCAGGAGTTCAAGACCAGACTGGCCAACACGGTGAAACCCCATCTCTGCTAAAAATGCAAAAATTAGCTGGGTGTGGTGGTGGGCACCTGTAATCCCAACTACTCTGGAGGCTGAGGGATGAGAATCACTTGAACCCAGGAGGCGGAGGTTGCAGTGAGCTGAGATCACACCACTGGACTCCAGCGTGGGTGACAGCGAGACTCCATCTCAAAAAAAACCCAAAAAACAGATCGGCAAAAAACATGATCCAACTATATGTTGTCTACAAGAGGCACACTTTAGATTCAAAGACACAGGTAGAAAGTGAAAGTATAGAAACAGATATACCATGCAAGCAGCAATCAAAAGATAGCTGGAGTGACTATGCCAATGTCAAACAGTAGATTTTAAGGCAAAAACTGTTTCAAGGGACAAAGAAGGACATCACACATTGGTAAAAGGACCAATTCATCAGAAAAACATAACACTTAAAAACAAATATGCACTTAAAAAATCCCACACATGAAACAAAAGCTGACAAAACTCTCCATAATGAATAATTATTAACAACTGAATAATTATTAACAATTAATTTACTTTTTTTTTTTTGAGACAGAGTCTCACTCTATCACCCAGGCTGGAGTGCAGTGGTGCTGACTCGGCTCACTGCGACCCCCCCGCTCCCAGGTTCAAGCAATTCTCCTGCCTCAGCCTCCCGAGTAGCTGGGATTACAGGCCTGCACCACCATGCCAGGCTAATTTTTGTATTTTTAGTAGAGATAGGATTTCACCATGTTGGCCAGGCTGGTCTCAAACTCCTGACCTCAAGTGATCTGCCTCCCTTGGCTTCCCAAAGTGCTGGGATTACAGGCGTGAGCCTCTGAGCCTGGCATAACAATTTACTCTTAATAATTATTAATAACTAAATGAGATAATCCACATAAAAGAGTAAGCTTAGTCCCAGGTACACGGTAAGCACTTGATAATGATAACTCTTATTTAGAAAGAAAAACTGAGTTGCTTTGCTAGTTAAAGGTAAAGAAGTCAGAAAATCTAACAATAGTGGCTGGAGACATCAACACTTCATTTATAATAATGCATAGAAGTAGGCAGATGATTAGGAAAAAGAGGATTCAAAAGCACTATAAACAAACTAAATCTGCCAGGCACGGTGGCTGATTTCTGTAATCCCAGCACTTTGGGAGGCTGAGGCGGGCAGGTCACTTGAGGTCAGGAGTTCGAGACCAGCCTGGCCAACATGGTGAAACCCCGTCTCTGCTAAAAATACAAAAATTAGCTGGGTGTGGTGGCGCATGCCTGTAATCCCAGCTACTTGGGAGGCTGAGGCAGGATGAACTCGGGAGGTGGAAGCTTCGGTGAGCCAAGATCACGCCACGGCACTCCAGCCTGGGTGACAAATGAGACTCCATCTCAAACAAACAAAAAAACCCAACAGACATCTGTAGAGACTCTGTCCAACAACAGCAGAATACACATTCTACTCAAATGAACATGGAACATTTTCCACGATAGACTATATGTTAGGCCATAAAACAGGCTTCAATAAATTTAAAATAATCGAAGTCATACAAAGTATAATCTTTGGTCAAAATGGAATTAAATTAGAAATGAACAACACAAGGGAATTTGGGAAATTCACAAAGATGTGAAAATTAAACAACATACTGCTAAATAACCAGTGGGTCAAAGAAGAAATCACAAGGGAAATTAGAAAATACTTTGAGATTAATGAAAATGAAAACACAACATACCAACACTTATGGGATGCAGCTATAACAGTGTTTATAGAGAAATCCATAACTGTAAACACTTATTTTTTTTTAAACAAGACATCTCAAATCAAGTCTCACCTTTCATCTTAAGAAACTAGAAGATGACCATAGTAAATCAAAGTAAGCAGAAGGAAGGAAATAATAGATTAGAAAGGAAAGAAAAAACATAAAGACTTGAAAAACAGTAGAGAAAACAACAAAACTAGAAGTTGGTTCTTTGAAAGGATTAGCAAAATTGACAAACCTGGAATCAGATTGAAAGAAAAGATACCACTACTGTTTACTGAAAAAGCAATCCTTACTGAATGCTTTTGTAAAGCGATTGGTTATCCCAATAGAATATACATCACTTTACACCTATTTTTTGTGTGAACATTCTGTTATGTAAGCATTCGAACATTGTTTTTCTCCAAAAAGTGCTTTCCACGAATTGTTTCATCCTCGTGACATTCTTAGAATGCAGAAGCTGTTGTATTTAGTAAACTGTAATCATTAAGAACTTGTATTTGATTCAGGCAGATCTGAGTTGTGGATCCAGTTCAATATCCTTTTTTAGATTTTGAGAAAGTCACTTATCCCATTTTTACAGATGAAGCAGCAGGCTGAGAGTCATAAGCACAAGTAAATACTTACCCTCGAGGTGGGAGGAGCTTGTGAGGATTAAATGAGATAACTCATGTAAAATGTTCAGTATAGTCCCAAGCCCACAGTAAGCCCTCGATAATGGTAACTTGCTCAGATGGAAAACCGAATTGCTAAGCTAAAGGTGCAGCAGTCAGGGGAGCTAACCCCTAGTTAAGTGGCTCCTCTTTTAATTTAGATTCTCATCTAGTATATGGCATGGATAATCCAAATGCAGCAAAACAGTCAATTATAGGAAAGAATGCTGATTTCATTTTATTTTTTATTTTGTTTAGAACAAGTTAAAGATAGAAGAAAAACTTTAAACAAAATAAATGTAACGGAGCAAAGAATGATTCATGGGAATTGGGCTTTGCTCTGAAACATGGGCAGTGAGTATTTACAGGCAGAAAAAGGCTGAAGAATGCAGAAACAAAGAACACAAAGTGGATTGGTTTTTTCAAAGTTACTTTCCTTGTGAAGGTTAAAGTAGGGGGACTTCCTTATCAGGCAGGCTAAAACTGGCTGTTCGGAGATGTGGCTATTATCTCCCTCTCACTCCTGATTTCTTGGAAGGTCAGATAACAATGTAGTTTTGGCTTGGTGGCCTGGAACTTCACCGTGAGTAACTCCATTTTGGTTTGGTCTACTGGGGCCTAGTGCAGGAACTTACTTCAAACCAACGACCTCCTATAAATTTTTTTAACAGAGATCATAAGTTTATGAGCCAGTAACTTACTATAGCATTCATTTCTAATTTATAGTTAAAACACATCCTGTTATTTATTTTTTTCACATAATCGTTGAAATTCAACACAGCTACGAATGAGTCTTAATGTTTTTTAAACATTTCTTCTAGGATGTTGCCTTTCTCCCCAAGCCCCAGTTCCCTCTTGCTTGTAGCTTGCACTTGGTCCTCTAGATGGCAATATACTAACATATGATGTAAATGAAACCAACGCATCCTGGAGCAGCCAATTTACTTGGTTTAGTAAGAAATGATGGTTTTCCTACAAGTGGTGAGTTAGGACTAAATCCATGCATCTTATTGTGAAATTAGTCAAAATCAGTGCCAGGGAATGAATAGATGCTGAATAAATAAGTACAATATAATACCCACAATGTACAGAGATCAAGCAAGACAGGTACCGTAGACACAGTCAGACATAAGAAGAACTATGAGTGCTATGTGTCTACCTTCCTGATCTTGGCAAACCCTGCCATTTAACAAGTGAGGAAACTGAGGATTGGGGGATCAGTAGCTTTCCCGGGGTCATATAACTAGAGAGAGGTGAAGCCAGGACTTGTCAATGGTGAGGCTTCGATGATGAGCTTGAATTTAAGATATGTCAGATTTGAAGCCAATGGAGCATATCAAATTAGCAAAGTGCAGTGGAAACCTGGAACTCAACCTCAGGATTAGGCCAAAGGTATACATTTAAGAGGCATCTCTGTAGAGCAGAGTCGAAGCTGTAACAATGTAGGAGTGGTCTACAGCAACTGTGTCTGTTAAAGAGCTGATAACTGAAGTGTAATTCCCAAAGACCAAGGTGATATGGCAGCGGGTAAAGGGCATACGCAGTGCAGACAAACATGAGTTTAAATCCTGGCTTCATATTTACTTGCTGTGTTGGTCATGGGCATTTAACCTCTTAAATATCGTGAGATACTTAATCTCTTTGACTCTTTGCAATAACCCTGTGAGGGAGATACTACCTCCATTTTACAGATGAAAACTGAGGGTTAGAGAATGTAGGAGTTGACCCAAGGTCAGGGTGCATCTAGTACATGATGGATCCAAGGTTCCTATCTGGACAGTCTGCCTTAGGCTTACAGTGCTAAGCACCACATGCAGTTTCCCCAATCATACACCTTAGGACACCACCTTTGTATGTGGGTCTCGTGCCAGAGATGAACGTGGGCGCATGCACATGCGCGCATGCGCGCGCGCGCACGCACACACACACACACACACACACACACACACACACACGGAGAGAGATTTATTTCAAGGAGTTGGCTTACACAGTTGTGGGAACTGACAAATCCAAATTCTGTCGGGCAGGCCAGCAGGCTGGAACTCTCAAGCAGGAGCTGATGTTGCAATCTTGAGGTCAACTTTCTACTTCCTCAGGAAAATCTTAGTTTTGTTCATAAGGCCTTTAACTGACTGGCTGAGACATTCCCACACAGTAAAAGAGCAACCTGTTTTACTCAATGTTAACAGATTGTAGATGTTAGCCACATCTATAAAATAGCTTCAAAGCAAACAACACCTACATTAGTGTTTGATTAAATAACTCAGTACTAGCCAAGCTGACACAAAAAATTAACCATCACACGCTTCCAGCTGTCTGTAAACGCTATGACAGCAGGAAGCCTATCTTTGTCATTCGCCTTCCCATTGTCAGTGCATGACCCAGTGCCGGGCACCTAATGGCACTCAATAAACATTTATTGGGCATGTGCCCGCCTTTTAACAGTGTAGGTGAAAGCCATTGTATACATGCTGTTTTCAACTGCTGACCTGTGCTAGCTACAGATTTTCAGTGTGTTCAACTCACACATTACTTTCTCTGGGGCTCCCTGGATGGAGCAGTGGAAGGACTGATCTCAAAGCAGGAGACAGAGACACCTCCTTCCTGGAGATCTGGCTTGGCCAACTGGGTAGTTTTCCTTTTCAGAAGATGAAGCAACTGATGGTCATTGCCAGAGCCAGGAGGAGGAGGGCTGCCACTGCCAAGAGCCGAGTGGTGGTCCTGGTAGGACACTGCTCATGCACTGTGTCTGTTCTTAGGTTTCAGCTGGCATCTGTTTCCAGCTCTTGGTGCTATTTGCAACCTTGTATCTTAGGATGAAGGCATAAAGGTTTTCAAGCAGCAAAACCTTCCAGGGTTAGATAAGAGTGTTTCACTGTGGATCTGTGAGCACCTATAGCCACTGTGTGCATCCCTCTGGGACCCCAGCAACTGCTTCTGAGAAAACAGAGGGATGGAGAAGAGGACGCCACCCAGATGGTGGAAACATCTATCAAAAGTTAGGATGTCCTCTAGAAAGCCTCTTTGGGTGTCTGATTTCATATCTCCTTCCTCATCAGAGAATGGCGTCGCCTCCTATTTGATGAGAATTTAAACACATCTAGAACATGTGCTTACCTTTTCCTATCTCCTGTCTCTGGGATCACATCATACTGCCTCCAAGAATCCTGTCCTTAACCCCCTTCCTTAGAATTTACAGCATAGCCTGGAAACAACCAAGCATTCATCTTTATTCTAAAGTACCTAGAACAGAGCTGGATCTGTGACACATATTCAAAGGCTGTTTAATCAAACAGGAAAAACTCATATTTGGAGTAGGGAGTAGGGGGAGGCAAAATGGTACTCTCAATGAATTATAATATTTTAAAATTTGTCTAATAGAGAGTATAAAACAAACCAGAGAAGCATAAAGGAAGGTCATGCTAATTTTCATGAGGTATTTTCTAACTCCAGGAACAAAATGGTGAAAGGGCATTCTAAGTCAAAGGAATTTATCATGTAAAGACGGGAGTAACACACACACACACACACACACACACACACCACTCTGCTACAACCACAAGAAACACTTTGTTGTTCTTCAAATGCACCAAGCTCTCTTCAGCAGTGTTTTGTAGTGCGTATAGGACATCTTTGAAATATTCTGGATATTTAATCTTTGTCTTCTTGGCATGTTAAAAATATCTTCTGGCGGCTGGGCACGGTGGCTCACGCCTGTAATCCCAGCACTTTGGGAGGCCGAGGCGGGCGGATCACGAGGTCAGGAGATCAAGACCATCCTGGCTAACACGGTGAAACCCTGTCTCTACTAAAAATACAAAAAATTAGCCGGGCGTGGTGGCGGGCGCCTGTAGTCCCAGCTACTTGGGAGACTGAGGCAGGAGAATGGCGTGAACCTGGGAGGCGGAGCTGGCAGTGAGCCGAGATTGCGCCACTGCACTCTAGCCTGGGCGACAGAGTGAGACTCTGTCTCAAAAAAAAAAAAAAGAAAAAAAAAATCTTCCAGCCAGGTGCAGTGCTCATGCCTGTAATCTCAGCACTTTGGGAGGCCAAAGGGGGTGGATCACCTGAGGTCAAGAGTTCAAGACTAGCCTGGCCAACATGGTGAAACCCATCTCTACAAAAATACAAAAATTAGCTGGGCATGGTGGTGGGTGCCTTTAATCCCAGCTACTTGGGAGGCTGAGGCGGGAGAATCGCTTGAACCTGGGAGGCAGAGGTTGCAGTGAGCCGAGATCGTGCCACTGCACTCCAGCCTGGCAACAGAGCGAGACTCTGTCTCAAAAAGAAAAAAAAAAGAAAAAAAAGGCCTGGCGGGGTGGCTCATGCCTGTAATCCTAGAACTTTGGGAGGCCGAGGTGGGTGGACTGCCTGAGCTCAGGCATTCGAGACCAGTCTGGGCAACACAGTGAAACCCCATCTCTATTAAAATACAAAAAATTAGCCGGGCGGCATGCACCTGTAGTCCTAGCTACTCGGGAGGCCGAGGCAGGAGAATCACTTGAACCCGGGAGGCAGAAGTTGCAGTGAGCCGAGATCGCGCCACTGTACTCCAGCCTGGGTGACAGAGCGAGACTACGTCTCCAAAAAAAAAAAAAAATTCTGCTCTATAACTTCACGTTTAACATTGTTTAGGGAGGTTTTTGTTTGTTTGGTTTGTTCTTTTTAGAGGGAATCTCGCTCTGGTGGTGCACAGGTGTGCACCACCATGCCTGGATAATTTGTGTATATTTGTAGAGATGGGGTTTCACCATGTTGGTCAGGCTGGTCTGGAACTCCTGACCTCCGGTGATCCGCCCACCTTGGCCTCCCATTGTGCTGGGATTACAGGTGTGAGCCACAATGCTTGGCCAGGAGTGTTTTGACTTTTATAAGTTTTTTAAAAAATGTAGCCAAACTTACCAACTTTTATGACTTCTCTTTTCAATATTCATTGAAAACCCTCTTTATCAATGTAATAATGATATGCTACATTTTCTTTTAAAGTTATAAAATGCTGCTTTTCATATTTAGCTTTTAAAATTATCTAGAATTTATCTTGGCATATAGACTGAAGTAGGGATCTCATTTTATCTTTCCCCATGTAGACAGCCAATTGTATCAGCACCCTGTATTGAATAATCCAGATTTTCCTCACTGATTTGTGATGCCATTCTGTCAAATACCAAGTTCCTGGTGTGAATAGGTCTATTTTTTCCTTATTTATTTATAGGGGTACTTTGTGTTTTCTGAATGCTAATTCTTTGCCACTGATATATATTGTGAATGTCTTATCTCACTTTGAATTTCTCATGAATAGCAGCTCAATTAAAATTATCAATCTTTTATAGTTTCTGTTTTATGCTTCATATTTGTGAATTTCCTTCTTACCCTAAGAACATAAAGATATTTTCCTATATAGTCTCTTAAATGTTTCATAAGTTATGTCTTTAAGCCTCCTCAAATTGATTTTTTTGGTATGGTGTGAGGTAGAATCTGTAGTAATTTGTAATATTTGCTCAGAATTCTTTCTTTCCTTCCTGCCTGTGCCATGATTCATTTTGGGTAGAATGTACTCCACTTCCCCCCTGTCTTTGAGCTTAACCACGTGACTTGTTTTGGTGATTAGAATGTGAGCAGATATAATGTATGTCCCACCCAATAAGAAACTTTAAATGTGTGGTTTGATTTACTCTCGTGTATTCCTTACCTGCAACATGAGAAGTGCATGCCCCGGGTGGCCACACTCCTTCAGCTTGGGTCAGAGAATGAGAGACATGTGGAGTAGACCTGATCTGACCTCTGTGTGACTTATAGACCTCTGTGTGACAAATATATGTTTGTCATTATATGCTACTGAGATTTGGGAAGTTGTTTGTTACACAGCATAATTGCAGCAACATGGCTAACACAGAATCACATTTCTTTTTATTTCCCATGTGGCTAACCAATTACTGAAATATCTGTCCTTTTCACATTAATCTCCAATACCAACTCCATCATAAACTAAGCTTCTCTATATATGTGGTTCTCTTTCATGCCTCTCTTTTCAGTTACATTTCTCTATTTGAATATCCCTATACCAATACCCACTAACTTAATTAGTAGAGATTATAATAATTTTTTTTTTTTTTGAGATGGAGTCTCGCTCTGTCGCCCAGGCTGGAGTGCAGTGGCATAATCTCAGCTCACTGCAAGCTCCGCCTCCTGGGCTCATGCCATTCTCCTGCCTCAGCCTCCCAAGTAGCTGGAACTACAGGCGCCCACCACCACTCCTGGCCAATTTTTTTGTATGTTTAGTAGAGATGGGGTTTCACCATGTTAGCAGGATGGTCCTGATCTCCTGACCTTGTGATCTGCCTGCCTCGACCTCCCAAAGTGCTGGGATTACAGGTGTAAGCTACCGCACCTGGCCAGATTATAATAATTTTATAATCAACTTGTTAAGTACCAAAAAAGCTCTGCTAGAATTTTGATCATAACTCCATTGAAACCGTGTATCAAGTGGGGGGAATTCTCATCTTTGCAATATTGAATCTTCTGATCCATGAACATTGTATGTCTCTTAAGTCCTTGATTTCTTTAAGTAAAGTTTTTATAATTTTCTCTATAGAGGTCTTTTCTATTTGTGGTTAGCTTTATTTTTGGGTACTTTACATTTTCTGTTGCTATCATTAGTAGTATTTTATGCCATCACATTTTTTTAAAGGTTCATTTTAAATGTATATACTTTAGGATTTTTGTGTAGATATTTTGGGATTTTTATCTAGACAAACATGCAAACTGCAAATGATGACAGATTTTTTTTCCTTCATTTCCAATCTTCATATTTTTTTATGCGTTACTGCTTTCACTAGGAACTCCAGTATAATTTTGTAAGGACATGGTGGTATCAAGCACCCTTGCTTGCCCACAATATTAAGGGGAACATTTATAATATCACAGTTAACGGTAAAATGTTGAAAGCTTTGTTTGAACATGCGTGGATGTCCACTTTCAGCCATAATGTGATAACAAGAACCAGACTTATCCTCCCACTGTGAGTAACTAGAAAGTGGACAAGATACATAAAATAACTTATTTCAGGAAGTACATGATTGTGATCCCTGGGAAAATGGACATAAGTGAAAAGAACCCTATAATTGCCTTGGCTTTCTACCTGGAGGCAATTTCTGACAATAGGATAAGGGAGGAGGAATCTAAATAGAGCCTGAAATCCTCTCTGAGTTGAGAAGATCAAAGATGACCCAAAAAAGGGAACCCAGAGGACGTTAGGTGATCTGAAACCATGTCATCTGGAAAATAGTTAGAAGTCCTGGGCTGTTTAACTGGCAGTAGGGAAGACTGAGGGGCAATATGAAAACTGTCTTTAGAGATTAGAAAAACTGTCATGTTGAACAGGGGTTGTTTGTGTTCTGTATGGCCCTGAAAGACAGAGTTTAGGACAGCTGGATGGAAATGAGAGAAAGAGGATTTTGGTGAAATCCAAGGAAACACTTTCTAGCAATCATGGTTGATCAGGCTGGAGTGGGCAGCCTTCCTCAGCTGGCGGATGAAGGCACTGAGCAAGCATGCTGGGTTGTTGCTGAAGGAGCTTCTGTAGTGGCAAGTGACCAAGCTAAATGGCATCCAGGGTCCCTTTTACTCTTAAAGTTTTTCATAGTTTGGTTTGCATAGCTTGGCCTCCATAAAAGGCAGCTGTTACCAAATGACAGTGCTTTTTGTTTGTTTGTTTGAGACAGAGTCTCGCTGTCGCCCAGGCTGGAGTGCAGTGGTGCGATCTTGGCTCACTGCAGGCTCCACCCCCTGGGGTTCATGCCATTCTCTTGCCTCAGCCTCCAGAGTAGCTGGGACTACAGGCGCCCGCCACCCAGCCCGGCTAATTTTTTGTATTTTTAGTAGAGACGGGGTTTCACCGTGTTAGCCAGGATGGTCTCGATCTCCTGACCTCGTGATCCGTCCGCCTCGGCCTCCCAAAGTGCTGGGATTACAGACGTGAGCCACTGTGCCCGGCCAAGAAAAAGATATTTTTGAGTTAGTAAGTTGTATGTTTTCTTTATAGTCACATTATAATGAATTAGACTTGTTATGAAATTGGAACTTCTATTTAATTTTTAAAATAAATGACTTATGTTTAGTAAATGAATATCAATCACAATTGACCCTTAACAATGTGGAATTTAGGGATGCTTGATTCCCTCTGCAGTCAAACATCTGTGTATAAATTTTGACTCCCCCAAGAACGTAACTACTAATAGCTAACTGTTGACCAGCAGCCTTATTGATAACATAAACAGTCAATTAAGATATGTTTGGTATGGTATATGTATTAATATGCTGTATTCTTACAATAAAGGAAGCTAGGGAAATAAACTGTTAAGAAAATCATAAGGCAGAAAAAATACGCTTACTGTTCATTAAATGCAAGTGGATCATTCTATAACTCTTCATCATAGTCTTCAAGTTGAGCAGGCTAAGGAGAAGGAGGAAGAGGAAGATTAGTCTTCGCTGTCTCAGGTGGTAGAGGTGGGAGAAAATCTGCTCATAAGTAGACCCCTGCAGTTCAAATCCGTGTTGTTCAAAGGCTAACTATATTACATAGTGATTTGTGTCACTAAAAAAAAGAAATTAGTTTCAAAACTGGAAACTCAGCAATACCTTTCTGGCACCATAAACAAATGGCAATAAGAACCGTGAAATGGCCAGGTGTGCTGCCCAGACCTGTAGTCCCAGCAAGTTGGGAGGCCTAGGTGGGAGGATCGCTTGTGTCCAGAAGTTCCAGACCAGCCTGGGTGACAGAGTGAGACCACATCTCTACAAAAACAAATACAAAATTAGCTGGGTGTTTTGGTGCACACCTGTAATCCCAGCTACTTGGGAGACTGAGATGGGAGGATCGCTTGAGCCTGGGAGTCAAGGCTATAGTGAGCTGTGATCATGATCACAACCTGGATGACAGAGTGAGACCCTGTCTCAGAAAAAAACAAAAACAAAAACACAAACAAAACCCTGCCAAACATACCCAATGTGCACTAATACTAATGGGAAATTATTTTTTAAAGAGACCTTCTGAGTGCAGAAGTCAGAAAAGCAATTCCTTGTTGAGAAGAACAGGTCATGTTACATACTTATAAACCAACAAGGTGTCACTATTATTGACTTTCCCCCAATTTGAAATCGAATGAGGTATATTTACTTCATTAGAACAAGATGTGTTTTTCTACCTGCTGGTTAATTGCTATGTTAACAGTAATTTTGTTAGAACAAGATATGCTGTTACCATTAGCCAAAAGATTATCATAATAAATATTCAAATAGCCCAACTCTAGGCTCAACAAATTATAATGGAAGTATAAAAATGTTTCACAATAACAAAAAATGCTTCTGTGCTTCCAAGATGTGATGCCTAATGCATTGGACAATCTGAACTGTAAGAGGACACCTTTAATTTAGTACATATTAATCAAAGAACTTCTCTAAGTTAGGTTTTGCACGTTATGGGAGACAAACATGAAATAGACATAGTTTTGGTCTTTGAGGTGCTCATAATAGAATAGAGCTTTCTCTATTTAATTTCTGTGTTTTTTCCAACAGAATTTTCAAGGAAATCATTTATTCATTTGTCCACTTAACAAATAATTATCAAATGTCTTTTAGTACTAAGCTTTTTTTTTCTAATGTTACAGAATACAGACATTTAAAAATACTGTTGGGGCCAGCACAGTGGTGCATGCCTGTAATCTCACCACTTTGGGAGGCTGAGATGGGAGGATCACTTGAGCCCAGAAGTTCGAGACCAGCCCGGGCAACATGACAAGACCTCATCTCTACTAAATTTTTTAAAAAACAATAAAACATTAGCTGGGCATGGTGCCAGGTGCCTGTACTTCCAGCTACTTGGGAGGCTGAGGTGGGAGGATTGCTTGAGCCTGGGTGTTTGAGGCTACAGTGAGCTATGATCATGCCACTGCACTCGTGTCTGGGTAACAGAGTGAGACCCTGTCTCAAAAAAGAAAAAAAACAAACCAACAAAACCCAGGAGCTTGTTATTATCATTGTCACTTTAATTATTTGATGAATTATTTATTCAGTGCCTACTACTGTGTTAGATGCCCTCTGGAACCGTATAGTGATCATTTATTATGTTAAATATGTGCCAGACACTTTATGTGGTGAGGAATGAAAGCTGTAAAAAAGTGGGTAAGATTTAAGGTAAGCATGAAGAGTGAGTAGAACTTTTCTAGGTAAAGAGGCAGAAGGATGATGTGGGCAGAAGATTGTGTGTGTGGCAGAAGGAGCAGCGAGTGCAAAAGTAAGATGCTTGAGTGAACTTTGCAGGGTTTATGAGCAGTTCAGTTTTGCCAGTGCAAAACATATGAGATGTGAATGGTTGGGAATGAAGTGAATACCTAAGGCAAGCTCATGACAGACTTTTTTTTGAGACAAAGTCTCACTCTGTCACCCAGGCTGGAGTGCAGTGGCGTTCGCTTGGCTCACTGCAACCTCCGCCTCCCGAGTTCAAGTGATTCTCGTGCCTCAGCCTCCCAGGTAGCTGGGATTACAGGCGCGAGCCACCATGCCCAGCTGATTTTTGTATTTTCAGTAGAGACAGGGTTTCGGCATGTTTGACGGGCTGGTCTCAAACTCCTGACCTCAAGCGATCCACCCACCTCGGCCTCTCAAGTGCTGGGATTACAGACGTGAGCCACCACTCCCTGCCCAGACTTTTTAATACTATAGAAATGAGTAGATCTCGGGCCGGGCATGGTGGCTTATGCCTATAATCCCAGCATTTTGGGAGGCCAAGGAGGGCAGATCACAAGGTCAGGAGATCGAGACCATCCTGGCCAACATGGTGAAACCTGTCTCTACTAAGAATACACATGAAAAATTAGCCAGACGTGGTGGAGCATGCCTATGGTCCCAGCTACTCAGGAGGCTGAGGCAGGAGAATCACTTGAACCTTGGAGGCAGAGGCTGCAGTGAGCCAAGATCGCACCACTGCACTCCAGCCTGGGTGACAGAGCAAGACTCTGTCTCAAAAAAAAAAAAAAAAGAAAAAAAGAAAAAAGAAAGAAATGAGTAGAACTTTTCCTGTAGGCCATGGGAAATTTACCAGGTGGAATGCTTTGGGCTGTAAATACTAGATGACCTAACTAACAGTGGCTAAAACAGTAGGGACCAGAGTTGTTTTGATGGTTCAGTGATAACACGGTGTTTTGTTCATGTCTGTTTTCATGGCTGACTAATTAGCAACAGCTCCAAACATCGTGGTCTCACCGACAATATCTTTACATGTTTCTTTTAGTTAGGGAGAAGACTCAGAAGGGTGCAGTTGACTTCCTGTAACATTTTATTGGCTGGGTCCTACCACATGCTCATTCCTAAACCAGGCACTGGGGAAGCAAATGTAATTACTATGATGAGCTTAGAATAATCATTTCTTCTTTTGGAGTGGGGAGGGCTATTGGCATGATAAATATCCAAATAGATGCGTGTTTCTCTATTGAGAAACAGGGAATCGCTATTGGGTAGGGAGACAGCAATGTTTACTGTAGGGACTCATTGGAGTGGGGAGTCACATGATTAGATTTGAGTATTAGGGCAATCTGGTTATGGTATAAAACAGGGATTGGCAAGCATTTTCTGTACAGGGCTTTTTCATGTGGTCTGTCATTCCTACTCAACCCTACCATTGAAGTATGAAAACAGTCATAAAAAGGCAAGCAAATATACATGACTGAGCTCCGGTAAAACTTTATTTACAAAACTATAAGGCAGACTGGATTTGCTCCATGGCCTGTAGTTTGCTGACCCCTCATATGGAGAGCAGCTGGAAGATAACCACATAAAGAGACAGGGAAACAAAAGAAACATTTGCATTTATCAGAGCTATAGTTTCCTTGTGCTGTCCTCAGACTAGTGTCAGTCTGTTGTGAGGTTCTCACCCATCCATGGTGAAATCAGTAAGGTTAAGGAGCTCAGTTATTCATTTAAAAATGTCGGTCTTTTTCTTGGCATGATGCCTTTTTCATTTATTTTACTTAAACTTTTTTTTCATTTAAGAAATAACATTAATAGTTGTTTTTTCCCTATAAAAGCCAGTACTTAAGAGCCCATGTTTAACTAGGAAATATAAACATAAAATAAACGTGTCACAGTGGAAATATAAAGCAGATGCAGAAAAGAGGTACAGTTAATATGATTTAGTGATTGTTGAATGTAAAAAGATAGGGGATAGGGAGAAATCTCAGATGATTCTCAGGTTTCTGGCTTGTGCCCTAACATTTAACCTGGACACGAGGGAGTAGGCAGTTTTCAGGTGTATAGAGGAGAGCAGCAGGTCAGCAGTCACGACTAACAGTTTTCTCTGCATTGCTGAGTTTACTGAAATGTCCATGTGGGATATTTTCAGTAGGTAATTGGAAAAATTTTTATGGCTGGAGATGGAACTCTGAGGTTGGAGTTGCAGACTTGGAATAACTGAGGCAAAGTTGTAGATCTGAGTGAGCTTGTCCATGATGGGAAAGGTATAGAATGAGCAGAGGGCCAGTGACAGAACCCTGGGAATATCAGCATTTCCCAGAGGAATTAGGAAAGAAGCCTGAGCCGCGGCTAAAGAAAAAGAGGAGAGGAATCATAAAGTGATGTTGCAAAAATTTACAAAGGTGAGAATTTCAAGGAGGGAGTATCAATTCTAACCAGTAAGATTACTAAAAAGTAAAGTGAGTTAACCTTTTAAAAGCCTTCAGTGGCACTGTCTTCTAAAGAACAATCATAGAGTTGTGGGGTTCGCTGTTTATGTGATCAGTACTTCTGATGTTCAAATGGGGAAGAATACACCTACCAAGATCCTACCTAACTTTTGTAACTGCAGCAGCTCCCTGTACAGGATCAGGGAAAATGGTCAAGACTGGTGAGTTAATGTACCACCATTTTCCTAGAATTGTCTAAACCTAAGGTCATATGTGAGGAAAAGTGTAGTCTTTCTTACCTGCTTTTTTGTGGAAATGCTTGTTTGGTACTCAAGTCCTTGATAGGCTCTTCTGAATTCCCAAACAAACATCTAACAGCAACAACTGGAAGCCACCACCAGATGCACGTATATATCGTTCCTCTGACATGGAATCATAATACAGCCATGTTGTGACACAATTTCAGGTTTTGATTAGAAATAGTTTACAGGCCAGCAGTTTAGACAAACTGACATTTTAAAAATATTTTATTGCAGGAAACTAATATAATGTGCTGGAGAAAAATATAAAGTGAAATGCTGAATATAGCAGTTCTCAGTACTTGGGGTTTTGGTGACATCAGGAGAAAAGTCAGTGCCTGACTCCTTTTGTTAGTGCAGTTCCCTTTTCATTTACCCTCTTGTGATATTTCTGCTCTTACTGCTTCCTTTTGAATTCCATTCCTAAAGAAAATACTATTAGAACACATTTCAAATGCACTTCTTTATATCTGCACCACAATGACACAATGATGATGGTCTGCCAAGATTTTAAGTGTCTTCTGGGTTGTCAAATACAAATTGTTTTATCTGACATAGTTTAAATGTGAAGTGCTTTTGTGGTATTACATTTCTTCAGAAATTGGTAATCTGTGATTTAACTAGAATATGTGGTCAATTGGATTACCACACTTTTAACCATCTATACATAAGATGTCTCTTCTCCCGGCCAGATAAGTTAAAAGTCCTGTTGATCCTTACTGATCAGTTCCACTATTTGCAGGGCTTTTTTGGACTTTTGTTGTTGTTGTTGTTGAGACGGAGTCTCGCTCTTCCACCCAGGCGGGACTGCAGTGGCGCTATCTCGGCTCACTGCAAGCTCCGCCTCCCGGGTTCACGCCATTCTCCTGCCTCAGCCTCCTGAGTAGCTGGGACTACAGGTGCCCGCCACCGCGCCTGGCTAAATTTTTGTATTTTTAGTAGGGACGAGGTTTCACCGTGTTAGCCAGGATGGTCTCGATCTCCTGACCTCGTGATCCACCCGCCTCGGCCTCCCAGAGTGCTGGGATTACAGGCGTGAGCCGCCGCGCCCGGCCTGGACTTTTTTTTTGAACGGGTGTGATTATAGCACACTGCAGCTTTAGTTCCTAGCCTCAAGCAATTGTTCTGCCTCAGCCTCCTGAGTAGGTGGAACAACAGATGTGTGCTACTGCACCTGGCCTGCTGCACAATTATTATAAAAATGAATTAAATCCTACCTAGTGGGAGAAAATTGACTGTGATCTTATAATTTTTTGTTCCAGAAACTTTTATACTGTAGAATATATTGTCAGTCATTAAGATTTTCTATTTTTAATTGAGTTAAAATAGGATTGTTGCTTTTTAAAATTACTTTCTGACATTGTTTCATGCATTTTTAATGCCTTTAGTCTAGTGGATATAGAAGTACAGGAATCTCCAAGGCAAATGTCAAAAAATAAAAAATAAGCAGATTAGGGAAAGGTATTCTGTGAAATTACCTTCTGATTGTAGTCACGTGTAACACATCAACTTAAACAATAAAAAATTGTTTAATGCAATCGTATCAGGGGTTCCCAAGACCCCCTTCACTGAGGTTTGGTAATTCACTGAGAAGGACTCACAGGACTCAGCAGATAGTCATACTTGGGGCTTTGATTTATTACATTTAATACAGCAAAAAGACACAAAGCAACATTCGAGAAAGGAAAAGGTGCATGTGTCAAAGTCTGGAGGAAGCCAGGCACAAGCTACAGGAGTCGTCATCTGTGTAGCTAGCAGGATATGCTTAATTCCCCCAGCCTCAAATTTTGACGACACATGTGCAATGTTGTCTACCTTACCAGAGTTTCATTAGAGGCTCAGCACCCATGTTTTCGATGGAGGCTAGTCACATAGGCCACCTCTCCTCTCCCTCACATGTAACAAAACTCTAGACTCCCAGGAGGAAATTAATTGTTCATAGTAAACCACATTTGCACAAACACTTTAGGCACAGTGAGCCACTCCCTTCTTCTAAGTTAGGGAATGCTGGGAACCCTCCCAAATTCAAGGTACCAAACACCAGCCAAGGACTAGCCTTGCAAGCAAGCCTTTCTAAGGATGGGTGTCTCATGCCTGCTATATGAAATCTTTGCTGCCCAGCAGCTACGCCCCTGAGTAAATTGTTGGTGTTATCTTAAAATTTTATATAATATAATAGCAAATAATATGATAGACCATAACATGGTACTGGTTTCAGTTGCATCATTCATATTAAATAGCAAGGCTGCTTACAGTTTTGACATTTGGTGAATACTTAACAGGTATTGGTACATAAGTTACTATGGCAATATTAAGTAATTATAATCTGTCCTTCTTATCTGATTAACCTTTCAGTAAAATTGTGGGATAAAGTAGGCATAATAAGTTCTGATTTAAAATTAGAATAAAAATTGTCTTTCATTTTATTTTCATGGATGGACCAGTTTTGATTCATATTGTACTAAATCCCTGTTTACAGTTATGAAATAAGATCAGATATTCAATCATTTTTGTGAATTTTTTTGCCTAAGTATACGATTAAAATTAATTGCTTTATGTGTTTTTATATGCTTTAATTTGGGAGATAGTACTTATATTCTGTTACCTTGATCTTTAGTGATTTGCAATTTTCAAGGTGACTCTGTCTTTTTATAATTTAGGGTAATAGCAAGTTCAGTGAGTATGTGCTTTAAAATTAATAATATTATTTTCTGAGCAGTTTTAGATTCACAGCAAAATTGAGAAGGTACAGAGATTTTCCATATTCCCCATGACCCCTGACATATGAATAGCCTCCCTCATTATCAGTACCCCCCATCAGAGTTCATCAGAGTTACAGTTGAGGAATCTACCTTGACAGACACATCACCCCCAAGGTCCACAGTCTACGTTAGGGTTCACTCTTGGTGTTGTACATTCTATGGTGTTGGACAAATGTGTGATGGCATGTATATACCCTTGTAGTATCACAGACAAAATAGTTTCACTGCCCTAAATATCCTCTGTCCTCCACTGTTTCGTCTCTTCCTCTCCACTGGTTTCTGGCAACCATTGGTCTTTTTGGTGTCTCAGTAGTTTTGCTTTTTCCAGACTAGTCATATAGTTGGAATAAAACAGTGGCGGATATCTTTTTGAATATTTAAACAATAAAGTTCCATGGTAATTTGATTCTGTCATTTTAGATGTTCTTTGTCCTTGCGTTTGTTTTCCTCATGTTGTGTTCATCAGAACAGGATCTGATGGCATATGATTTGACGTGCTGAGAAAGCGTGATTTCTGTAGACGTTTGCCACGTAACGGGGAGGGTGGGGAAAAATGGCATCATGCAGTATTCCACAGCACTAACTGGACCATCGTGCTCTAGGAGATGGGTCCAGATAGAGTCTAGCGATGGGACGGGATAATCTCAAGAGCTGGACTTTATAAAACTGGAATCACAAAGTCTTGCATACTTACCTTGCACTTAAAAAGAAGATCAGGCAGTGAACACTACAGGTGAATAAATATGTTCCTCTCTGGTTCTCTTCCTTTTAGGGATGAGCTTGAAAACAGTCTATATTATTAGAATATGGCTCATCTACAACTAAATGCTCTGTCATAGGAAATGCCAGTGTTTTTCTTTACAATAAGTGAAAAATAATTTTGTTTTCACCAGAGAGAGTAACAACTGTTGGCACATTCTGGCAGCTTGAGTGAGCTGATAGTTCTGTTCATATATATTTTTCATACCAGGTAGTACTCCCTGGCAACCTGCCACCACTGTGGCCGTGTTTCTTCTTAAGCTTCTCACTGAATGAATGGTGTGGCTCAGAGTGAATAAGCTCTTTAAGGGAGTGATCTTTCCAGTGGTTCTGTCCATAGGAGGTAAAATGGGAGGTGAATTTGAGCCTTGTTTGTGCTAGGGAAAATAGCTAGAACTCAGTAAACATTGCCAGCATCTGCCCCAGAAGAGGATTAGTGAGAGTGAGTACATTGATCTCCCTTGAGCTCTTCTCCACTGGCAGCTGAAAAGTCTTTGCAAAGGTCCTTGTCCCTGGTCTCTTCCCTATGTTTTGCCACATAACACAGCACAGCACCCATAGACCTACACAACAAAATGTACAGTTTTTCCCCCTTATCCATGGGGGTTATGTTCCAAGACCCCCAGTGAATGCCTGGAACTGTGGATAGTACTGAACCCTAGATAGGCAGTGTCAGGATAGAAGGAAGAGGATAAGAGTAAAAGGGGGAATAAAGAATGTGGAAGGCAGAGAGTACAGAGAGTAAATGAAGGGAAAAGAAGCAAGTGGATATGATGGAGGGTGGTAAAATGAGATAATACTTCAAAAGAAGAGTGGGGTATTAGAAAGGTGGAAAGAATATAAGGTGAACGTGCAGCACCAAAACTTATCAGATAAGACAAACTTTACTTGCCAATATGTTAGTTGTGCTTTAAGTTTAATTATTTCATCATAGTGTGGCTATACTGATGATTTTAAGCCAGTCAGATATTCTGGTCAGCAAATCATGTGTGTGTGTGTTTTGATTATCAAAAACGAAGAAAGCAATAATTACCCTTAATAACTATATGGTGGACACAGTCTTTTAAAACATTGATTCTGAAACTTTTTGGCCTGGGGTTCATTTTATATGATTAAATATTATTGCCTAGAGGTAACCAACACCCTGAATTAAGAATTTATTATGTCCATTCCCTTTTAAAACATTTTATTACATATGTGTATGGTCATAAATAATATGTAGAATTTGTTTTCATGTCCTAAAATTGTATATAAATTGTTTTACACTCTACATATTTTGCAACTTTCTTTTGTCTGGTCACATTACATTTTTGAGGTCAGTCCTTATTGACACAGGAAGCTCTGGTTTTCTATCAAATGACTGGATCTCAAAGTCTCTTCATAATGATAAATAAATAATTAAAATAAAGAAAAATTATTGCAAATTCCAAAGAGCTTTTATTTAAGTCGGTTGTGTCTTTTGATATTTACTATTTTAGAAATAAAAACTAAAATATTTTAAAAACAAGCATGCGGCCGGGCGTGGTGGCTCACGCCTGTAATGCCAGCACTTTGGGAGGCCGAGGCGGGCGGATCACGAGGTCAGGAGATCGAGACCATCCTGGCTAACACGGTGAAACCCCGTCTCTACTAAAAATACAAAAAATTAGCTGGGCATGGTGGAGGGCGCCGGTAGTCCCAGCTACTGGGGAGGCTGAGGCAGAGAATGGTGTGAACCCGGCAGGCGGAGCTTGCAGTGAGCCGAGATCGCGCCACTGCACTCCAGGCTGGGTGACAGAGAGAGACTCCATCTGAAAAAACAAACAAACGAACAAAAAAAAACAAGCACGCACAGCCATACATTCCAATAGCCTTTAGAACTATGACCCATTCACCATTAGAGCTATGATGTTATGACACACCATGTCTATGAAAAGCTCCACTGTACACGTGAAACAGAATGAGAGTGAAAATGGCAAATAACATTTTGTGTTATTTGACGTCTTGGCCCCTCATCTGGATCTTGAACTCCAGGGATTCTCAGATCATAATTGAGAGTCAACATTTTAAACCACATATGTGGTTGTGGATAAATGCACCCTTTATGATGAAATGGACTTTAAAGTTTCACGTATGTGTTTTTGGCTTTTTTCTTTCACTTGTCTTAAAAAATTTAAATCTCAGGCCGGGCGCGGTGGCTCACGCCTGTAATCCCAGCACTTTGGGAGGCCAAGGCAGGCGGATCATGAGGTCAGGAGATCGAGACCATCCTGGCTAACGCGGTGAAACCCCGTCTCTACTAAAAATAAAAAAAATTATCTGGGCATAGTGGCAGGCGCCTGTAGCCCCAGCTACTCAGGAGGCTGAGGCAGGAGAATGGCGTGAACCCGGGAGGCGGAGCTTGCAGTGAGCCGAGATTGCGCCATTGCACTCCAGCCTGGGTGACAGAGCGAGACTCCGTCTCAAAAAATAAAAAAAAAATTTAAATCCCAACAATTTTGTTTATATAGTAAAAAGGAAAATATTTTTGTTATGTATTCCTTTCCTGTCTCGTGGCACTGTGTGCTATTTGGATCTAGTGTGGTCCTAGACTAATCCTGTTCTCACATGGGAACAGTTAGAGCCCTTACAGCTCTTATTTTGCAAATAAATGTATGAAGTTTATCCAAGTATTTGAAAGGAAATTCTGAAGATAGTGGTGCATTGAGGAAACACCATCTCATTATAATTAAAATAGTTTTAAAAGTATATTTATTATGAGTTTTTGTAAATCCTGTGTCTCTACAATACATACATACAATGCTGTCATGTATATTTAAGCTTAAAATGGTTAGACATAAATTATGTTTTAAAAAATTTATATCCACGAAGAATCTTAATGGAAAGCAAAATATGTAATAGAGACTGCTGAGTGAATAAAAGTAAGTAATAGTAACCAGTAAAAATGTAGAAAAGTGAGAGATGATAGTTAATTAAACTTACCTGAATGAATTGTAAGCATAGGGCATGTAAAATATAATAAGCCTGAATGCATAGTGTGTTGTGGGAGAGAGCAGGATGTGGGACTGTTTCTGTGAAGAAAGCATGTATACAAGTTAGTCAAATTATTGTGTTATTTACATCCTAAAAATGAAAACTTCATTTTCGTATTTTTCAGATTGGCATCCTACTAATTTGACCCTTAGTGATGAGACTTGTCAGAGATCCAAGAATCTGAAAGTTGATGATAAATGTCCATCTGTATCACCATCAATGCCTGAAAATCAGTCAGCAACCAAAGAACTGGGACAGATGAACTTAACAGAACGAGAAAAGATGGACACTGGAGTTGTACTTCTCTCAGGGAATGATACTCTCCATGACCTGTGCCAATCACAGCTACCAGAAAACAAAGAGAGCAAAGAAGGTAACAAAGAAGCATAGAGAATTCAGTCCTAGAGTGCCTCTGCTTGGCTGCATAGAGCTATAGTTCTGACTTAAAAAAACTTTTTCTGGTAAAATGTGCTTTGTGTTTACTCACCTTTTGCACTGAACAGAATACCTTTTGGCAGGATATTTGTGTTCTTCCTTTAACCAAAGCAACATCTAGATAACAGAGAATTAGGGAAAGCATGATTTTCTTTAGGAAGTAGGATTATATTTAGAATATAGGGACTAAGTATGTTTAGGGACTAACATAGGATTATATTTAGGATAATTTAGTAGAGACCTAAAGATTGCTGACTCAAACACAATGTGGTTTCTTTGCTTTATTTTTACAGCTCTGAATTCACAGCTGTTAGTTATAACTATATGCACTATAATTTAAAAGACACCTTCCCACACCTGTAATCTCAGCACTTTAGGAGGCCGAGGTGGGTGGATCACAAGGTCAGTAGTTCGAGACCAGCCTGGCCAATATGGTGAAACCCCATCTCTACTAAAAATACAAAAAAAACTAGCCGGGCGTGGTGGTGAATGCTTGTAGTCCCAGCTACTTAGGAGGCTGAAGCAGGAGAATCGCTGGAACCCAGAAGGTGGAGGTTGCAGTGAGCCGAGATTGCGCCACTGCACTCCAACCTGGGCAATAGAGGAAGACTCCGTCTCAAAAAACAAAAACAAAAACGAAAAAACACCTTCCAAAAGCAAATATTAAGTGACTTCCTATCGTTTCTATGACTTTATGTATTATAGAATTGACTTTCCAAGTCAGTAATTAATGAGACTTATTGAGAATTTGCTGCATAGTATCTCCTTGGCTGTGTCCACATGAGCTACCACCTTGCGTTAATAAATGTGTTCGCTAGGGATGTTGGTTTTGGCATTGACAGTGTTCTATCACCAATGCAAATAAGACCAGGGACCACTCTTGAGAACATTAATGTCCAAGCATCTTAAAGTTATACGTAAGGCTTTCATAATGTGACTTCTGCTCAGCTCTCCATCTTTAGCCCTTTCCCCCGTGTGCCCCTTCTCTGGCCTTACTGAACTGCTGGTCCTGTCCTGCTGACCCATCCTTCGACTGCAGGCAAACACATACACTCTTTCAGGCCTCTTTCTGCCTTTTGTTGCTGCCTGTCATGCTCTCACTCTTTCCTGTCCCCTACCCCTTCTAATTAGGCTAGCCTCACTCTTTAAGCCTCAGCTCGGGCAGGATCTCTAGAAAAGTCATCTCTGACATGCTTTCTTTTCACTCTTTAAATCCTAGTGCCTAGCACATAGCAAGACTCAATACATAATTGCTGAGTAAAATAGATAATGACTCTTTGTACAAAGATGATTTTCAAGATTGTTCCCTACAGTCAAGGAGCAGAGGGAATAGACATGTAAAGCAATAATTGACAGTTCGGGTGGTGGAGATGCAGTAGAAAAATCAGTAAAGTTCTAGGGCAGCCCTAAGGAAGGAGATACCTAGATACCTGTTTACCTGGGGAAAGATGAGGATGAGGGTCAACTTCACCTAGCAGTCTGTTTTTTATTTTATGTATTTTATTTATTTATTTTTAGCAGTCTGTTTTAAAAGATGAAAATATTAATACATTTGTCAGAATAATACAGGGAACCATTTCAGATGTTAGGAAGAGGTTGTACACCAATAAAGGTGTCCACAGTCATTTTGGAAGTCATTAATGAGGTACTATTATGAAGTGGAGAACAGTATGCAGTATTGCCTGATAATATTGCTACTGCATTCCAAAATTTTGTTTTGTTTGTGATGGCTTTGTTCATTGATGTTGGGTGGATGAATCTGTGAGTGAATCTTCAACATGATTGTATTTCTTTAACCTGGTGGCATCTAGTGTCTCCCAGAAAGTGGTTTGTTGAAGTTTTGGAGAATTAGAAGTATTTCTTAAAGAAGTAAGTATTCCACTAAAGATCAAGCTTCATTTAAACTCTCAATTTATGAAATAAAATGAAATGTAATTTAAAATCTATTTTTATAAAGACTATGTCTTTTATCTAACTGTTCTAAGTAGTTTAACTGAACGTTTGGATTTTGCAGCAGAACAAGACTTGGAGCTGACATCAGAGGAAGAGCAAGAAAGACTTAAAGGATGCGAAAATAAGCAGCCACAGGTGTGGAAACATTCAAACTAAAATCTAAATGTCTGGTTTAATACTCTTTTCTTTGCTTTAATATGCTAGCCCAAATGAAATTACCTCTCAGACTAGCCTTTGAGAATCAATAGATCCTTACTTAATATT
Source organism: Homo sapiens (assembly GCF_000001405.40). Classification (NCBI taxonomy): domain Eukaryota; kingdom Metazoa; phylum Chordata; class Mammalia; order Primates; family Hominidae; genus Homo; species Homo sapiens. Next base: position 18,838,235 of record NC_000017.11, read on the forward strand.
TAATTTTAAATACATTTAAACTAGTTATAAAACACAATATTGTTAGAATCTATCATAACTTATAGTTAATCTTTACCCTTGGAGTAGAGGCAAACATTCCAGAATTTTGTTTGCTCTTCCATTCTTACAATATCCTTACGGGATAAAGAAGGTAATGTCAATTATTGACTTATATTATTAAGCAACAGAAATTATGAACAATTTAACAGTGATGGCCACTGAGTTGGATTCATGGTATAGGAGTAATCATGGCCAGTGGCTCAAATTTTTCAGTTTTATATTGCCAGTTACTAATGCCTAGGTTAAAGATGTGGCCTTTCATTGACTTCATGGTCTACATTCAGTGAGAATGGGGTTATGAAATCAACCCAACTGCCTATTAAGGGAATCATACCTTGCAGAATGGGATCTTTGGTGTTAGGGTACAAACAATAAATTTCTAACTTTTTAGATGCAGAAACTTAGTAAGAATTATCTTTAAAGTTTTAGTTAGTGTTATTAGGGGACCGTAGTATATATTAGAACTGAACTGAAGAAGATAGTCTAGATATATAACCCTATGATGTTACAGTATATAATTTGAATTAAAACTTAAGAATTTGCTTTTCTTTCTGATTGGTGTTGATTCGGGCTCCTAATAATTTGAAGATTGCCTACCCTCCAGTTAGTAATCTGTAGAACTTACATGTAGTAATATATAGTACTTACATGTAGTAATATGTAGTACTTACATGTACTGTAGGGGCTCACTTTCCAAGTGAGGAGGCCTTTGTAACACTAGAAATCATCTGCTAATTCATTTTTGGTAGATTTAACACATAATGAATTAAGTTTATTCCAAACAAACAGTGACAAAGTTAAGTTTGCTGGTTCATATTTTTCTCCTCCTTTCAGCTAAGACAATTGTTTTTAACTTCTTAGTTACAAGCCAGTGATTTGGGAGTAGCTAAACCTAGATGAAGAAGTTTAACAGTTAAATTTTCATTTTAATTATTTGTGAATTTTTCTTTGTTCATACCTGTTATTTAAGGACAAAGCTATTTTTAAAACATGTAGCCCAACAGAGAAGACACGCAAGAAACAAAACAAGCAAATTAATCTTCCACTTTTGCACCTGCAGAAAACGTCTCAAGAACCAGAAATGGCTAAGGATTGTGATAGAGAGGATATACCTATATATCCAGTACTTCCTCATGTGCAAAAATCTGAGGAAATGTGGATTGAACAAGGCAAATTAGAGTGGAAAAACCAATTAAAACTCGTCATAAATGAGTTAAAGCAGAGGTTTGGTGAAATTTATGAAAAATACAAAATTCCGGCTTGTCCTGAGGAAGAGCCACTACTTGATAACTCTACAAGAGGAACAGATGTGAAGGATATTCCCTTTAATTTGACAAATAACATACCTGGTTGTGAGGAAGAAGATGCATCTGAAATATCTGTCTCAGTGGTATTCGAGACATTTCCTGAACAAAAAGAACCCAGTCTCAAAAATATCATCCATCCATACTATCATCCGTACTCTGGGTCCCAGGAACATGTTTGCCAGTCATCTTCTAAGCTTCATTTACATGAAAATAAATTAGACTGCGACAATGATAACAAACTAGGCATTGGACATATTTTTAGTACAGATAACAACTTTCATAATGATGCAAGCACTAAGAAAGCAAGGAACCCAGAAGTGGTTACGGTTGAAATGAAAGAAGACCAAGAGTTTGATTTGCAAATGACAAAAAATATGAACCAAAATAGTGACAGTGGCAGTACAAATAACTATAAAAGCCTGAAACCTAAATTAGAAAATCTGAGTTCTTTACCACCAGATTCTGACAGAACATCAGAAGTATATCTACATGAAGAATTACAGCAAGACATGCAAAAGTTTAAGAATGAGGTCAACACATTAGAAGAAGAGTTCCTGGCTTTGAAGAAAGAAAATGTTCAACTTCATAAAGAGGTAGGGTTTTACTTGCTGCCACTCTTTGTTTTTTCTCTCAATTATCTGGTCCATTCTGATTTTCCACTTAGGAAAAGCATATGAAAAGCATACAGTTTGGTTGTCTAAATCTGTAATTGTGTGTAGAAACAGAGGATTTCTAAGTAATAGGAGTTTAGGAAAACTTTCTCATAATCGTTGTTTCTTAATTGACCTAAGTCTCTCTGTCAGTCTTCCAAGTGGCGTATGGATTGTGAAACTCATGTAGCCATATATCATGTGACCTTCAGAACCAGGAGAGGCATCAAGAAAATCGCTAAAGGAAATGTGATGAGCTTGAGGGCTTTTTCCTTTTACCGACTTAAAGATGAGTTGTGTCTAACAATAAGATGGGAATACAGTAGAAAGGAAGCAATGACTAAGTAGAGATATAAAAATGTATCTAGCAGGCGTGGTGGCAAACACCTGTAGTCTCAGCTACTAGGGAGCCTAAGGCAGGAGGATCGTTTGAGGCCAGGCATTCTGGGCCGTAGTGTGCTATGCCGATCAGGTGTTCACACTAAGTTCGGCATCAATATGGTGACCTCCTGGGAGCGGGGCACCACCAGATTTGCTAAGGAAGGGTGAACCAGCCCAGGTCGGAAATGGAGCAGGTCATAAGTAACTCCTGTGCTGATCAGTAGTGGGATCGTGCCTGTGAATAGCTGCTGCATTCCAGCCTGGGCAACATAGTGAGACCTCATCTCTTACTAAAAAAAAAAAAAAAAGAAAAGAAAAAAGAAGTATCCAGCCCTGAGAGCTGCAGCAAATATTCCTGGCCAATGAATCTGTTTATTGTGCTTTTCAGGTTTATCTGTTTAACTCAAACTGTTGGAACTTAGAATTGCATCATGACCACTTTAAATATTTTTCAACAAGTATATACACTTTAATATATTTGTTAATATAACTACTCTCCACTGTTTCTGTTGAATCAGACCTTTATGTTATGTTGCTTAATAAAGTACAGTAAGTTTTGGCATATATATTTTTTCCATGTAAGTAGCATAAATGCTCAGCCAAACACTTAGTATATGATGCCAAAGTAGAAAGCTGAGTCTTCTACATTGATTAGGGCAGGCCTCCCACCCTCCGCTAAGGCATTAAATTATTTTACCCAAGTCACACTTTTAACCTATCTGATTAATTTGCCGAATTTGTCTGATTCAGCATTATGGAATTGTACTGTCTCTTTTGGTGCCACAAAATGCTAGGTAATGGCACTTTAGGGGCTTTGGATCAATCATTTTAATCTTTTTTGGCTTTAGCCCAGTTATCAATAGAGAGTGAGCTAAAGTAGATTCTTATACTGTATATCCTCCAGCTATAAACTTTTATGGCTATTGAATGTGAAATTTGGGAAGCATCTCATTTCCAGAATTCCACCCTAGCTCAGCAGTTTCACTCTGCTTTTTGTGTTGTGGCAGACTTGTATTTCAGTAAGCACCTTCACCTTTTTGATATCCCAGGATTCAAATGAAAAAAAAAAAAAAGACAAAAGTTAGTGGGGGAAAAGAATAGCTTAGTGCAGAAAAGGGAAAGCTTCCTTTCTTTTCCTGAAACCCCACAGTGTTGTATCCTCTCAATCTGGCTGTTTAATATGAAAGTCAAGTGGCAAAGATAGAAGAAGACACGCTTTGTGTCTTTATCTTCTTGTTTCCATGTTTGTGCCAGTCAAATGAGGTAAAAATTCATAATACATAGTGAAGGGTGGTTGGGAATAAAAGCACAAAATTAAGAAGGGCCCTGGTTGAAATTTTGGAAAATTCTGTCTCATTCATTGAAACAGAAATGAAGCTGACTTTACAAAAATGTTGATGATAAAATTATAATAATTATAATTATATGATGATAGTTCCAGATGTGATAAAATTAAAGTAAGCACCAAATATTTTAATGACTAAAATTATAATTAAACTGAGTCAAGTGATGATGAAATCAATGCAAACAGAAAAAAGTTCTTTGTATTGAATAAAGCAATAAGAATCATCCTGAACATCAAACTCTCACTCAAGGTTGAAGAAGAAATGGAGAAGCACAGAAGTAATAGCACAGAATTATCAGGAACCCTAACTGATGGTACTACTGTTGGCAATGATGATGATGGACTAAATCAGCAGATTCCTAGGAAGGAAAATGAAGAGCATGACAGGTAAGCCTATAGCAGCGTTTAACAGGAGACAATTGGTCAAGCGTGGTGGCTCACGCCTGTAATCCAGCAATTTGGGAGGCCAAGGCGGGTGAATCACCTGAGGTCAGGAGTTCAAGACCAGCCTGACCAACATGGATAAACCCCATCTCTACTAAAAATACAAAATTAGCCAGGTGTAGTGGTGCATGCTTGTAATCCCAGTTACTCAGGAGGCTGAGGCAAGAGAATCGTTTGAACCTGGGAGGCGGGGTTGTGGTGAGCCGTGATCATGCCATTGCACTCGAGCCTGGGCAACAAGAGTAAAACTCCATTTCAAAAAAAAAAAAAAAAAGCAAAAACAGAAACAAAAACAAAAAACAGGAGACAATTATGTGCTATGAAATGAATCCTAATTTGGGCTAATATTCATGATGAACAGATTTTATACTTTTACTAGGATATTCAGCCTTCCTTGGTTATCAGAAAAATGCAAACTAACAATGAGACACCATGTTTTCCAATCATATTGATATTTTATTTAAAAAATAGGAAGTATTGGCAAATGTGAAGAAAAAGGCGTAAATTCATACACTTGTTAAATGAAATTGATGAATCCTTTTTGCAGGGTAATTTAGTAGCATGTATCAAAATTTCAAATATGTCACTTCTTTAACCTAACAACTTCACTTTTGGGACAAGATCCTACAGGAAAATATGACTTGTGTAAACACATACACATATGTGTTAAGGACATTTATTACATGTAGTATGTAACATACAATAGGCTAATAGGTTAAATATATATAATGTTAAGTATATATGATATATTTATGTCAAGGATATTTATATGTGTTACATATATATTTATGTATAAGGATATTTATTATAGCATTGTAATATAAAGAAGTTGGAGATAGTCTAAATCCTTAGCAATAAGGAAATAGTACAATTGTCATACCCAGAAAATAATGTAGCATGCACTCATTTTAATAAAAGAAGTTGTTAGACCAGGAGTGTACTGATTATTTCACAATTAAAGTCTATTTAAAGCCTTTAGTTTGATGACACATCTTAAGCCAGTTTTGTTGGAATTCTCGTAATATCTGCTGAGTTACAAAAGGAAGCTAGCTACATGCTACATTGACACTGTACCTTGTTAGCAACAGAATTCTAGTTATTAAATTTTTGTTTTTTGCTGTCCATGTGTGAGTGCTGAAATACCAGATCCTCAAATTAATCTGAATATTGCCAAGGGATTGCACATGGGGATTCATGTTCCGTGTCAGCTTTTCAATATACTGGGTAAAACTTACTAAAATACAACAGAGGATCTTAGCTCTACTGAACCAAGAATTGGACAGCTCTTTTTGTAAAGAGCCAGTTAGTAAACATTTTAGGCCTTGTGAATTACAAAGGGCATAAGTGTGGCTGCATTTTAAGGAACTTTCCTTATGAAAACAGGCAGTGGGCTGGATTTGCTCCACAAGCACCGATTTGTTTATCCTTGTGCTAAAACCAAGGTGCTGTTATGCAGTGAATCCTCTTTTTAAAGGTACCCTACATGCATGCCATTATCCTTTCTTTTAAAAGATAATGTATTTCAGTAGGAAACACACCATATTTTTCAACAGTAGCTTCATATAATTTAGACAAATTTGATTTACAAAATAAGATTATTTTCTGCCCTTGTCCCCTTTTATTCTTGTCATAGAATTCCATATTTTGACTATTACTTTGTATATTTGATGAGTATAAAATATTCTAGAGTTAGATGGTTTTTATCAAGCAAGAAATACTTCTCCTGAAACTTTTAGTCTTCTTTGGTCTTTATGTATAAGCATGAGCAAAATGATAATCAGCTTATATAATCTAGAAATGTTCAAGAGGTCTTTTGGTTTTATAAGTTAATGAATTTTTATTTAATACCTTCATCTGGCATTTCAAAAATGCCATATATATCATTTTAAAAAAACTTTTAAAGGGTAAAAATATAGTATATAGTTATATAAGAATTGAAAAATACAGCTAAACAAGAAGAAAATTAGATCGTCTACAGTCATGCCCCTAGGTATGCTGGCCTTGAAAGAATGGTTTATACTCATGGATTCAGATTTCTTGTCCATTCTCTCTTGAGCTGATACGAGTAATTTTCACTCCCACCACTCTTCCAAGATTGTTGTTCTCAAGTTTACCATTGATTTGTAAATCTAGACATTGTTTCTTAGACCTTATTTTATTTAACCTGTCAGCAATATTGGACCCAATGGAAAACTCTCTCCTCCATAACAGTGTCTTCACTTGGCTTTCAGGATCTCACTCACTCACCTGGCTTTTCTTCCTGCCTTTCCAGTCCATCTGTCATAGTCTGTTTTGCTTTCTTCTCATATCCCACCTTTTACACATTGATATGTCCCAGGACTGATATGTCCCAGGACTCAGTCCTCAATCTTCTTTCTCATGACTTTTACTACCTTGTGTGTGCTAATGATTTCCAAATGCGTGTCTCCAGCCTAGATCTCTCTCCTTAATTCCAGACTTCCATACCAACCTGCCTACTTGACATCTCTGTTTGATTGGTCACAAACTGTTGGGTATCACAAACTTACCAGGTCCAAGATTGGGGTACCGATATTCTTTCTCATACCTACCCCTCACATGGTCTTTCCTACTTGCATTAATGGCAACTCTTGCAGTTGCTCTGCTAGAAACTAAGGTGTCGTCATTGACTCCCCTCTCTCTCTGACACCTCACATCTAATCTGTCAGCAGATCTTGTCAGGAGTACCTGAAGAATATATCCAGAAGCCAGTCATATCTTCCATTTCCAAGCCACCACCATCTGCTCTCTAGATGCATGTAATAGACTGTTAATTGGTCTGTTTTTTTTTTTAAAGAAACCTCTTTTCATTAATCCTTAACTCAGTGGCCATACTTAAAACATAAGTCAGATGATGTCATTCTTCTGCTCAGATCCATCTGATTGCCTCCCATTTCACTCTGAGTATGTGTCAGGGTTCCTCCTCATACCTAGAAGGCAACACACAATATGCCCTGTTCTCTCTGTCACTTAAACTTCTGTTTCTTATTCCCTTTGCTGTGCTTCAGCTACACTAAACTTCTTGCTCTTCGTTATCTATCACAGTTGGAAGGCAACACACAATATGACCTGTTCTCTCTCTCACTTAAACTTCTGTTTCTTATTCCCTTTGCTGTGCTTCAGCTACACTAAACTTCTTGCTCTTCATTATCTATCACAGTTGCTTAAACACCCCAGGCACACCTCTGTACTGGGCAGTTCCCTGTGTTTGGGATGCCTTTTCCTCAGATAGCCTCCTGGCTTTCTTTTTCCATTCCTTCAGTTCTTTACTTAAAAGCCCCTTTCTCAATAAGGACTTTTCTGGCCATCCTAGAATTCCCACTATCCCTCCTCTCAAACCTGTAAACATTTCATTTTCCTGCTTTAGTTTTTCTCCTTTAACACTGTATATTTTGCCTAATCTATCTATGGTTATTGTGTTTATTTCACTCCCATGAGTAGGATGTTTGTGTGCCTAGAAAAGGGCCTAGCTTGCAATAAGTAGCTACTCAATAAATATTTATTAAATGAGCAACTGAAGTTTACCCTTCGGTGTATTGTTTTAAACATTAGATTGATTCTCAGGTAAAAAAAAAAAAAAAAAAAAAGAAAAAGAAAGGTTTCACATGGGTTCATTCTAACACTTTTGCCTGGAAATTATATGTGTTTTTGGATTTTTTGGCTCTTTGTAATAAGCTACATTCTTTGTATTAATAGTTTTCCATTTAGAGAGAAAAGCTCAATATTGTCGTTACTCACTATTTATTCTTTTACTAATAATCATGATAGTTTTACTTATGATAAAATGGATCAAAGGAATTACATAGTTCATTGGTAATTTATAAAGAAAATTAAAATATAAGGGTGGTAAATTTAATGGACTTAAAATTGTTTCCAATTGATTATGAACCTTCAGTATTTGAAGTTAAAAGACCAAGTTGGAATGTGTTGCTTTCTATAAGAGAGCTATGCTCATCAGGCACTCTGTATTCTGATAGAGCAGCTGTTGATCTTACATAGGGTTGCGGGAGGAGCGGACTTGAAGCATTGGCAGACTCTCAGCGGCATAAGAGGGTTAACATCATCTGGAGAAACATGGCTATCTGAGTGAGGCTGCTGTGGGTTGGTTAACACTCCCAGGCTTGTGGATTGGAGCGAGTTTGTGTTTAATTGGCTGTCTTTCCAAAGCAAGTGGCCCACATTGATATTGGTTGGTGAGAGAGGCCAATGGTCACTGATGATTGACTGTATTTACAACTGGCTGTGGGTGGTTGCTTGTTACAAATATAGCTACTAAGTTTGAGACAACTTTAAACTGCAGTTTTCTGTTTAAAAGTTGCCTTCCATCAACTATGTTTAAAATGAAAATGATTTCATATTCCAGAACTATAGACTTAATTTGGAAGTGTGGGTCAAGAGGAATTGTTTAATAATTGCTCTCAGGAAGATCTCTTTTTTTGATGCTTAGTCTTAACCAGAAGAATTCGCTACATAGTTAAAAAACAAACAAACAAACAAACAAACAAAAAGCAATTATTAATTTTGTTTCGGTTTTTAGTATTTTCAGAGACTTCTGCTAAACTCCTAATCTCCAGTGGGATATGTTTGTCTCTTTGTTAATGTATGTAGTTATATGATAGTGATATTCTTTTTTTTATTCCTTAATCTTTTTTTGTTCACTTTCTCTTCCATGCAATGATAGTGATATAATGTGTGTTTACTTCATAAAAAAGTAATTACAATTTTCTGCTGGCAAATCCAGCTTTTTATATTAAGACTAAGTACTAGACTAAATATGTGGGAAATTTACCAAATTATTTTATTTTCAAACAAACATATAACTAATCAGAATATTGCTATTTTTGAACAATATATAATGACTATACTGATATTTAGGAATTTTAACACTAAGATTTTTTTCTTCCCGAGACATTTCCTTGATTTCTTTCATGTAATATGTGCCTGTTATTTTTAAAACTTGGTTTAATCTGTTTAAACATTATTGTATTTAAAAACAAAACCCAAAACATAGCACAGATCTAAATATGAGTTTCATGTGTGAGAGTCATTGCCTGTGTGCAGTGGACTCCAGCTGTTTTTTTTTTTTTTTTTGAGACGCAGTCTCGCTCTGTCGCCCAGGCTGGAGTGCAGTGGCGCCATCTCAGCTCACTGCAAGCTCCGCCTCCTGGGTTCCCGCCATTCTCCTGCCTCAGCCTCCCGAGTAGCTGGGACTACAGGCACCCGCCACCGCACCCAGCTAATTTTTTGTATTTTTAGTAGAGACGGGGTTTCACCGTGGTCTCAATCTCCTGACCTCATGATCCGCCCGCCTCGGCCTCCCAAAGTGCTGGGATTACAGGCGTGAGCCACCACGCCCGGCCAGCTGTTTTTTTTTCTTTTCTTTTTTCTTTGTGACAGAGTCTCACTCTGTCACCAGGCTGGAGTGCAGTGGCAATCTCAGCTCACTGCAACCTCCAGCTCCTGGGTTCAAGCGATTCTTCTGCCTCAGCCTCCCGAATAGCTGGGACTACAGGTGCGCCACCATGCCCAGCTAATTTTTGTATTTTTAGTAGAGATGGGTTTCACCAAGTTGGCCAGGCTGGTCTTGAACTCCTGACCTCAGGTGATCCTCCCACCTTGGCCTCCCAAAGAGTTGGGATTACAGGCGTGAGCCACCGTGCCCGGCCTGTATTTTATTTTTATTTTTTTATTTTTGAGGACGGAGTTTCGCTCTTGTTGCCCAGGCTGGAGTGCAGTGGTACGATTTCAGCTCACTGCAACCTCCGCCTCCCGGCTTCAAGCAATTCTCCTGCCTCAGCCTCCCGAGTAGCTGGGATTACAGGTGCCCACGACCACACCTAGCTAATTTTTTGTATTTTTGGTAGAGACGAGGTTTCACCATGTTCGAGGCCAGGCTGGTCTCGAACTCCTGAACTCAGGTGATCCACCTGCCTCAGCCTCCCAAAGTGCTGGGATTACAGGTGTGAGCCACTGCACCCGGCCTGTAAGTAATTGTTATTTTGTTTTCTGTTATATGCAGCCATCTCCTGATATATGATCTGGGCCACCCTCTTAGATTCAAAGGCAGAATCAACAGGAATCTGATCTAACTGTTCTGAGCCCTGGAGCTTGGGCCCAGGCCTGTCTCCTCGGCTTCCTCCTGGATGGTGGGCTGCGAGGGCGGTTACAGCATTGTCCATCCATGTCCCCAGCTCTGAGTCCCTCACCTTCCAGACTCTCCTCAGCTGTCACCAACTGTTTGAGTTAGTTTCCCCAGGCCTCTCAGCTTCTACCTCTAAATGCCAGCAAAGGAGTGAAATCACACACCGGGAAAGCCTGTGGGAGGTGGAAGCTTCCCAGAGCAGGGCCTCAGTGGAGACAGGATTTCCGCAAGCAAAGAAGGGAACAACAGCACAGGCAGAGCTGCAGAGGTAGCGGAGGGGCTGGAGGGCAGCTGCACTGAGGGCAGGTGCCCAGAGGGAGTGGGAGGGAAGTCAAGACAGACAGTCCACAGGGACTGCAAGCAGGGCAGAAGACCTGTCCTTCAGGCCGGCAGATTTTAAAAAATAAACTTTAAGCCAGGTGCAGGGGCACATGTCTGTAGTCCTAACTACTTGGGAAGCTGAGGCAGCAGGATCACTGGAATCCAGGAGGCTGGGGCTGCAGTGAGCTATGATCACACCACTGTACTCCAGCCTGGGCGACAGAGTAAGACTCCGTCTCAAAAAAAAAAAAAAATTAAAAATGAGTTACTTATATCATCTGGATATATGTCCTTTGTCATCGGATATAGGTCCTTTGTCTTCAGATATATGTAGTGTGAATATTTTCTCCCAATCTGTGTCTTTCGATATAGGCAGTTAAAAAAAAATGAATGTATTTAATCCTTTCAAAGGCTCTACACTATTTTGGGAGAATGAGAGGGCTTCAATCTGTTACACACAGACTTAGAGTGATATGTCACAGAATTACATCTAGGTAAGAAGCAATGTGATGCTGGGCGTGGTGGCTCATGCCTGTAATCCCAGCATTTTGAGAGGCCGAAGTGGGCGGATCATCTGAGGTCGGGAGTTCAAGAGCAGCCTGACCAACATGGAGAAACTCTGTCTCTACTAAAAATATAAAATTAGCTGGGCGTGGTGGCGCATGCCTGTAATCTCCGCTATTCGGGAGGCTGAGGTAGGAGAAATAGCTTGAACCCGGGAGGTAGAGGTTCCGGTGAGCTAAGATTACGCCACTACACTCCAGCCTGGGTGACAGAGCGAGACTCTGTCTCAAAAAACAAAACAAAACAAAAAAAGAAGCGATGTGTTAGGTAAGAGGTAGGTGTGTTCCTTAAAAAAGTGGCATATCAACTAAATCTGGGTGAGTTAGGCCTCTGAGGGTGGCCGTTTGCAGGTCTGTAACATCTAAGGGGGAGAGATTTTTATTTATTTATTTATTTATTTTTTATTTATTTTTTTATTTTTTTTGAGACAAGGTCTGGCTCTGCCGCCCAGGCTGGAGTGCAGTGGTGCAATCTCAGCTCACTGCAAGCTCCACTTCTCAGGCTCAAGCCATCCTCCCGAGCCATCCTCCTGGGCACTACTGGTGATACTTGCTGAGTCACAGCAGCACTCCACCCGCCAGGACTTGTTTTTCATTTCCATAATTGGAAAGTGCAGAATCAGGGGCAGATGAGTAGCTGGAACTACAGGCGTGTGCCACCACGCCTGACTAATTTTTTGTATTTTTTGTAGAGATGGGGTTTCACCACGTTGCCCAGGCTAGTCTTGAACTCGTGAGCTCAAGAGATCTGCCTGACTCAGCCTCCCAAAGTGCTGGGATTACAGGCATGAGCCACCATGCCCAGCCATGTGTGAATATTGAGTCACACCTGTGTGAGAGACAGCTGGATGTGTGTGTGATGTATGAGTGTGTGTGATTTGTGAATGTATGTGTCATCCACATGGGGAACATTTGAGTGTGAGTGATGTCTTCATGTATGTGTGAGATACCTGTGTGTACATATGACATCAGAGTCCTTCACTGGACATTGCAAAGGACGCTGGTGGGGTAGGGCCTCTTTCTTACTGAGTTCACAGAATGAAGTGCCATAGGGGCCTCCAAGTGCTGGTGGCCCTGTTGGCATTACTGGGCAGAGCTTGCCTGAGAATAAAATCACCAAAGAAAGACAAAACCCTGGAGATAGTGGAGCACTGGATCTAGCCATACGAAGCTGTCCCCTGGGCTTTTTAGCTGTGGAAGTCAGCCTCACCCCTCCTCAGTTAGCCCCTTTCCCTTTACATTTAGCTGGTTCAAGCTGAGTTTTATTGCAAAAGTCCTGACTAATACAAATACTTATGATAGAATGTGAATGGGGAAAGCCTTCCATTTACTAAGATTTCAAGCAAATGCAAGATTTGAATGCTTCAGAAGGAGGTACACCAGCCTTACCCCCTGGAGGCCCCAGGAAGCAAAGCCACCAAGGCAGGCCTCAGCACCACCAGGCCCCAGTCCTTAGGCCTCCCTAGGAGGTGCTTCCAGTGAAGGGGGAAGGAAAAACTGCTTGCAGGACAGTGGCATAGGGGCTCTCCAGCTGGGGCAGGGCAGTGTAGGTAGGGGAGGAGATCAGTGGGCCCGAAGTTTGGCTTAGGGTGCTCCTCCCTCCAGCTTAAGGGAGGGATTTAGAGAGGCTGAGCCAGAGATACAAGGTTTGGAGAGTGTTTGTTATGATTCGGGCTAGAGGCCTTGGCGATGCCTGTCTTTGGCAGGGAGAGACCCGATAAAGTTGAGTTGGGGGGTAATTTACCGGGGGATCATCAGTCCCTGATTCTGCACTTTCCAATTATGGAAATGAAAAAAAAGTCCTGGTGGGTGGGGTGCTGCTGTGAGCCAGCACAGTGTCACCAGTAGTGCCCAGGAGAAAGCTGTTGAGAGTAGGGTGTGGGCAAAGGGCTCAAAGCCCAGATCTTGGCTAGGTGCTGCCACCAGGAGGAGGAGGCTGCCACGGGGGCCTGTGTGTGGGCCGTGCCAACCTTGCTGTGGCTTTGGTTTATTGACATTACCATAAATATGTTATTCTACTCCATCCACCTCAATAGTGACATGAAGTAGGTGGCATTAGCCCATTTACAGATGAGGAAACTAACAGAGAGAAATGACTTCTAAGGTTGTACAGCTAAAATGGTAATGCTAATGCTAATATATATATATATTTTTAGACGGAGTCTCGCTCTGTTGCCCAGGCTGGAGTGGCAGGATCTCAGCTTAGCTCACTGCAGCCTCTGCCTCCCTGGTTCCAGTGATTCTCCTGCCTCGGCCTCCTGGGTAGCTGAGATTATAGGCATGCACCACCACGCCCGCCTAATTTTTGTATTTTTAGTAGAAACAGGGTTTCACCATGTTGGCCAGGGTGGTCTTGAACTCCTGACCTCAGGTGATCTGCCTGCCTCAGCCTCCCAAAATGCTAGGATTATAGGCGTAAGCCACTGTGCCGGGTCTACAAAACTCCTTCTGTTTTTTTTTTTTTCTTTTTCAGACCAAGTTTCACTCTTGTTGCCCAGGCTGGAGTGCAATGGCGTGATCTTGGCTCACCACAACCTCCGCCTCCCGGGTTCAAGCAATTCTCCTGCCTCAGCCTCCTGAGTAGCTGGGATTACAGGCATGTGCCACCACGACCGGCTAATTCTGTATTTTTAGTAGAGACGAGGTTTCTCCATGTTGGTCAGGCTGGTCTCGAACTCCTGACCTGAGGTGATCCACCCTCCTCGGCCTCCCAAACTGCTGGGATTACAGGCATGAGCCACCGTGCCCGGCCCAAAACTCCTTATATATCCAGAGAGCATATATATTATAAATATTTAACCTACCTAGTATAGCTTATTGGATACTAAAGCAGGACTTTGTTAAACTCTTAGCATGCAGTGGATCATCTACTATGGTCACTGTATGAGGTGGGTGCTTTGCCATTCCCAGCTGTAGCCCCAACCCTCAGCACTGGGCCTGGCATGAGTTAAGTACTTTATTGATATTTGTTGAGTAAATGAATGGAGGTAAAAGTCAGCTAGCAAGGCAGCCAGGGTAGCTACAGGCAGCCTGATTTGGACAAGTAATTTTATTTTATTTTTAATTTATTTATTTATTTTGAATCTCTGAAAGAGTTTCACTTTTGTCGCCCAGGCTGGAGTGCAATGGTGTGATCTTGGCTCACTGCAACCTCTGCCTCTTGGGTTCAAGCGATTCTCCTGCCTCAGCCTCCTCAGTAGCTGGGATTACAGGTGCCTGCCACAACGCCTGGCTAATTTTCTTGTATTTTTAGTAGAGATGGGGTTTCCCCATGTCAGCCAGGCTGGTCTTGAACTCCTGACCCCAGGTGATCTGCCTGCCTCGGCCTCCCAAAGTGCTGGGATTACAGGTGTGAGCCACCACACCTGGCCCGTGGACAAGTAATTTTAAAAGCCCAGAAAACATTGACTATTCACTTGGACAAGCTAAAAATAATGGATGGTGCCTGGTGTTGGTGAAGATGAAGAGACATGGATGCTCTTCCACCTTCCTGGTGAGACTGTAAATTGGTACAAAATTTCAGGGAACAAAATTTTAAAAGGGCATATCCTTTGACCAAACAAGCTTACCTCTAGAAATTTAACGTGAGGAAATACTTGGGCAAAGGTAGAAAGACAGGTTATGTATTAATAGTAAAAAGTGCCCAGAATGAGGGATTAGTTAAGAGAAAATAATGGTTCATCCATATCACAATAGCTCATAATCGCTGCGGTTAATAGAAAGTGGTAGTCAACTGTGTGCCAGATAACTCAAGTGGTCATCAAGATTCCCCTATGACATAGATGCTGTTATTATTCCTATTTTGTAGATGAGGAAACAGGTATAGAGAGGTTAAGAAACTTGTTGAGGTCACACAGCTGGTGAGGAGAGAAGGAATTTGGATCTAGGCGCTGGTTCCCAAGACTACAGTCTTTCATTCACAGCTCATATCATGATGATGTCGACCTGAATTCATCAACATGGAATCATGCCTGCAATAAATTGTTACAGGGAAAAGGCATATTGGAAAATTCCAAGAGTGGCTACCTCTCCACATGGGATAATGGCAAATATCTTTTTAATTTTTTCTTCTTTCTCATTTGAATTTTTCTTACAATGTGTAAATATTATTATGCTTACAAAAGACAATGAAGTTCTTAGTCCCAGCTGCTGGGGAGCTGAGGCAGGAGAACCGCTTGAACCCAGGAGGCAGAGGTTGCAGTGATCCAAGATCGCGCCACGGCACTCAAGCCTGGATGACAGAGTGAGACTCAGCCTCGGGAAAAAAAAAAAAGACAATGAAGTTCCTTTCATTTTGGGGGAAAATAGAAAAAGGAGAAAAGAGGACGGGCACAGTGGCTCATGCCTGTATTCCCAGCACTCTGGGAGGCCGAGATGGGTGGATCACTTGAGGTCAGGAGTTCGAGACCAGCCTGGCCAACATGGCAAAACTCCATCTCTAGTAAAATTACAAAAATTAGCCGGGTGTGGTGGCATGCACCTGTAGTCCTAGCTACTTGGGAGGCTGAGGCAGGAGAATAGCTTGAACCCGGGAGGGTGGAGGTTGCAGTGAGTCAAGATTGCGCCACTGTACTCCAGTCTGGACAACAGAGCAAGGCTCCATCTCAAAAAAAGAAAAAAGAAAAGAAAAAGGAAAAAAGCTGGAGGATGCAGGAAAGGACTCTATAGGAACTTCCAAGGCCTCCTTGGCTGGTGACCTGGCTTTGGCCTCCGCTGCCTCCTACAGCCAGGCAAGCTGCCATCCTCTTCCACTGGGGAAAAAGGGGTGCCTTGTTTTTCTTCCCTGATAGCCAGACAGGCGAGAGCAGAGAGGCAGCTGCAAAAGCTTCCTCGGTGCCTCATACTCATGGACTCCATCTAAAAGTAACTCCTCACCCCCAACCATCATATGGCTGCTAATATTAGTGCTCATTTTTCCACTGAGGAAACAGAAACTTAGAGAGGTGGATCTGTCCAGGGTCATTTCCACAATGAGGACAGGAGGCAGGAAGCAGGCTCCATCCTAGTGATGGACACCTAAGTCCCTGTTTTTTCATTTGCACAACCATTTGAAGGAGAATCCTGTGTTTTTTGTTACACCATACTGCTCAAAAATTTCTATCAAACTATAGCAAAGATTCCTTTCCTTCCTTTAAAAAATGTTGAAGGGAAATGTCTTAGACTTGAGTATCTTGATTTATAGTCGATATACAGCAGTTTAGCCCTTGAATATGGCCAATGACGTGTTGCAGCAAGCTGAGCACTTCTATTACATGCAAAGACTCTGACTGCAAACATCCAAGTGGGCAAGGGATTATCAAGTTTAGCAATGGACTAACCAAAAACTGCATTCGTGTGGAACTGACCACAAGCTTTACATTATGCTTTTGCTCCTTTCTTGCTCATTACCCATTGTATAACAAAATATGCCCAGACTTGGGCTTTAATAAAAAATTTCTTAGCTCTCAATTTTTTGTGGTTTGATTGGTCTTAGCTAGGTGGCTCTTGCTTAGGGTCTTTCATAAAGTTGCAGTCAGGTGGTGGCTGGGGCTGCAGTCACCTGGTGGGTCAGCTTGGCTGAACACCTACCATGGCACACTCCTATGGCCTAAACCCCAAGGATAAAGAGAATGAGAGTTTTGACATCAGCCTACAAGGGATTTCAATAGTCCTTGGAGAATGGATGGCGGATGGAAGAGTGGTATTGCTATAACAGAACAAATGAAACTACAAACTAAGTGCCTGCAGTGCGGGAAACTATTGAGGAGCAAGCCACCCCACTGCAGAACCCTGGACGCGGTGATACACTGGAGCTAGCTCATTCTGGTTAATGAGAGTGGATTTTTTAAAAAATTCAAGGCCAGGTGTGGTGGCTCATGACTGCAATCCCAGCGTTTTGGAGGTCGAGGCGGGAGGATCACTTGAGCCCAGTTCGAGGCGGCAGTGAGCTATGATTGCACCACTGCACTCCAGCCTGGGCAACAGAGCAAGACTCTGTCTCTTAGAAAAGTTTTTTTTTTTCCAGTAATATTATTCTTGTATGGTGCAAACACTATATAATGCTGCGCTACTGCCCATTTTCTTTCCAGAAAGGATAAGGCACTCAATTTTCCAGACATTTCTTGAGTACCATACTTGTGCCAGGCCCTGGGAAACAGTGATCAGCAGGAGGGACGAAGAGCCCACCCTCATGGGGCTTACAGTGTACAGGGGCTGAGGTGGTGATATTTGTCAAATAACCACCCAAACACTTAATTAGAAATCGTGATAAGCCCAATGAAAGAAAAATACATGAAACAGTTTTATTTGGGAAGGGAGTGGTTTAGGGAAGACTCGAAAGTGACAATGGAGCTATCAAGTTCAAGAAGGAGTTAGTAGGGGAGGAGGCTGCAGGAAGAAGTGCACGCCTGGAGGCAGGAACAGCATGTGTCCCGGTAGTTCAGGGTGGCGGGCCCAGGCGGGTGAGAAAGGGCAATGGAGAAGGAAGGAGAGGAGACCGTGCAGACACTGCAAGTGCCAGAAACCCGATCCACACTGGCTTCAGAGGGTGGAGGGGAGGTTCTTCTTGGCTTCCATAATAGAAATGTCCAGGGACCTACCGACTTCAGATTCAGCGCAAACTCATCTGGGCCCGGTCTGTATCCCTCCCTCTCTTTTCTCTCAGCACTTTCCTCAGGCGGTTCCCCTCCTGGCATCCCAGCAGCTGCAGCATCAGCAGGAGAGAGTAAGCCTCTCCAGTCCCGGCGCAGGGATGGAGACGGTGTTTCGTGGGCTCCGATTGGCTCAGTAGCCTATCTTTGGAGCGAATCAGCGAGCGGAGAGGGATGAACTTCTCTGACTGGCCAGATCCAGTCACATGCCAACATGTGACGCGTGGAATCTACGCCAGCCACAGCAGAGAGGTGGGGGTTGTGACCGGAGTTAGATGCCAGCGCAGAAGGGACGTGAGCCCAGCCGAGGTACCGCTGAAGAGGAATCAATTTTGGTATGCAGATAATCACTGGGCTCATGGGTCTTGCTCTTTACAAAGAGGTATGTCCCTGTAAAGTTGTCAGGCAAAGGAAATGTTTCAAACGACTCCATTTCACGAAGTCTCACCTAATTTACAATTCGTTAGTTGAGATGCTTGTATTCTTCGTTTCTAAAATAAGACGTTGAACCATAAAGACTCTAGCTAGCTCTGCAACCTCTGATGAATATTTCATGCCTCATTATTGTGAAAAATCCAAAGCAGAATTGGAGAGAAGATGTGGTATAGGGATTAGGTAAGTGAAGACTGGTGCAAAGCCTCCTGGGTCGAAATTCTGTCCACTGCTTTGTCATTGGAAAAGTTATTTAACGTCGTCGTCTCAGTTCCCACAACTATTAAAATGGAGAGGATAACAACACCTACCTTATGCTCTTGTGAGGATTAAATAAGTTACCGTTAATATATGTAAAGCACTTAAAAGAGGACCATGTGTTTGCTATTATTATGTTATACATACAATAAAGAGTAAACATTACCTAAGTTATAAAGAACTTAGGCAATGGATACCAAAAGTACTAATTCCTTTATAATAAAAGAAAAAAAGGCGACAAGGCAAATAACGATAATAACTGATAATGGCTGGGCGCGATGGCTCACGCCTGTAACCCCAGGACTTTAGGAGGCGGAGGCGGGCGGATCACTTGAGGTCAGGAGTTTGAGAACAGCCTGGCCAACATGGTGAAACCCTGTCTCTACTAAAAATACAAAAAATTAGTCGGGCGTGGTGGCGCACACCTGTAATCCCAGCTACTCGGGAGGCTGAGACAGGAGAATCGCTTGAAC
Organism: Homo sapiens; assembly: GCF_000001405.40. Classification (NCBI taxonomy): domain Eukaryota; kingdom Metazoa; phylum Chordata; class Mammalia; order Primates; family Hominidae; genus Homo; species Homo sapiens. The sequence continues at coordinate 18,857,258 of NC_000017.11, forward strand.
CCGGGAGACGAAGTTTGCAGTGAGCTGAGATCGCGCCGATGCACTCTAGCCTGGACAACAGAGCGAAACTCCGTCTCAAAACAAAAAACTAACAAACGAACAAAAAACTGATCATTTATTATACACCCAGAACTGTGCTTTTAGCACAGTTTTGTTTTGTTTTGTTTTGTTTTTGAGATGGACTCTTGCTCTGTCACCCAGGCTGGAGAGCAGTGGCGCGATCTCGGCTCACTGCAACCTCTGCCTCCCGGGTTCAAGCGATTCTCCTGCCTCAGCCTCCTGAGTAGCTGGGATTACAGGCGCGCACCACCACGCCTGGCTAATTTTTTTTTTTTGTATTTTTAGTAGAGATGGGGGTTTCACCATGTTGGTCAGGCTGGTCTCGAACTCCTGACCTCGTGATCCGCCCGCCTCAGCCTCGCAAAGTGCTGGAATTACAGGCGTGAACCACCGCGTCTGGCCGTATTGTCTCATTTAATCCTCACAACAGTCTTATGGAATGGGTGCTGCTATCTTTGTTTTTCAGATGAGGAAACAAGCTCAGAGGGTTGAAATGACTTGTCCAAGGTTACAGGCCAGTGGAGGCTTGAACCCAGGTATTTGTAATTCCAAATGTCATACTCTGTCCACATTCATTCCTTGTAACCTGCCTGGGCTGTCACAGTTGGTGTGGGGCTAGCAGCTCCCCAGGGACCAAAACAGGCGCATCCCCGCCCACCGCCCCGCCCATCGTGCCAGCCCGACTCCACCCCTGTGGCTACACCCACTGCCCCGCGCCTTACCCACTGGTGGGCCACGCCCACAGCCCCCAGCTAGGTGCCTCCGCTGTCCGGGCTCTAGTCCCGCCCTCGCCCCTCCCCGCCCACCGGCCTCGCAGTCACCGCGGACGCCAATCTTGTGCATGGAGTCGCCATTTTGCTCCTAGAGAGGCCGCCAGGAGACCCGGCGCTTTCTTCCTTCTGCAGCTGAGGCTGCGGCGGGGCCGGGGCTGGGGTCGGGGCCAGGTAGGCGGGCGGGAGCCAGTGGCGAGCGGCAGCGAGGGCTGGCTGGCTCCGGCATTGCGGGGCGCAGGTGCAAGGGGCGGGGAGCCCGCGGCGCCGGCAGGCGGACGGGTCGGGGTCCCTGGGTGGTGGCTGCTTGGGGGCTCACTGGGGCGATCTCGCGCCCGCGGCCCTTCCATTTTTCCCTCCCTTCTTCCTCTCCCGCCAGGGGTCGGCGGGGGCGGGGGACGGGCGTCCGGTGCCTGGGCTCTCTCCTCTCCCTGAGGCGCCGCTGGGGAGTCGAACCCTGATGATGGGACCTGTGGTGAGCAGCCCTGAAAGCAAGCCCAGACCCAGCCATTCTCCGTCCCTAAGCTGACACGGAGCCCCTGATTTTAATTTACCTGGCTTTGCTAGTTACGAATATATCTCTCACCTCCTAAAGGATGATTTTATCCAACTCAGAACTCACCCCAGCAGAGATTGAGGGGGAACCGTGATGAAATTTTTAAGTATTCTGCTTGATGATAATAATTTTTCTCTTATGTTAATGTTGGCTCCGTTTGGGTGTTTAGCTTTTGAAAGGAGTATGAAAATGCGGAATGGGGCTTTGGGGCTTGAGGTGTGATCTCTAGTGTTTAAAAAATTTAATTGCACAAATAGAAATAATTCACCCACATTATTGAACCCCACTAAAGCATATCCTTTTTGTCCATATTCCTTTCCTGCTGCCCTCGTGTGTACCATTATTACTCAGTTGTGATTTGAGCTCGTTCCACTTAAAGTCATTCATAGATACTTTTGCGTCGTGTTGAATATTTATTGAATTTCTATTCTGTGTTTTACTTAATTACTTTATTATGGAACCTTTACACAGGTCTGGTGTACTTGTTCTTTGAAAAGTCTTATGTTGACCACCATCACTGAGCATATAGCTTTTTCCTTATTTCCTTGGGATAATTACCCGAAGTGGAAATACCGAATCAAACTTCTGTTTTCTTTCTTTGGCACTATTATATAAATTGTTTTCCAAACAAGGCATGTTTACAATAGACATTTTTCAAAATCTGGGTATTTGTCCTATTTTGCTCTCTGTATGCAGAATTCAGCGGGGTGCCAAGTCGTTTTCTGTGTGGGTTGAGAGACAGGCTGTGCAGCCCACTGTTGCATAGGACTAACTACTACAAATCATGCTGAGACCGAGCTATTTTTGCTGCTTAGAGGCTTTGCAGCCTTGAGTAAGTTTCTTCATCTGGAAACCTAGCTTCCCTGTCTAAAATGGGTCTCATTCTAGTGCTTGCTTCACTGGGTTGTCATAAGCATTGTGAACACTCAGATGTTAGGCATGAGTTAACATTGTGTTGGAGAGATAAGCAGAGCCTGGGATCATACAGGAGTGGAAGAGTAATTCGGTTTAGAATTTGCCCTTCAAATTCTCATCAATATTGATATTAAAAACAGATTTCCTTGGAGTGAGGCACATCACTAATAAACATACATAATAAGTTTTTTTATTTTTATTTTTTTTGCAGAGTCTTGCTCTGTCTCCCGGGCTGGAGAGCAGTGGCGCGATCTCAGCTCACTGCAACCTCTGCCTCCCGGGTTCAAGCGATTCTCCTGCCTCAGCCTCCTGAGTAGCTGGGATTACAGGCATGCGCCACCACGCCCGGCTAATTTTTTGTATTTTTAGTAGAGACAGGGTGTCACCACGTTTGTCAGGTTGGTCTCAAACTCCTGACCTTGTGATCTGCCTGCCTTGGCCTCCCAAAGTGCTGGGATTACAAGCGTGAGCCACCATGCCCATCCAATAAACATAAATTTTTATACTTTTTAATTTTTTGACACAGAGTCTTGCTCTGTTGCCCAGGTTGGAGTGTAGTGGCGCGATCTCAGCTCACTGCAACCTCTGCCTCCCAAGTTCAAGCGATTCTCCTGCCTCAGCTGCGCAAGTAGCTGGGGTTACAGGTGCATGCCACCACACCTGGCTCATTTTTGTATTTTTTAGTAGGGGTTTCGCCTTGTTGACCAGGCTGGTCTCGAACTCCTGACCTCAGGTGATCCGTCCACCTTGGCCTCCCAAAGTGCTGGGATTACAGGCCTGAGGCACTGCGCCTGGCCGGTTTTTATACTTTATGATGCCTTTTAGTTCATCTTTCAATTTCATTTGTTAATCATTGTGACTCATTGAAGTCAGGCATTATTCAGCAATCATTTGTTTAGCCTCTACCGTGTGGCAGCTGCACAGGGTATACAGCAGAGAATATCATGGTAAAAAATAGTCTCTGCTGCCTGGACCTTAAATTCTGATGGGGAAATCTTTTTACCAAGGTTATATCTCTTGTCTGGAAGGTAAAGGCTGAGGCCCAGCAAGGACAAGTGATGTCCACATGGCCTAGTAGCTGGAAGGCAAACCCAACTCTTCACACTCCTACTTCAGCCATCTTTAAGTAGAAGGTATTTACACAGTAGATGCTTTAGAGGGAAGACAACACACTTCAATGTGAGTCTTCCCCATCTGAAATGTGGGTGAGTGGTTTTGAAATGACTGCTAGTCTGTCCAAAGGAAATGATCTCTCAGTGTGGTTTCTTCATTCATGAGACTTAACATTCTAAAATCTTATTCAAAAGAGGAGTATGATTTGCTCTTTAAAAGGTGCTAAGATTCTCTGAAAACGGTGTGTTTTCATACATGTTATAAATAATTCTCACACATTCTAGAGTAAATTTAGAATAAACATAAAGCAGTTATAGCTCATGGGGAAAATAAGGGAGTGTTCTCATTTCACACTAAAACCTTGTGCTAACAAGCCTCCTGCCAGCCCCATCTCGATGATTATTATGTTTTTGAGGATAGTCTTTATAACTCTTTTCTTGAAGCTTGGTAAAGAACACAGCCTTAATTACCAACAGGAGAAAGGAGAACTAAAACTACAAGCAGGCATTATGGCCGGGCGCAGTGGCTCATGCCTGTAATCCCAGCACTTTAGGAGGCTGAGGCGGGTGGATTACCTGAGCTTGGGAGTTTGAGACCAGCCTGACCAACATGGAGAAACCCTGTCTCTACTAAAAATACAAAATTAGACGGGTGTGGTGGCGCATGCCTGTAATCCCAGCTACTCAGGAGGCTGAGGCAGGAGAATCGCTTGAACCGGGGAGGCGGAGGTTATAGTGAGCCGCAATCGCGCCATTGCTCTCCAGCCTGGGCAACAAGAGTGAAACTCCATCTTAAAAAAAAAAAAAAGAAAAAAAAGAAAAATAAACAGCCCTTATGTTTGAATAACTTGTGAAGTGAATAGTCACAAAACATGACTATGTTGATAGTCATTTCCAAGTGGATGCTCCCCAGTCCACTCCACCATGTCATTTTGAGGGTGGTCTTAGGTTAGGATTCTATATAGAAGCCTATATCTGAAGTCTAGAACGTCAGAGACCACATGCAGGGTGTTGCAGGCCATTTTAAACCATGAGAGATAAGGAAAGACTTCAGGAAATATCCTGGAAAAAATATACAAAGGCAGGAGAGCTATCTTGAAATAGTTTGGAGGCCATCCTGTGGAAAAGGAATTTGATGTTTCCCATAAATCTCTAAGGAGAGTACAAGAACCAGTGGGCAGAAGCTGCAGGAAGAGGAATCTCAGCATGTTCTTTTGTTTGTTTGTTTGTTTGTTTTGAGACAGTCTTGCTCTGTCACCCAGGCTGGCGTGCAGTGGTGCAGTCTCTACTCACTGCAACCTCCGCCTCCCAGGTTCAAGCGATTCACCTGCCTCAGCCTCGTGAGTAGCTGGGACTACAGGTGTGTGCCACCAGGCCTAGCTAATTTTTGCATTTTTAGTAGAAATGAGGTTTCACCATGTTGGCCAGACTGGTCTTGAACTTCTGACCTCAGGTAATCCGCCTGCCTCGCTCTCCCAATTTGCTGGGATTATAGGCATGAGCCACGGCGCCTGGCCACAGCATGTTCTAAGGAAGAATTTGGAATGATGGGCCCTCAGCGGATGTGGGCATCAGACCCTGGGGCTGTTCAAGCTTCTGTTGAGTGGTTCCTTGGCAGGATTCCTACAGATGGGCTTTGAACAAAAGATTTAGGAGGGATGGGCTGAACTACCTCTAAGATCTCTTCCTACCTCTAAAATACTTTCATTCTAAGTGTTCCAACTCCTATCAGGAATCCTGCTGTACTTTAAGGAGCTTCTTATTTGAAGGTTAGGGGGTGTAAAAAAAATGCCCCTCCCCCCATGGCTGTTACTGTACTTATATGGTAGATAATCAAGATGTTAGAAGTCAGTTCATAGGTAGCATGTCCGATATGCAGGGCACTGTGTTAAGTGCCTTGCAGAAATTTTACAGTCACCTGTGGGGTCAGTTTTCACAGTTGTATGGATGGCAGAACTGAGGCTAAGAGATTTTGAGTATTAGATAACTTATGCAAGTCCTCACTGTGAGTTTAGGGGAAGTATTTCAAGATGCAAACATGAGTTTGACTCCAAATCCTGTATTTACAACTACAGGAAAATTAGTTTGTTTTTATTTATTTTCCTGGACCTGTAACACCCTTTTATTTATTTATTTATTTATTTATTTATTTATTTATTTATTTTTCTGAGACAGAGTCTCGCTCTGTCTCCCAGGCTGGAGTGCAGTGGCATGATCTCAGCTCACTGCCCACTTCGCCTCCCAGGTTCACGCCATTTTCCTGCCTCAGCCTCCCGAGTAGCTGGGACTGTAGGCGCCCACCACCACGCCCACCTAATTTTTTGTATTTTTAGTAGAGACGGGGCTTCACTGTGTTAGCCAGGATGGTCTTGATCTCCTGACCTCGTGATCCACCTGCCTCGGCCTCCCAAAGTGCTGGGATTACAGGCATGAGCCACCGTGCCCGGCAATTTTTTATTTATTTATTTTTTTATTTTTTTGAGACGAGGTCGCATTCCCATCGTCCAGGCAGGAGTGCAGTGAAGTGGTGCAATCATGGCTCATTGCAGCCCTGACCATCTGGGCTCAAGTGATCCTCCCACCTCATTTTTTGATTTTTTTGTAGAGACTAGGTCTCACTATGTAGCCGAGGCTGGTCTCAAACTCTTGGGCTCAAGCAGTCAGCCCACCTTGGCCTCACAAGGTGCTGGGATTAGCGGTGTGAGTTGCTGTGCCTGGCCATACCTTTTGTTCTTAAACACACATGTTTATTGGTTGAGAGATGGCTTTAGAAGTATTTAAGATCCCTTCCAGAATGTTGATGATTAAACGTATTCTTTCTTTCTTTTCTTTCTTTCTTCCCTTTCTTTCTTCTTCTCTTTTCTTTTCTTTTCTTTATTTGAAACGGAGTCTCGCTCTGTCGCCCAGGCTGGAGTGCAGTGGCGCGATCTTGGCTCACTGCAAGCTCTGCCTCCTGGGTTCATGCCATTCTTCTGCCTCAGCCTCCCGATTAGCTGGGACTACAGGCACCTGCCACCACGCCCGGCTAATCTTTTGTATTTTTAGTGGAGACAGCGTTTCGCCATGTTGTCCAGGCTGGTCTCGAACCCCTGACCTCAGGTGATCCACCCACCTCGGCCTCCCAAAGTGCTGGGATTACAGGCGTAAGCCACTGCGTGGCCTTTTTTTTTTTTTTTTTTTTTTAATTTTTTAGATGGAGTTTTGTTCTCATTGCCCAGGTTGGAGTGCAGTGGATCTCAGCTCACTGCAACTTCTGCCTCCTGGGTTTAAGCGATTCTCCTGCCTCAGCCTCATGAGTAGCTGGGATTACAGGCATGTACCACCATGCCTGGCTTATTTTTATTTTTATTTTTTTGTATTTTTAGTAGAGATGGGGTTTCACCATGTTGGTCAGGCTGGTCTCGAACTCCTGGCCTCAAGTGATCTGCCCACCTCAGCCTCCCAAAGTGCTAGGATTACAGGCGTGAGCCACTGTGCCTGGCCGTATATAATTTTTATGGAGGTCACATGTATAAATGCATAGAAAAAGTCTTATGTTGTCCCTACCAAACTGATAAGAACCCTCACTTCTGGGGAGGACCTGGGATCGAGGCTGGTGACTTTATCCTTAACTATCATGTTTCAGGTTTTTTTTTTTTTCTGAGACGGAGTCTCGCTCTGTTGCCCAGGCTGGAGTACAGTGGTGCAATCTTGGCTCACTGCAACCTCTGCCTCCTGAGTTCAAGCGATTCTCAAGCCTCAGCCTCTAGAGTAGCTGGGACTATAGGCAGCCACCACCACGCCCAGCTCATTTTTGTATTTTTAGTAGAGACAGATTTCACCCTTTTGGCCAGGCTGGTCTTGAACTCCTGACCTTGTGATCCGCCTGCCTTGGCCTCCCAAAGTGCTGGGATTACAGGTCTGAGCCACCGCGCCCAGCCATGTTTCAGGTTTTTATAGGGAGGATGTGTTTGTGTTTTACTTGTATAATTAAAATTTGAGAATAATGAAAAAGATTAGCTTAGTTTCAGCTCATTGATGATCTACACCAGCCTTCCCAGAGGTCCCAGGTGAACATACAACTGTGGAAATGCAGTGGGCTTGCTGAGAAAGGGCCCCCCTGCCCACAGCCTGCTGGATTGTTGCTGTTCCTCCCATCTAGCATCTCCATTATGTGATGAGGACACTCAGCAATGATGACGACTTTTTTTTTTTGAGATGGAGTCTTGCTGTGTCGCCAGGCTGGAAGTGCAGTGGCACGATCTCAGCTCACTGCAACCTCTGCCTCCCAGGTTCACGTCATTCTCCTACCTCAGCCTCCCGAGTAGGTGGGACTACAGGCACGCGCCACCATGCCCAGCTATTTTTTGTATTTTTAGTAGAGACAGGGTTTCACCATGTTGGCCAGGGTGGTCTTGATCTCTTGATCTCGTGATCTGCCTGCCTTGGCTTCCCAAAGTGCTAGGATTACAGGCGTGAGCCACCACATCTGACCAGCACTGATGATTTATAAGCCAGGGACCTTTTTATTTTTGGCCCACTGCCAAAATTTGGGTGTGACCAAAACTGTCATTTGGGTGGTCGCTTAAGTGTCCTTCAAGGTGATTATCTAGTCAGCCCGTGTTCCACTTGAGGAAAATGAAGATGAGAGGTCAGTTTTAGACATGACACAGGGCAGCTGAAAGGCCGGGAAAGGTTTTATGGTAAACAAGGATTACAGGAAAAGCTGGGTGTAGATGGGTCATTTATTCTTTGTCTAAGGATTAATCAGTCCTTGTTCTCGCTAATGGCTCTGCCATTTTTCTGTGTGTTAATCCAGGAGGAATTTTGTTGTCAGAGAATAAAAGGAGGTTGTCCATAATTGACTTTAAGCAGCAATCAGTAAAACATTGAGCTCTTCAGCTCCGCCTTTCTTGTAAGTTTATCATTTCTTCTTAGTGGTTGTGAACATCATGTGATAATGTATTTCCATAAATTTAGGACCCTGAAATCCAACTGAACTTTCTGTTTGTCCATATATATCTAATATTTAAAAAATACTATTAGGATGGAAACTAATTTCCTTCAGCTGAAGTCATTTCCTTTAAAAAAAATTCATTCAGGTATATTTCATATCATATGGCAGTTTTTAATAAGTATTATATCCTTCTAGGCTCTGAAAATTGGAAAACCAAGAAGGTTTTGATGTTTTGTGTGACGCCACCTGAATTAGAAACCAAGATGAACATAACCAAAGGTGGTCTGGTGTTGTTTTCAGCAAACTCGAATTCATCATGTATGGAGCTATCAAAGAAAATTGCAGAGTGAGTTATAATTGTACCATTAAAATCTATATTCATTATGTGATGCTTTAAATTTGATAATCAGATTAGCAGTTATTGTTAAATTTGAAAGCAGATATTTTATAATTATAAAATAATTATATCTTTTTTTCATCATGTATCTTTTTTTTCATCATGCAAGATGTTCATGTAGTATGTCTCATCTGTATATATTAAGGGCTATTCTTTTTGTAAACTATCCCATCTCCCTACATATTCTTTCAGCAGACATTTATTGAGTGCCTTATAAGTGCCAGGGATTGTGTTAGATGCTATATATATATATAATTATTTGAGTATAAAGCACACTGGGGCCAGGCGCGGTGGCTCACGCCTGTAATCCCAGCACTTTGGGAGGCCAAGGCGGGTGTATCACGAGGTCAGGAGATTGAGACCATCCTAGTTAACAAGGTGAAACCCCGCGTCTACTAAAAATACAAAAAATTAGTTGGGCGTGGTGGCGGGCACCTGTAGTCCCAGCTACTTGGGAGGCTGAGGCAGGAGAATCGCTTGAACGCAGGAGGGTTGCAGTGAGCTGAGATTGCACCACTGCACTCCAGCCTGGGCAACAGAACGAGACTCTGTCTCAAAAAAAGAACATTAACATGTATATTATATGAAATAACTTATAGCTTATAGTTTAGTATAATTTTAGATATTTATTAAACAAATATTGTACCCCTACTACTGTGTACTAGACCTTGATCTAGATGTTGGGGATTATCAGTGAGTCAAGATCCATCCTTTTTATGAAATTTACATTTTAGTATGGGAGCCAAACAGAAATCAAGTCAACAAAACAAACAAGGTAATTTCAGATGATGTCAATGCTATGAAGAAAACTGTGTGAAAGTAATGATGGGGCAGGTTGTTCTGCTTTAGCATGTGTGCTGAAGTGCTTTTAAACTGAAGGGATGGTGTGTGAGTTGAGAAACCTGAATGAGCCACCAAGTGAAGGTCTGGAGGCAGAACCCCCCCAAGCAGAGGGGACAGCAGATTCCAAGCCTCTGCAGCATGCAGGAGGAGTTCTTGGTGTGTCTCAGGAACGTGGGCTGGAGTACAGAGTGTCCAAGGAAGATGGCTAGTGAGGCAGGCAGAGCGGGACTGCATAGTCCTTCCTGGGGAGACATGGGGTTGGGGTGAGGGGCTAGGTAATGGATTGATGTAACAATTTAATGTTGACTTTAAATTTTATAAGAAGAATAACTTTATTTTATTTTACTCTTATCGATTTACGAGTCTCCTTAAATAGTAAAGATACTGGGTTTCTTCTATTACTTTTTCAGCTTTTTCCCCCTTTCTCTTCTCTAGGCGGCTAGGGGTGGAGATGGGCAAAGTGCAGGTTTACCAGGAACCTAACAGAGGTGAGCTATCTTGGGCATGTGGAACATTGACCTTTTTGTGAAATGTGGCATATTGGCTCCGTCCTTCATCCTTTACTATTGAAACGATTTGATTCAGTTGTACATTTCCATTAGCAAGAAGTCAGGCAGGCAAGGTAGAACAGAGTGGTTTTTTAGCTCTCACTAATACCAGCTAGATATCTAACCCTGGTGCAAGTCATTTCTGGGGCTTGAACTGCAGTTCTGAGACTTCATTCAGTAAAAGCTGCAGACATATTTGAACCAGCTGGTCAACTGAATGAACATGAGCTCAACTGTTGCTTAAATTTATGTCACCTTAGGAAGGATGAGTAAATCCTGTCACCTTAGACAGGATGACTAAATCCTGTGTGACCGCAGTTTTAGTTAGTCTTTATTTGCACCTAAGCTGCCTTGGGTTAGACTTCATAAAATATTGTTAAGAAATACTTTTTGCTAATTGATACATGTCATTACATAATTCTCCCAAGTTGTAAAAAGAAGTGTTATTTAACCTTTGTAGGTCCAGGTGTGCTGGCTCATGCATCTAATGCCAGCACTTTGGGAGGCTGAGGCAGGCAGATTCCTTGAGCTCAGGAGTTGAGACCAGCCTGGGCAACACGGCAAAACCCTGTCTCTACTAAAAATACAAAAATTAGCCAGGAGTGGTGGTTTGCACTTGTAGTCCCAGCTACTAGGGAGGCTGAGGTGGAAGGATCGCTTGAGCCCAGGAGGTGGAGGCTGCAGTGAAGTGTGATCATACCACAGAGTGAGACCCTGTCTCAAAAATAAATAAATAAATAAATAGAAAGTGATCTTTGTAATTTCTTTAGCAATGGTGGATATTTGAAATTATTTTAGGCCAGGCGTGGTGGCTCACGCCTGTAATCCCAGCACTTTGGGAGGCCGAGGTGGGCGGATCACCTGAGGTCAGGAGTTCGTAGACCAGCCTGGCCAACATGATGAAACCCTGTCTCTACTAAAAATACAAAAATTTGCTGGGCTTGGTGGCAGGCGCCTATAATCCCAGCTCCTGGGAAGGCTGAGGCAGGAGAATCGCTTGAACCCGGGCGGTGGAGGTTGCAGTGAGCCAAGATTGTGCCATTGCACTCCAGCCTGGGGGGGAACAAGAGCGAGACTTTGTCTCAGGGGAAAAAAAAAAAAAAAGAAATTATTTTAGCAGGAGCGATGGACAGCTTGCATGGGCTTGAGAGTTACACACCTTATCCTTGACAAGTTATTTAACCTTTCTAAACTATAAATAAACTGTAAATTAGGGCTGTTTTGAGGATTAAGTGGGATAACTTGTGTGCCTACCAGTTTTTGGCACACAGTAGGTGCTCAATATATACTTATTCCTGTTCCTTTTCCACTAGAAGATTTAAAAAAACATTTTTTTTTTTTTTGGTAGAACAAGGGTCTCATTATGTTGCCCAGGCTTATCTCAAACTCTGGGCAAAAGCAGTTCTCCTATTTCAGCCCCCCAAAGTGCTAGGATTACAGGTGTGAGCCACCAGGCCTGGCCCCTCTACAGGATTTTATCAAATATTTACATATTATAAAGCCTACAGGAGGCTTTGATAAAAAGGCACAAGTTTTGCTGTTCCCATGTTTATCTCCGTTCCTGCCTCTTTTCTGTCTCCCAAGATCCCTATGTGGCGTCAGTAGGGAAAAAGTATAATTAAACTCTGCAAGGAGAGTTTGGAGAAGATTCTTCCTCTAGAGGGGATTGAATGATGTTCTTTGTCTGGAGTCTAGGAGGGAAGGTGAAAGGGAGAAGCAGTGGCATAAGACTCCAGGAGACTGGTCCACTCTCCAAGTTTCTGAATAAAGGGAGAGAAAATACTTGGTGTTTATTGGGAAGGAAGGAAGTAATATTTGTGAATTTCTTACTGTTACCAGATACTGAAAAACTGAGTTCAGGAGTTCAGGGATTGATGTTAGGTACGAGGTCCAGTTTGAATCCAGATCTCCCTGACTCTAAAGCTCATTTTCTTTTCTTTTCTTTTCTTTTTTTTTTTTTTGAGACAGGGTCTTTCTGTGTCACTCAGGCTGGGGTGTAGTGGCATGATCAGGGCTCACTGCAGCCTCTGCCTCCTGGGCTCATGTGCTTCTCCCACCTTAGCCTCCCCAGTAGCTGGTACTACAGGTGGGCACCATGCTGCCAGGCTATTTTTTTTTTTTTTTTAAATATGGAGTCTTGCTCTGTCACCCAGGCTGGAGTGCAGTGGGGCAACCTCGGCTCACTGCCACCTCCGCCTCCCAGGTTCGAGTGATTCTCGTGCCTCAGCCTCCCAAAGTGCTGGGATTACAGGTGTGAGCTACACACACACACCCAGCCATAATTTTTTTTTTTTTTTGATACGGGGCTTTGCCATCTTGCTCAGGCTGGTAAAGCTCATTTTCTTAACATCATACCACATTTCTTTTGTAAACTTGTATTCTGTTTTTTCCAACATTTTTTTTTTTCTCTTATCCTCACAATCTGTTCCCATTTTGCTACTTTTTTTTTGTGTGTGTGTGTGTGTGTGTGTGAGACAGAGTCTTGCTCCATTGCCCAGGCTGGAGTACAGTGGCGCAATCTTGGCTCACTGCAACATCCGCCTCTCAGGTTCAAGCGATACTCCTGCCTCAGCCTCCCAAATAGGTGGGCTTACAGGTGTGTGCCAGCACGCCCGGCTAATTTTTTGTGTTGTTGGTGGAGACGGGCTTTCACCATGTTGGCCAGGTTGGTCTCAAACTTCTGACCTCAAATGATCATCCACCTCAGCCTCCCAAACTATTTTCCTACATTTTTAATGAAAATGTTCAAACATATAAAAAAGTTGAAAGAATAGTACAGTGAACTACCGCCTAGCTTGAACAGTTAACATTTTGCCATATGAATATGTATGTGGCGAACCATTTGAAATTAAGTGCAGGCCGGGTGCGGTGGCTCACTCCTGTAATCCCAGCACGTTGGGATGCTGAGCTGGGTGAATCTCTTCAGCCTGGGAGGTCAAGACTGCAGTGAGCCATATTTGCACCACTGTACCACAGCCTAGGCAACAGGGCGAGATGTGTCCCAAAAAAAGAAAAAAAATGTAAGTTGCAGACAGTTAATCCTTGAATACTTGACCATGCATCCTCTAGGAATAATTACTTTCACCTAAATAAATATGATACCATTATCACATTTAAAGAAATTAACTACAGGCAGGGCATGGTGGCTCACACCTGTAATCCCAGCACTTTGTGGGGGTCAAGGTGGGTGGATCACTTGAGACCAGAAGTTTGAGACCAACCTGGGCAACATGGCAAAACCCCATCTTTACCAAAGATAAAGAAATTAGCCAGGGTTGGTGGCACACAGCTGTAATCCTAGCTACTTGGGAGGCTGAGGCAGGAAGATCACTTGAGTCCGGGAGGTGGAGGTTGCAGTGAGCTGGGATCACGCCGCTGCACTCCAGCCCGGGCAACAGAGCAAGACCTTGTCTCAAAAAAAAAAAAAAAAGAAAAGGAAAAGAAAATTAACTTAACAATTAAGGACAATTCTTTTTTTTTCTGTGGCCTCAAGTGATCTGCCCGCCTTGGCCTCCCAAAGTGCTGGGATTACAGGTGTGAGACACCGCACCCAGCCCAACAACAATTCTTTAATCATCTAATATATGGCCTATATTCACATTTCCCTAATTGTCCTAAAGGGTCTTTTATTTTTTATTTTTTTGAGATGGAATCTGGCTTTGTCACCCAGGCTGGAGTGCAGTGGTGCGATCTTGGCTTACTGCAACCTCTGCCTCCCAGGTTCAAGCAGTTCTCCTGCCTCAGCCTCCTGAGTAGCTGGGATTATAGGTGTGTGCCACCAAGCCCAGCTAATGTTTGTATTTTTAGTAGAGACGAGGTTTCACCATGTTGGCCAGGCTAGCCTTAAACACCTAACCTCAGATTATCCGCCTGCCTGGGCCTCCCAAAGTTCTGGTATTACATGTGTGAGCCACCGTGCCCAGCCTAAAGGGTCTTTTATAGTTGTTTTTTCCAACACCTCCACCCCAAACCAGGATTCTTAGTTCAAGGGATTTTTTTTAAAAAATATCTCTTTAGTCTCTTCTATTTTAGAACAATCCCCTCACCTCTTCCGTTTTCTTCCTGTGACAGTGAAGAGGTTGTCTTGTAGAATGTCCCATTATGGATTTGTCTAATTGTTTCTTTATGACTGATCACACATATTTTGAGAGTAGGGATATTAGGTCTTATTTATCTTTGTTTCTCACAACATACAATGTTTTGTACCTAATACATTCTGAATTGATAATTGATGCTGATTGAATGAGTATATAATTTTCTTTTTTTTTTTTTTTTTTTTTTTTGAGACGGAGTTTCGCTCTTGTTGCCCAGGCTGGAGTGCAATGGCACAATCTCGGCTCACCGCAACCTCCGCCTCCTGGGTTCAAGCGATTCTCCTGCCTCAGCCTCCCGAGTAGCTAGGATTATAGGCATGCACCACCACGCCTGGCTAATTTTGTATTTTTAGTAGAGACGGGGTTTCTCTATGTTGGTCAGGCTGGTCTCGAACTCCTAACCTCAGGTGATTTGCCCGCCTTGGCCTCCCAAAGTGCTGGGATTACAGGCATGAGCCACTGTGCCTGGCCTATGATTGTCTATAAAGATACTGTGCTCAGGCTGGGCACGGTAGCTCACACCTGTAATCCCAGTACTTTGGGAGGCTGAGGCAGGCAGATCGCGAGGTCAGGAGATCGAGACCATCCTGGCTAACATGGTGAAACCCTGTCTCTACTAAAAAAATACAAAACAGTTAGCTGGATGTGGTGGCGGGCGCCTGTAGTTCCAGCCACTCGGGAGGCTGAGGCAGGAGAATGGCATGAACCCAGGAGGCAGAGCTTGCAGTGAGCCAAGATCGCACCACTGCATTCCAGCGTGGGCGACAGAGCAAGACTCCGTCTCAAAAAAAAAAAAAAAAAAGTTACCATGCTCGGAGTGGTACAGCACTCAACTGTTTGTATATATAAGGGGTGAGAATTATACATTTACTTATTTCAAGTCAGAAATGTAATTCTCTCTTAAAGCTGTGTTTTAAAAAGTGATTAATGGCAGTATGTGTATTATCCCTTGTAACATCTAAAGCCTACTGAGTCTTATAACAGTTTGAGTTGCCATATTCTATTACATTAGGGAATAATACAGATTTTTTTGTGTATTTTGAAAAATTTGAACTATATGCCTTTCCCTCTCTTCTTTTTCCTTTTCCTGCCAGAAACAAGAGTACAAATTCAAGAGTCTGTGAGGGGAAAAGATGTTTTCATCATCCAAACTGTTTCGAAGTGAGTATCCAGCAAAAGTGTTGCTTTCTGGGTTTCAGTTTAGGCATGAGTGTTTAAAATAATGATAGATGGCTAGCCAGGAAGAGTTATAATAGTCTTAAAATTAGTATATCTTACCAATTTAGAATTTAGAAAACTAAGTTTTCTGACATAACTGCTGACTTTTACATGTTCTTTCAGTGTTTTTCCTTCTTTCTTTCTTTTTTTTTTTGAGACAAAGTCCCACTCCTTCACCCAGGCTGGAGTGCAGTGGTGCAATCTCAGCTCACTGTAACCACCTCCTCCCAGGTTCTAGTGATTCTCTTGCCTCAGCCTCCCGAGTAGCTGGTACTACAGTTGGCGCCACCACGCCTGGCTAATTTTTGTATTTTTAGTAGAGACGGGGTTTCACCATGTTGGCCAGACTGGTCTTGAACTCCTGACCTCACGCAATCTGCCCGCCTCGGCCTACCAAAGTGGTGGGATTACAGGTATGAGCCACCGTGTCCAGCCACTCAGTGTTCTTAACGGGTGGAAATAACCAAGTATTGGAGTAGAGGCTCTTTTTTTTTTTTTTTTTTTGAGACAGAATTTCACTCTTGTTGCCCAGGCTGGAGTGCAATGACGCGATCTCGGCTTACCGCAACCTCAGCTTACCGCAACCTCTGCTTCCCAGGTTCAAGCAATTCTGCCTCAGCCTCCTGAGCAGCTGGGATTATAGGCATGTGTCACCACGCCCGGTTAATTTTGTGTTTCTAGTAGAGACAGGGTTTCTCCATGTTGGTCAGGCTGGTCTTGAACTCCCGACCTCAGGTGATCCACCTGCCTCAGCCTCCCAAAGTGCTGGGATTACAGGCGTGAGCCACTGCGCCCAGCCTGGAGTAGAGGCTGTTAATGATAATAGTATACATTAAGTTTCCTAACAATTAACAGCCAGAATTTTGTAAAACTTGCAAGGAAGCATTTCTAGTTCCCTCCTCTCCCCAAAAGAAACAGAGGCTAGGGGAGGAGACCTTTCTTAGTTGGGGTTCTTTAAGCTTTTATTGCATATAAAAGTGATCATTATTTACTGTTTTATTACATAAATTAGCTGAGAGGATAAAAAACTGTACTGAAGGAATGTGTATTCCTGTCTGGTGTGACCTTTGACACACCTGTGTTCTGGAAATTGTTTGGTCACATATGTTTAAGCTAGGTATAGAAGATTCAATGCAGCAAGGCTGTCTCTGGCACTCTGGAAGGGAGGGTGATCACCTGGAGCCCTACTTTTTTTTTTTCTTTTTCTTTTTTCTAAGAGGTAGAGTCTTGCTCTGTTGTCCAGTCTGGAGTGCAGTGGTGAGATCATAACTCACTACAACTTCAAACTCCTGGGCTCAAACTATCCTCCTCCCTCAGCCTCCCAAGTAGCTGGGACTACAGGCATGCACCAGCATGCTCACCTCGTTTTTTCATTTTTTGTAGAGATGGAGGTCTCACTGTATTGCCCAGCTGGTCTCAAACTTTTGGCCTCAAGTGATCCTCCTGCCTTGACCTCCTATATTGCTGAGATTCCAGCAATATAGAAGGTGAGCCTATCACACCTGGCCTTAAAGCCCCACTTTCCATTGTGTGTTTGTCCACAAATGTCCCTAAATGCTTCTGTGTATGAAGTTCTTCGCTCAGAACAATTTTTAATGTCTAGAAATCAGTTTGTCTAGTGCATTATTTTTTAGCTTAGAGAGTCTGAAAGTTGCTGCATGCTTAATTTGTGTATATACATATATAAAACCAACGAAAGGGAAAAAGAAGGCCATTTCGGGAGACTTTAGTCTTGGAACACACATTTTTTTCACCTAAATTTTGAACATTTTCTCTCCTGGTCTTTGGTTTATTGGGATGAAGTCACAAAACCCCCATCTCTCCTGGGAAGAGGAGTGGCAGGGGAGACCTGTCCTTGCATCCTATAGCCCTGGCAAACGGGTGTGCTCTGAAGGAGGAAGGGTGTGGAGGGCCTTTGCCACGGTGCCCTAGCTTCACCTTCTGCTGTGACACCCAGGATTCTCAGCAGAGCTGGAGGTGGGGGCACGGAGCGCCAACTGCCCCTGCTGCTGCTGTCCTCTTTCCCCTTTCCCACGTCTGCCACCAAACCAGGGTGGAAGTGGAGGACTCACCTGTGCCCACATCTTAACCCTTTACCTCCAGCATCGGGGTAGGGAAGGGGCGGGCACAGAACAACTTAAACGGCTTCTGGCTCCTTGGTTTCTGTGTCTGTGGTACTTTTATGTCCTTACAGACAAGTGTGATTCCATTGGATAAATGCACAGAGGTTGTGTGGATTACCCAAGGGGATGGGTAGGCATTGAGGGCACCCCTGGACTTAGAATTTAGGACTTCAGAAGGGTGACTGCTGATCCTTCTCATTTTCAAGTCCTTCTGGTTGTTTATTTTTGTACATTTCAATACTTATCCTGTGCCCCTGTCTTTTGTCAGTTTCATATTCCTCTAATCAGAATCACTCAGCACCCCTTTCATTTTCTCTCCGTGTCTCATTTTGCATTGTTCCATACCTGACATAAGCTTGTGTTAACTCGGGTTCTCAGTCTTGTCCATGTTGCAGAGTCTGGACGTCATGGTCTTCTTTGTGAAATACCATGAAATAACATTTAGTGTTGAGGGCCAGATGTGGTGGCTCATGCCTGTAATCCTAGCACTTTGGGAGGTCGAGGTGGGCATATCAGTTGAGGCCAGGAGTTTGAGACCAGCCAGGCCAACACGGTGAAACCCTGTCTTTACTAAAAATACAAAAAATTAGCTGGGCATGGTCATGAGCGCCTGTAGTCCCAGCTACTCAGGTGGCTGAGGCACGAGAATTGCTTGAACGCAGGAGGCAGAGGTTGTAGTGAGCTGAGATCACGCCACTGGATTCCAGCCTGGGTAAAAGAACAAGGCTCCATCTCGAAGTAAAAAAAAAAAAGGCTGGGCGAGGTGGCTTACACCTATAATCCCAGAGCTTTGGGAGGCCGAGGCGGGCAGATCAGGAGTTCAAGACCAGCCTGGCCAACATGGTGAAACCCTGTCTCTACTGAAAATACAAAAATTAGCTGGGCGTGGTGATATGCGCTTCTAATTCCAGCTACTTGGGAGGCTGAGGCATGAGAATCGCTTGAACCCAGGAGACAGAGGGTGCAGTGAGCCAAGATGGCGCCACTATACTCCAGGCTGGGTGATAGAGTGAGACTCTGTCTCAAAAAAAAAAAAAAAAAGCCTGTAATCCCACCACTTTGGGAGGCCCCAGGCGTGCAGATCACCTGAGGTCGGGAGTTCAAGACCAGCCTGACCAACATGGAGAAACGCTCTCTCTGCTAAAAATGCAAAATTAGCCGGGCATGGTGGCGCATGCCTGTGATCTCAGCTACTCGGGAGGCTGAGACAGGAGAATTGCTTGATCCTGGGAGGCGGAGGTTGCGGTGAGCCGAGATCATGCCATTGCACTCCAGCCTGGGCAACAAGAGCAGAACTCCGTCTCAAAAACAAACAAACAAAAAAATGATTTAGTGTTGTCAGATACATCTTATACTTCATTTTACTACAGATTAGTGCTAGCACTAAAAATAAAAGAGAAATTTAAAATTAAGAAAATTCCATCCATTAACTGAAGTTTTCCTGTATTTCAAACAAGACTGTCCTTATCTGAGTTCAGTAATGGAAAGCCTTGTTCCTCCACTCTTATCCTTCCCATAGAATACTTTTCTGAAAATCTTTTTTTTTCCTAAGTTAATTAACAGGGTGAAAGTCTCTTTTAACTCATCAGATGTCAGACTTGTTGTATAGTGACAGAGAACCTACTCACCTGAATGTTCTGTGTTTCCATTCACTCCTTCTTTCATTAACAAATACTTATTTTGAATGTCTACAATATGTGAATTACAGTTAGTTACACGTATGCAGGATGCCTCCATGATTAAAACAGAGAAAGTCCTTGTCCTTGTGGAGTTTATATTCCAGTGGAGGAAGACATAAAGTGAGCATAATAAAGACATAGATTATCTAGAAGGTGATGAATGGTTTGGAAAAAAATAAGACAGCATGGTGAGATGATAGTGGTGAGAGGGCAGAGAGAGGCAGACAGGGTAGGCCTCATTGTGGAGGTGACATTTGAACAGAGACTAGAGAAGGTGAGGGAGAGTCAGGTGACTAGGTGGGGAGAAAAGCATTGCAGGCAGTGGGAACGCCTAGAGCAAGCCCCTTAGCGGTGTGAGCTGCTGTGGGAGGACTGAACAGGGTCAGGTGTGGCCAGGCAGGAGGGGAGGGGCAGATCCTCAAGTTTGGACTGGAGTTGTAAATTTGAGAGTTGCCACCATCTATGAAGCTGTGAAATTAGATGAGAAGCCCAAAGGACGAGAGGGAACAGAAAGAGAGGACACATGAGCAAGTCCTGGGACGTGAGGCTGGGGAGAAGAGGAACCAGCAAAAGAAACCAAGGGTGGAAGGAGGACACCAGAGAGGGGCATTCTGGAAGCCAAGTGACCGTGGACATGGCCGCATGGAGGCCACTGATGACCTTTATGAAAACAAAGCTTCACTGGACTATTTGGGAGAGACTGAGAGTAGATAAATTGGAGATAGTGTAAGATGTACAGCAAAGGGGAGCAGAGGGGAGAGTGGTTATGAGTCGTGTTAATGGAAGTAACAGAATGTTTGTGGCCGATGGGTTATCAGTGGTGGAGGCAGGAGAGGAGAGAGAATTCCTTACATAGGTGTGCCATTTGGAGGGATTAATTTTAGGGCCACTGGCATGGAAATTTCCTCTGACTGATGACTGAGGGCAGGCCGACTCCTGGGGCACAGATGCACATAGTGGGAGCTTGTGGACACGCTCCTCTGAGAGTACTTAAGTAGGGTGGTCAGTTGAGAGCAGATGATGGGGGATCTTATGGAGGCCTGAGAAAAGAGGAATTTATTGGTTGGTTTTTTTCTGCCTTGCACCTTAGGTTGTATAAAGGCATGAGTAACACACTGCTGACACTTTTTGGAACAGGGAATACTGTGTTGTAGATCCCTTGATGAGATTTGCTGTGTCTTTGTTACAGGGACGTGAACACCACCATCATGGAGCTCCTGATCATGGTGTATGCATGTAAGACCTCTTGTGCCAAGAGCATCATTGGCGTGATACCCTACTTTCCTTACAGCAAGCAGTGCAAGATGAGAAAAAGAGGCTCCATTGTCTCTAAATTGCTGGCTTCCATGATGTGCAAAGCTGGTAAGAATGGCAGATGTTTCACAATTAATTGGGGGCCTGGGAGTTTTATTTATTTATTCTCTCTTTTTTAAGACAGGGTCTTGCCCTGTCACCTAGGCTGGAGTGTAGTGGCGTGATCATAGCTCACTGCAACTTGAACTCCTACAGTCAAGCAGTCCACCAGAGCCTCCCAAGTAGCTAGGACTATAGGCACATACCACCCTGCCTGCTAATTTTTAAATTTTTTGTAGATACTGGGTCTTACTATGTTGTTCAGGCTGGTTTTGAACTGCTGGCCTCAAGGGATGTTTCTGCTCCAGCCTCCCAGGGTGCTGAGATTATAGTCATGAACCACCATACCCTGCTGGAGTTTTATTTTTACCTTAGAAATATCAAAGTAATGGCTGGGCACAGCAGCTCACGCCTGCAATCCCAATGCTTTGGGAAGCTATGTGGGATGATCTTTGAACTCCTGGGCTCAAGTGATCCCCCTGAGTAGTTGGAACTATGGACATATACCACCGTGCCTGCCTAGATAGGCATATATTGGAAAAGATACATATTATTCTGTGTCAGGCATTTTCAGGTAACAACCTAAGTATTTTTCCTGTGTTTCTAAATAACCTTCATAGTTGTTATTGGGTATTTGTGTCAATATATTTGTGTTTGTGTGTGTGCGCGCTTGTATAAGTGTATATGATTTTATTTATTTATTTATTTATTTTGAGATGGAGTTTCGCTCCTGTTGCCCAGGCTGGAGTGCAATGGCATGATCTTCGCTCACCACAACCTCCACCTCCCCGGTTCAAGCGATTCTCCTGCCTCAGCCTCCCAAGTAGCTGGGATTACAGGCATGCGCCACCACGCCCGGCTAATTTTGTATTTTTAGTAGAGACAGGGTTTCTCCATGTTGGTCAGGCTGGTCTCAAACTCCCGACCCCGCCTCAGACTCCCAAAGTGCTGGGATTACAGGCGTAAGCCACTGCACCCGGCCTATGATTTTTTTATTTTAATTTTTATTCTGTTTATTTATTTTTTGAGACGGAGTCTTGCTCCGTTGCCCAGGCTGGAGTGCAGTGGTGGCACCTCGGCTCACTGCAACCACTGTCTCCTGGGTTCAAGCGATTTTTGTACCTTAGCTTCTCTAGTAGCTGGGACTACAGGTGCCTGCCACCACACTCAGCTAATTTTTGTATTTTTAGTAGAGATGGGGTTTTGCCATGTTGGCCAGGCTGGTCTCGAACTCCTGACCTCAAGTGATCCACCTGCTTTGGGCTCCTAAAATTCTGGGATTACAGACACAAGCCACCATAGCCAGCCTGAATGTATATGATTTTAGAAGGTATGTATCACGGAGCATTTGCACAGAGTGAATAGAATAAAAGTCCCCATATCACTGCATTTTAAGACAGGTACTTACTGTAGAATAAACCTTTTTTTTTGTTTGTTTTTTGAGACGGAGTCTTGCTCTGTTGCCCAGTCTGGAGTGCAATGACGTGATCTTGGCTCACTGCAACCTCCACCACCCGGGTTCAAGCAATTCTCCTGCCTCAGCCCCCAGAGTAGCTGGGATTGCAGGCACACACCAACATGCCCAACTAATTATTATTATTTTTATTTTTTATTTTTGAGTCTCACCTGTCATCCAGGCTGGAGTGCAGTAGCGTGATCTCGGCTCACCGCAACCTCCACTTCCTGGGTTTAAGCGATTCACCTGCCTCAGCCTCCTGAGTAGCTGGGATTACTGGCGCCCACCACCACGCCTGGCTAATTTTTGTATTTTTAGTAGAGACGAGGTTTCACCATGTTGGCCATGCTTGTCTCGAACTCTTGACCTCAGGTGATCCACCTTCCTCAGCCTCCCAAAGTGTTGGGATTACAGGCGTGAGCCACCACGCCCAGCCCAGAATAAACTTTCTAAGATAGTTTTTCAGTAAAGGCAAACGTAAAACAAACATTTAAAAACTAGGCAGGGTGTGGTGGCTCACGCCTGTAATCCCAGCACTTTGGGAGAACCAGGGGGCGATCACCTGAGGTTGGGAGTTCAGAGCAGCCTAACCAACATGGAAAAACCCCGTCTCTACTAACAATACAAAATTAGCCGGGTGTGGTGACACATGCCTGTAATCCCAGCTACTCGGGAGTCTGAGGCAGGAGAATTGCTTGAACCCGGGAGGTGGAGGTTGTGGTGAACCAAGATCATGCCGTTGCACTCCAGCCTGGGCAACAAGAGCAAAACTCCGTCTCAAAAAAATAAAAATAAAATTAAAAACTCAACCCGAAGCAACCTCAGGAGCCTACCCCATTGTAAACACTATGACAGGCAGCTGGTGAGGAGAGCAGGCTTGCCTGCTGAATCTTCAGGAAAGGGCCCATCTTCTCTACCAGCCTTGCTTGATGGGCCTCCAGACTTACTTTCCTGTTCTTTTGGGCAAGTAATGCTTTAAACAATTTTTCATACTGAATTTTCCTTACACTTTTCTGGTGATCGTTACAAAGGTGGTGAAGGTTTTCTGTTTTCTCCAATTTCCAGGCTGGTGCAGTTTGTCTTGATATCTTTTTTTTTCCCCATGGGTCTCAGTCCTCTTGCCCGGGCTGGGGTGCAGTGGTGTGATCACTGCTCACTACCAGGAGGTAGCCTTGACCTCCTGGGTTCAAGTGATCCTCCGACCTTAGCTTCCAGAGTAACTAGGGACTACAGGCATGCATCACCATACCTGACTAGTTTTTTGTATTTTTAGTAGAAATGGAGTCTCACCATGTGGCCCAGGCCATTTTCAAACACCTGGGCTCAAGTGATACTCCTGCCTCGGCCTCCCAAAGTGCTGGGTTTACAGGCATGAGCCACCACACCCGGCTGACTTGTTATCTTAAGACTGGACTTTGCCATGCCTGTTAAACTTCAAGAAGATTTGATCTGCTCTAATATAATTTTTAAAGACTCTTCTGTATTACTGTTATCTTTGCTATATTATGACTATTTTTTATTTATTTATTTTTTCGAGATGGAGTCTCGCTCTGTCGCCCAGGCTGGAGTGCAGTGGCATGATCTCAGCTCACTGCAACCTCCACCTCCTGGATTCAAGTGATTCTCCTGCCTCAGCCTCCCTAGAAGCTGAGATTACAGGCACATGCCACCACACTTGGCTAATTTTTGTATTTTTAGTAGAGACGGGGTTTCACCGTGTTGGCCAGGCTGGTCTTGAACTCCTGACCTCAGGTGATCCGCCTGCCTCAGCCTTCCAAAGTGCTGGGATTACAGCTGTGAGCCATCGCACCTGACCAAGACTTTAAATTGATGTGAAAATCAGGCATCTCACAGTACTAAAAAAAAAAAAATTTTTTTTGAAAAATACAAGTGCTGAGTTTTTTTGATGGTAGAACAATTTTGTCTTTTTTTTTTTGAGACCAAGTCTCCCCCTTTCACCCAGGTCGGAGTGAAGTGGTGCGATCTCGGCTCACTGCAACCTCCGCCCCCCCAGGTTCAAGCGAATTCTCCTGCCTCAGCCTCCCGAGTAGCTGGGATTATGGGCACGTGCCACCATGCCTGGCTAATTTTTGTGTTTTTAGTAGAGATGAGGTTTCGCCATGTTGGCCAGGCTGGTCTCCAACTCCTGACCTCAGGTGATCCACCCGCCTCGGCCTCCCAAAGTGCTGGGATTACAGGCGTGAGCCACCGTGTCCGGCCTTATTTTTTATTTTTTTGAGGCAAGATCTCACTCTGTCACCCAGACTGGAATGCAGTGGCTCAATCTCAGCTCACTTGCAGCCTTGACCTTCTGCACTGAAGCGATTCTCCCACCTTAGCCTCCTGAGTATCTGGGACTACAGATGTGCGCCACCATGCCTGGCTAATTTTTGTTTTGTAGAGGCGGGGTTTTGCCATGTTCCCCAGGCTGATCTCAAACTCCTGAGCTCAAGCAGTTTGTCAGCCTTGGCCTTCAAAGTGCTAGGATTACAGGCGTGAGCCACTGTGCCCGGCCATGAGAGCAATTTTTTTTTTTTTTTTGAGACGGAGTCTTGCTCTGTCACCCAGGCTGGAGTGCAGTGGCATGATCTTGGCTCACTGCAACCTCTGCCTCCCGGATTCAAGCTATTCTTCTGCCTCAGCCTCCCAAGTAGCTGGGACTACAGGCACACGCCACCACGCCCAGCTAATTTTTGTATTTTTAGTAAAGATGGGGTTTCATCATATTGGTCAGGCTGGCGTTGAACTCCTGACCTTGTGATCCACCCACCTCGCCCTCCCAAAGTGCTGGGATTACAGGCGTGAGCCACAGTGCCCGGCTGGAGAGCAATTTTTTAATAGTAACTTATTGTATATAGTATTTTATGTAGTACCTATTTTATACAGTGCAACTTGTTTTTAAACTGTTTATAGGCTGGGTGCAGTGGCTCATGCCTGTATTCCCAGCACTTTGGGAGGCTGAGGCAGGAGGATTACTTGAGGTCAGGAGTTCGAGACCAACCTGGCCAATATGATGAAACCCCTTCTCTACTAAAAATACAGAATTATCTGGGCGTGGTGGCATGCACCTGTATTCCCAGCTACTTTCAAGGCTGAGGTGAGAGGATTGCTTCAGCCTAGGAGTTCAAGGCTGCAGTTAGCTATGGTCATGCCACTGCACTCCAGCCTGGGTGACAGAATGGGATCCCATCTTAAAAAAAAAAAACAAAAACAAAACTATTTATTGCTTGTGTCTGCTTTATTTTCAAAGGTCTAACTCATCTTATTACTATGGATTTACACCAGAAGGAAATTCAGGGCTTCTTCAATATTCCTGTTGACAATTTAAGAGCATCTCCCTTCTTATTACAGTATATTCAAGAAGAGGTGAGCTAGCTCAAACTTTTTTATTTTAACATTCTGATTAAGGTTGAAAGATGTATTTCCATTTCCTTAGGATACCCCTAAAGGATTAAAACTTGATGTATTGTACTTAAAGTACCATTATACTTTATAGCTATAATCCAACGCATTTTAGAATTCTGAATCTGCAGTTTGTTTCTTTAGATAAGCTCTTAAAATTGCTTTTTCTTTTGGACCTCAAGTACCTAGAATTGGACTAGATATGATTGTAATGAGTAATTTACTCTCATTACTAGTCTATGCTTGATCCTGGTTCTGTTTTATGTATCCATCTATCCATCCTGTCTCTCTGTCCATCCAGTTATAATAGCCAGCATCCATGATCCCACCTCCCAGCAAGAAAACTAGAGTCATCATCATAACTTAGAGCTGCTCATGGGCTCCTTCTCTGTCCTATCCCCCTGCCTCCTTCCACCCTAGGGAACCACTGTCCTGAAGCGGTGCTGAATCTGTCAGATGCTTTTTCTGTATCAGTGGAGATGATCATTTTTTTTCCTTCATTCTGTTAATGTGGTTTATTACCACCCTTGAATCCTGGGATAAATCAGATGTTTAATTTTAATATAGCTACATTTGTTTTTCTTTGATATGAGTTAGCATTTTTGTGACTTACTATTTAAGAAAGCTTTTAAAATGTTAATTTATACTGTACTTAGCTATTTTGCTTTTAGCTGTTTTTCTTTCTTTTTTTTTTTTTTTGGTGGGGGGTGTGATGGAGTCACTCCCAGGCTGGAGTGTAATGGCGCAATCTCAGCCCACTGAAACCTCCACCTCCCGGGTTCAAGCAATTCTCGAGTAGCTGGGATTACAGGCATGCGCCAACACAGCTGGCTAATTTTTTGTATCTTTAGTAGAGATGGGGTTTCACCATGTTGGCCAGGCTGATCTCGAACGCTGACCTCGTGATCTGCCTGCCTCGGCCTCCCAAAGTGCTGGGATTACAGGCATGAGCCACCGCACCTGGCCTTAGCGGTTTTTCTTATATAAATTATTTCTCTCTTTAATAACTTTTCTAGATAACTTCTTTTTACAGTACTGTATTTAAAAGAAGATAACTTCTTTTTACAGTACTGTATTTAAAAGATGGCAGTTTATAGGTTTCTGAGGAACTTCTTTCTGGTAAGAATACAGGGCTTCCCCATTCTCCAGCAATTGTTATAAGTCCTTATAGAGAAAATGAATTTAAGTATTTTTGAAAGAGAAAAATGTAAAATATTCTGCTTTTTTTTTTTCTTTAAAGTTACACACAAGAAACATAAAAACTCTACGCCAGGCGCAGTGGCTCACGCCTATAATCCCAGCACTTTGGGAGTCTGAGGCGGGTGGATCACTTGAGGTCAGGAGTTCAGACCAGCCTAGCCAACATGGTGAAACCCCATCTCTACTAAAAATACATAATTAGCTGGATGTGGTGGCGCGTGCCTGTAATCCCAGTTACTTGGGAGGCTGAGGCAGGAGAATTGCTTGAACCTGGGAGGTGGAGGTTACAGTGAGCCAGGATTGTGCCACGGCACTCCTGCCTGGGTGACAGAGCGAGACTATCTCAAAAAAACAAAAAAGAAAACAAAAATACTCTAACAAATTAAAAAAATAATAGAGACTTTAATTTTACCTGAAAAATTTTATGTTTTTTTTTTGAGACAGGGTCTTTCTCTGTCACCCAGGTTGGAGTGCTGTAGTGCCATGATAGCTCACTGCAACCTTGAACTCCTGGGCTCAAGAGATTTCTCCCACCTCAGCCTTCTGAGTAGCTGAGACTAGAGGTGTGCCACCACACCTAGCTAATTTTTAAAAAATATTTCCAGAGTCAGAATCTTGCTGTGTTACCCAGGCTGGTCTCAAACTCCTGGCCTCAAGCGATCCTCCTGCCTCAGCCTCCCAAAACAGTGTGATTACAGGTGTGAGCCACTGTGCCTGGCCTAATTTTACCTGAATATTATTCTTAGTTGAGAGAGAAGGTGAGATAAAATTGGCAAATGTCTTGATAGGGAAGGATGAAGAGGTTTAGGCAGAGAGAGAGTGAGAGGGTGAGCATTGAACGTGGTTCAGTTAGCAACCAGCCGCATGGAGAAACCTGTCATTTTGGAAGAAATAGAGCAGTCGCTATAGACTTATGTGGGTTGCTGTCGACATCTTGTTGTTTTAGGGGATGTTTCCATTCAGGACACAGGCATGTTGTGTGCCAATGTCTCAAGGCACAAATGGCAATTGCACCTCTTAAGGGATGCCCGGTGGGTGAGCCTAAAGAACGAAGGCTGGGGCACCCTTGTGCTGGTTGCAAGGTCAGGCTGGAAGCCTAACGCTAGTCATTGCCTGTAGTGCAGGCTTCTACCTGAGGATGACACTGCCTTCTACTTGAAAAAATCCCCATTTTAGTTTCATTGTTGAGAAGAAGTCAGGGCTGAGTGTGGTGGCCCACACCTATAATCCCAGCACTTTGAGAGGCTGAGGAGGTTGGATCAGTTGAGTCCAGGAGTTTAAGACCATCCTCGGCAATATGGCAAAACCCTGTCTCTACAAAAAATATAAAAATTAACCAGGTGTGGTGGTGCATTCCTGTGGTCCCCCCTACTCAAGAGGATGAGAAGTGGGAGGATTGCTTGAGCCTGGGAGGTTGAAGTTGCCCAGGTGGTCGAGGCTGCATCAAGCCGTGATCTGGGCGACAGAGTGAGATTCCTTCTCACAAAAAAAAAAAAAAAAAAAAAAAAAATTAATATGTGGGAACTCAGTGTTAAAAAGGAATTTTTGTGTATTGCTTTTTTCTTTTTTTTGGAGACAGTCTCTCTCTGTCACTCAGGCTGGAGTGCGATTTTGGCTTACTGCAGCCTCCGCCTCCTGGGTTCAAGCAAGCATATCTGGCTAATTTTTGTTTTTTGTTTTTTTTTGAGATGGAGTTTCGCTCTTGTTGCCCAGGCTGGAGTGCAATGGCATGATCTCGGCTCACAGCAACCTCCCCCTCCCAGGTTCAAGTGATTGTCCTGCCTCAGCCTCCCGAGTAGCTGGGGTTACAGGCATGTGCCACCACACCCGGCTAATTTTGTATTTTTAGTAGAGACAGGGTTTCTCCTTGTTGGTCAGGCTGGTCTCGAACTCCTGACCTCAGGTGATCTGCCCACCTTGGCCTCCCAAAGTGCTGGGATTACAGGTGTGAACCACCGCACTTGGCCTAATTTTTGTGTTTTTAGTAGAGATAGGGTTTCACCGTGTTGGCCAGGCTGGTCTTGAACTTCTGAACTCCAGTGATCTGCCTGCCTCAGCTTCCCAAAGTCCTGGTATTACAGGCATGAGCTACTACACCTGGCCTGTATTGCCTTTTTATAGTATACGTATCTTGTCTCTTTTGTTTTCGTGTGTTAGAGCCTCTTAAAGCAGGGGATAGATATTCATGTTTCACTGAATCTAAGGTGCTGTCAGTCCAGGCTTACATTATTTTACGTCACCAAGAAAGAAGAAAACACTGCTAATTATACTGTGGCACTGTGCCTTCTTGTCACTTAGTGATCCTATTCTGCAGGTTTTGATGCTGACGCTTTCTCCATCTCTTGTGTTTGTCACTGGAATTTAAGCACCTTCTGCCAGAGTCAGAAGGAACATTCTGGTACTAGGATGCTCGTTGCCTTGAAATTTTTGCCATCTATACTTTTTTTTTTTTTTGAGACGGAGTCTCACTCTGTCGCCCAGGCTGGAGTGCAGTGGCGCAATCTCAGCTTACTGCAAGCTCCGCCTCCCGGGTTCACGCCATTCTCCTAGGCCTCAGCCTCCCCAGTAGCTGGGACTACAGGCACCTACCACCACGCCTGGCTAATTTTTTTGTAGTTTTAGTAGAGATGGGGTTTCACCGTGTTAACCAGGATGGTCTCAATCTCCTGACCTAATGATCTGCCCGCCTCAGCCTCCCAAAGTGCTGGGATTACAGGTGTGAGCCACCGCGCCCAGCCAACTTTTGCCATCTCTTCTGAGGGCGTCTGACAGTGTCTGTTGCCTTCCGCTGCACTGCTGGGGATGTGTCAGGCAGTCCTTTTCACAGTTTGACCTACTGGTAGGGATCTTCCTTTCTTAAGTTTCATAAAGCATTTGATTGTTGCCTTGCAAGAAAATGTGGAATTGTATCATTTTTCCAGTGATGAATATTTGATTCATGAATATCAAATTATACTCTGATGGTCTCTTCCTGTGTCTTTCTGCATACATGATAATTTTTCTTTTCTTCTTTTTTTTTTTTTTTTTTTTTTTTGAGACGGAGTTTTGCTCTTGTTGCCCAGGCTGGAGTGCAGTGGCGCAATCTCAGCTCATCACAACCTCCGCCTCCCAGGTTCAAGCGATTCTCCTGCCTCAGCCTCCCGAGTAGCTGGGATTACAGGCATGGGCCCCCATACCTGGCTAATTTTGTATTTTTAGTAGAAAGGGGGTTTTCCATGTTGGTCAGGCTGGTCTTGAACTCCCAAACTCAGGTTATCCACCCGCCTCAACCTCCCAGAGTACTGGGATTACAAGCGTGAAGCCACCGTGCCCGGCTTGATAATTTTTCATTTTAATGAAAAATTTTAATGAAAAGAATCATAGTAATTCTTTCTGGAGACATTTTAAATGGGTTCAAACAATTCTCCTGGGTTCAAACAATTCTCCGGCCTCAACCTCCTGAGTAACTGGATTACAGGTGTGCACCACCACGCCTGGCTAATTTTGTTTTGCATTTTTAGCAGCGAGGGGGTTTCACCATGCTGGCCAGGCTGGTCTTGGCTCAGATGTTCTGCCCACCTTGGCCTCCCAAAGTGCTGGGATTATGGGCATGAGCCACCGTGCCTGGCCATCTTTGGGAATTTTTTTTAATCTGTTAAGTATTTCATCCCTTCTATTTCTTTTATTATTTTCCTTTGGGAACTATTAGGTCCTGAAAATTTTGGATCTAGTCTCTATAACTTTTAAAAACTTATTTTACTTTTTGCATACTTATATATAGCATTCTGGGGAAATTCCTTGTCTTGATCTTCCCTGGTTTGTTCTTAAAGTTGTGTTTATTCTGCTGTTAAGCCAGCCAGCTACTGGGTTTCTTTAGACCATAATAACTTCTTCCCCCTAGATTTATTTTTGGTTCTTTTTCATAATAACTTGTTCTTTCTTTTTTTTTTTTTTAATTTATTTTTTTATTGATAATTCTTGGGTGTTTCTCACAGAGGGGGATTTGGCAGGGTCATGGGACAATAGTGGAGGGAAGGTCAGCAGATAAACAAGTGAACAAAGGTCTCTGGTTTTCCTAGGCAGAGGACCCTGCGGCCTTCCGCAGTGTTTGTGTCCCTGATTACTTGAGATTAGGGATTGGTGATGACTCTTAACGAGCATGCTGCCTTCAAGTATCTGTTTAACAAAGCACATCTTGCACCGCCCTTAATCCATTTAACCCTGAGTGGACACAGCACATGTTTCAGAGAGCACAGGGTTGGGGGTAAGGTCACAGATCAACAGGATCCCAAGGCAGAGGAATTTTTCTTAGTGCAGAACAAAATGAAAAGTCTCCCATGTCTACTTCTTTCTACACAGACACGGCAACCATCCGATTTCTCAATCTTTTCCCCACCTTTCCCGCCTTTCTATTCCACAAAGCCGCCATTGTCATCCTGGCCCGTTCTCAATGAGCTGTTGGGCACACCTCCCAGACGGGGTGGTGGCCGGGCAGAGGGGCTCCTCACTTCCCAGTAGGGGCGGCCGGGCAGAGGCGCCCCTCACCTCCTGGGCGGGGCGGCTGGCCGGGCGGGGGGCTGACCCCCCCACCTCCCTCCCGGACGGGGCGGCTGGCCGGTCGGGGGGCTGACCCCCCACCTCCCTCCCGGACGGGGCGGCTGGCCAGGCAGAGGGGCTCCTCACTTCCCAGTAGGGGCGGCCGGGCAGAGGCGCCCCTCACCTCCCGGACGGGGCGGCTGGCCGGGCAGGGGGGCTGACCCCCCCCACCTCCCTCCCGGACGGGGCGGCTGGCCGGGCAGGGGGGCTGACCCCCCCCACCTCCCTCCCGGACGGGGCGGCTGGCCGGGCGGGGGGCTGACCCCCCCACCTCCCTCGCGGACGGGGCGGCTGGCCGGGCAGAGGGGCTCCTCACTTCCCAGTAGGGGTGGCCGGGCAGAGGCGCCCCTCACCTCAACTTGTTCTTTCTTGTTGTATATAATTTCCCATTTTAACCTCCGTAGAGACAATAGACTTGTTTTTGTTAGAGTCCTTTCTTTTAGGTCCTTTAATTGTTATTAACTGTTTTCTTGGTTCTGTCTTTTCTTGGCTGGGTTTGGTAATGTTTGATGATGTTTGATGAGACAAGGAAATACATGAAAAAGTTTAGAAAGACTGCCAGCAAAAATAATGAAAGTGCCCAAATGGAAATATATTTTACTGCCTTACTTCCTGAGAGTGTTGGATAAATTAGGCTTTCCTGTAGATACAGCTGAGCCATGTGATTATGCCGGAGGCAACTGTACTAAATTATTCAAATTAATCATTTTTTGTTCATTTGCTAAGTAGTTATTATTTAGTGCTTGTTGTATGGTAGGCATTGTTTTATACATGTTGCTAGGTGTTATTAACTGCTCATATTAAAATTCATTGGTGTAATTGTGAGAAAAAAGCAATGAGAATATAGTTAATATATTTTTTTAAAATAGTGCTGGGCCGATTATCCTTTAACAAATTGGTTGCTTCAACATGTTATGACTGCGATATGTTAAATAGCCATTTGTTTGGACTGCAGTAATTTGGAATTTGACAGTCAGCTTGTATTCAGATTGAATTGGATATCCTTGTACTTTGAAATTACATGTAATTAGGATTCTTGTTGACGAGATATATAGAAACATCTTTACACTGCATCATTAGTATTTGCTGGCAGAGATAAGAGCTAATCACCAATTATCCCTACTTTTTTCCTAAAAGAAGTCTGTGTGGCTCACAAGTTAGTAATATTTTTTCATAGGCAGGTTCCTTTCTTCATTTTCCAAAGGAGAATTTTACTTTGAACTTTTTCTTTTTTTGGAAAACTTTCAACTAGCCAAGCATTTTTGGGTCTGTTGGAATTTTCCTTTTTGTTGACATGCAGTAATACCTGACTTCTTGTCTGTCACAGATCCCAGATTACAGGAATGCAGTAATCGTGGCCAAGTCTCCAGCCTCGGCGAAGAGGTAGGTGGGAATCTCACAACCTCTTTCTGGATCTACTTCTAAGGATTGTATCCGTGATGAGTTCCAGGCATTCTAATTTGAACTTCAGTGGTTCCCAGCGATATCTCTTATTTTTCTTCCATGGACTGGTATTTTAAGATTGTTCTGTCAACTCCATTTATTAAGTAAACATTTTAATTTCCTCTCTTTTTTTTCCAATCCCACTCTATGATTGCCAGACATACTTCCTTTTTTAAGTTATCTTCCACTTACACTTTCTTTTATTTTTATTATTATTATTATTTATTTTATTTTATTTCTTTATTTTTTGAGATGGAGTTTCGCTCTTGTTGCCCAAGCTGGAGTGCAGTGGCGCGATCTCGGCTCACCACAACCTCCACCTCCTGGGTTCAAGCGATTCTCCTGCCTCAGCCTCCCAAGTAGCTGGGATTACAGGCGTGCACCACCATGCCTGGCTAATTTTTGTATTTTTAGTAGAGATGAAGTTTCACCATGTTGGTCAGGCTGGTCTCAAACTCCTGACTTCAGGTGATCCACCTGCCTTGGCCTCCCAAGGTGCTGGGATTACAGGCGTGAGCCACCACACTGGGCCTTATTTTTATTTTTAATAGTAGAAACAGAGTTTTGCCATGTTGTCCAGGCAGGTCTTGAACTACTGAGGCTCAAACGATCCACCCACCCGCCTTACCCTCCCAAAGTGCTGGGATTACAGGCATGAGCCACTGCGCCTGACCTCAATCATATTTCTTGACCAAAGCAATCCAGTTCTGGGGAATACGATCTAGTGTTTTCCCCAGACCCAGATTGACAATCACATGTCAGTCTTTGAGTCTGGCGTTTACAGTACTGGCGAATATTTACAGTACTAGCAGACAACTTCATAGTTGTTTACTGCCCCTTATTTGAGGAACTCAGAAATTGATTAACAGAATTTTATCCAGCTGAGAGGCCAGTTATTTGTATATGTTAAAGGTGACATTTTACAAAATTGACACAACCTGAGGTGTACCAAAGGGGGAGCCTTGAGAGTCAGTAGAGTGAGTTACATGTAACCTGGAGTAACTGATGTGTCACTATTGCATACTTAAAATTATATGTCGGTTGAGAGGATTTCTTATACTACCAGTGTTTTGTGGAGAAGCCACTCCACTGGAGAGGGAAAGAACAAAATCACTTGTAGGAATAAAGCCTTTTTCCTAAAAAAGCCCTTTTAAAGTTATTTTCCAGTTGAATACCTTTGATCACTGGATTGTTGTTGAGTCCTGTGGAATGAAAGAAAGTGTAGGGTGCCTCCACCCTGGGCTCGTGGGCTGGCAGTATTGAAGGATGGAGGAGAACTTGCACACAGTAAGCCATTGATTTCAAAAGTATTTCACATAAGTCATTGACGTTATGAATTAAGAATAGCACTTTAATATGTAGACTTAGTATATTAAATAAAATAAATTGGCATTTGAGATAAAACCATTACATGGCTGTGTTCTTGTGGCTGACTTTCCCAACCCAGCCGGGCCTGTGTTCACCCATGTGTCCTTCAAGAAGTTGTATCACCTGATCTCCTCTTGTCCATTTGATTAAATTGTAAGAAACAGACTGAATTTTAGAATGTAAACATTTCAAATAGCTTTTCCAAACATTTCTTCAAAGGCTGAATTAATTTTACTTAATAATTTTTCTCTGATATACATGCTTTAAAAAAATGTAGGTGAAAAATCACATAATATACAATAATTTTAAAGTATAGAATTCACTGGCATTTAGTGCATTCACAATGTTGTGTAACCACCACCTGTCTCTGTTTTCAGAACATTTTCGTCTTCCCAGAAGAACATCTAGTACCCATTCAGCAATCATTCCTTATCCCTTCACCTTCTGTCCCTCGGCAGCCACACAGTATGTGGCCCTCTGTGTCTGGTTTCTTTCACTTAGCAGTTTTCAAGGTTCATCTATGGTGTAGCATGTAGTATCTCAGTGTTTTGTTGTCGCTGTTATTGTTCGAGACAAAATCTTACTCTGTTGCCGAGGCTGGAGTGCAGTGGCACGATCTCAGCTCACTGCAACCTCCGCCTCCTGGGTTCAAGCAATTCTCCTGCCTCATCCTCCCAGGTAGCTGGAATTACAGGTGCATGCTACCACACCTGGGTAATTTTTGTATTTCTGGTAGAGATGAGGTTTCACCATGTTGGTCAGGCTGGTCTTAAACTCCTGACCTTGTGATCTGCCTGCCTCGGCCTCCCAAAGTGCTGGGATTACAGGCGTGAGCCACCGCACTTGGCCAGTACCTCAGTCCTTTTGATGGCTGAGTAATATTGCATTGTATGTGTATACTAGTTTGTTTATCCATTCATCTGTTGATGGACACTTTTTTTTTTTACCGTTTGGCTATTATGAATAGGACTCCTATGGTCAGTCATGGATTAGTTTTTGTGTTGGCATAAGTTTTCATTTTTCCTTTCTTGTGGATATATATTAGGATTGGAATTGCTGGGTCATATGGCAGTTTCGTTTATGTTTTGAGGAACTATCAGTCTCTTTTCCACTGCAGCTGCCCATTTTACATTCCCACCAGCAGAGTATGAGGGTTCCAACTTCTCCACATCTTCACCAACACTTAATTCTCTGAGTTTTTTCATTATAATCATCCTAGTGGGTGTGAAATTCTACCTTATCGTGGTTTTCATTTGCATTTCCCTAATGATTGATGATGTTGAGTATCTTTTTTTTTTTTTTAATGAGACAGGGTCTCAGTATGTTGCTCAGGCTGGGCTCAAACTCTTGGGCTCAATCAATCCTTCTGCCTCAGCCTGTTGAGTGTGTGTGTGTGTGTGTGTGTGTGTGTGTGTGTGTGTGTATTTATTTATTTATTTATTTTTTTGAGACAGAGTCTCGCTCTGTCACCCAGGCTGGAGTGCAGTGGCGCGATCTCGGCTCACTGCAACCTCCGCCTCCCAGGTTTAAGCGATTCTCCTGCCTCAGCCTCCTGAGTAGCTGGGATTACAGGCATGCGCCACCATGCCTAGCTGTTGAGTATATTTTTATGTGCTTTTTGGCCATTTGTATATATTTGGAGAAATGCCTGTTCACACCCTTTGCCCATTTAATAATTGGGTTGTCTTTTTGTTGAGTTATAAGCACTCTTTATATATTCTACATACTAAACCTTGTTAGATACATGATTTGCAGATATTTTCTCTCTTTCTGCAGATTGTCTTTTCACTGTCTTGATGGTGTTCTTTCACACAAAAAGGTTTCAATGCTGATAAAGTTCAATTTATCTTTTTTTTTTTTTTTTTTTGAGACGGAGTCTCAGTCTGTTGCCCAGGCTTGAGTGCAGTGTCTCAGCTCACTGCAACCTCTGCCTCCCGGGTACAAGCGAGTCTCCTGCCTCAGCCTCCTGAGTAGCTGGGATTACAGGTGCCCGCCACCACACCCGGCTAATTTTTTGTATTTTTTAGTAGAGATGGAGTTTCACCATGTTGGCCAGGCTGGTCTCGAACTCTTGACCTCGTGATCCGCCTGCCTTGGCCTCCCCAATCAATTTATCTTTTTTGTTTGTTATTGCCTCTGCTTCTGATGTCATGTCTAAGAATCCATTGGCCAGGTGCAGTGGCTCACTTCTGTAATCTCAGCACTTCGGGAGGCTGAGGCAGAAGGATCACTTGAGCCCAGGAATTTGAGACCAGCCAGGGCAATATAGTGAGACCTCGTTTTTAAGAAAAAAAAAAACATTAACTGGATGTGGTGGCATTTGTCTGTGGTTCTAGCTACTTGGGTGGCTGAGGTGGGAGGATTGCTTGAGCCCAAGAGGTCAAGGCTACAGTGAGCCGTGATTGCACCACTGCCTGGCTAATTTTTGTGTTTTTAGTAGAGACGGGGTTTCGCCATGTTGGCCAGACTGGTCTCCAACTCCTGACCTCAAGTGATCTTGACCTCAAATGATCATCCCAAAGTATTGGGATTACAGGCATGAGCCACCGCACCCAGCCACCATAGCTTTTTAATTTTTTTGAGATGGAGTTTCACTCTTGTTGCCCGGGCTGCACAATCTTGGCTCACTGCAACCTCTGCCTCCCAGGCTCAAGCAATTCTATTGCCTCAGCCTCCCAAGTAGCTGGGATTACAGGTGTGCACCACTTCACCTGGCTAATTAGTAGAGATGGGGTTTCACTATGTTGGTCAGGCTGGTGACCAACCTGATCTCCTGACCTCAGGTGATCCACCCACCTCTGACTCCCAAAGTGCTGGGATTACAGACGTGAGCCACCATGCAGGCCTCTATAGCTTTTTTTTTTCTTTTGAGACGGAGTTTCGCTCTTGTTGCCCAGGCTGGGGTACAATGGCACGATCTCAGCTCACCCTGCAACCTCCACCTCTCGGGTTCAAGTGATTCTCCTGCCTCAGTCTTCTGACTAGCTGGGATTACAGGCATGCGCCACCACGCCTATCTAATTTTGTATTTTTAGTAGAGATGGGGTTTCTCCATGTTGGTCAGGCTGGTCTTGAACTCCAGACCTCAGGTGATCTGCCTGCCTCGGCATCCCAAAGTGTTGGGATTATTGGCATGATCCACCATGCCCGGCCCTCTGTAGCTTTTCAATAGTCTTTTTTTTTTTTTTTTTTGAGACAGAGTCTTGCTCTGTTGCCCAGGCTGGAGTGCAGTGGTGCAATCTTGGCTCACTGCACCCTCCGCCTCCTGGGTTTAAGCAATTCTCTGCCTCACCTCCTGAGTAGCTGGGATTGCAGGCACCTGCCACCATGCCCAGCTAATTTTTAATTTTTGTATTTTTAGTAGAGATGGGGTTTCACCATCTTGGCCAGGCCAGTCTTGAACTCCTGACCTCGTGATCCACCCACCTCAGTCTCCCAAAGTGCTGGGATTACAGGCGTGAGTCACCACGCCCAGCCTTAATAGTCTTCAAGTTGGGTATTGTCACACCTCCAACTTTGTTCTTCAATATTGTGTTGGCTATTTTGGGTCTTTTGCCTCTCCATATAAACTTCAGAATCAGTTTTTTGAAATACACAAAATAACTTGTTGGGATTTAGATTGGGATTTGCATTAAATCTGTAGATCAGATTGGGGAGAACTGGCATCTTGACAATATTGAGTCTTCCTATCCATGAACATGGGATATCATTTTTTAAAAATTCATCTTTGATTTCTGTCATCAGAGTTTTGTAGTTTTCCCCATATAGATGTGTACTTTTTTTTTTTTTTTTTTTAAAGAGAAAGTCTTGCTCTGTTTACCCAGACTGGAGTGCACTGGTGCCATCACAGCTCACTACAGCCTTGAATTTTTGGGCTCATGGCAATCCTTTCATTTCAGCCTCCTAAGTAGCTAGGACTATAGGTGTGCACCACCATGCCTGGCTAATTAAAAAAATATATATATATTTTTTGTTAGAGACGGGGGTCTGACTGTGTTGCCTAGGCTGGTCTCTAACTCCTAGGCTCAGCCTCCCAGTGTTGGGATTGCAGGCATGAGCCATCACTTCCAGCCCATATTTTGTTATATTTATGCCTAAATAAATATTTCATTTCTTTGGGTATCCCTTAATTTTTTAGACATTGTTTTCTTTAGTTCTGTGAACATATTTATGATAGCTAATTTATTGTGTCTAGTTATTCTGACATTGGGCTTTTTCAGAGATCGTTTCTGTTGACTGCTTTTTTACTGTGTATGGGCCATGTTTTTCTTTTTTTTAATGTTTAAAAAAACTTATTACTTTATTATTTTAATTTAATTTAATTTTTATTTTTATTTTATGACAGAGTCTTGCTCTGTTGCCCAGGCTGGAGTGCAGTGGCATGATCTCAGCTCACTGTGACCTCTGCCTCCTGGGTTCCAGCGATTCTCCTGCCTTAGCCTCCTGAGCAGCTGGGATTACAGGTGTGTGCCACCAAACCCAGCTAATTTTTGTATTTTTAGTAGAGACGGGATTTCACCATGTTGGCTGGGCTGGTCTCAAAACTCCTGACCTCAGGTGATCCACCCATCTTGGCCTCCCAAAATGCTGGGATTACAGGTGTGAGCCACCATGCCTGGCCAAAACTTCTTACTTTAAAAAAGAATACAGAAACAAGATCTTGCTGTGTTTCTGGACTGGTCTCAAACTCCTGGCCTCAAGCAATCTTCCTGCCTTGGGCCTCCTGAAGTTCTAGAATTAAAAGTGTGAGCCACCATGCCCGGCCCATATTTTCCTTTTTGTTTGCATGCCTTGTACATTTTAGTTAAAAACAACATTTTAAATTATGTAATGTGAAAAATCTGAGCATCAGATTCTACCTCCACCAATTCCCAGTGTTTGTTGTTGCTGTTGTTTCTGTGATATGTTTGTTTAGTGGCCACCCTGTGCCAATTCTGTAAAGTCTGTATTCTTTGTAGCATTCAGCCACTGAAGTCTCTGGTTGGTTAGCTTACTGGCCAGCTAATGATTGGACAGAGATTTCCTGAAATGCCTTGAAGCAATAAATCTCCCACTCTCTTCAAGGTCTGTGTGTGTGTGTTTGTGCATGTCTTCAATTCTCCCAGCAGCTTACAACTCTGCCTTAGCCTTTACTTCTTGGTTGCACAGAGCCTTAAGGTCAGCCAAGGTTCAAGGTTAGGGGCTTTTCAGGTCCTTCCTGGGTAAGCGCATGTTCTTTACATGCAGGAATAAGCTTTTCAAGGCCCATGTGGCCATCTCATTCCCCAGATTTTCCTTTTTTTTTTTTTTTTTTTTGTCTAGCCCCTTGTTTTACTCAACTGGTATTGTCACTTCAGGCGGCTGCAGTGTTAAACAGTTGCTGTTGATTGCTCATCTACTCTGGGGATGGGACTATTCACACAGAGTGACTCTAAGTTTGATCATATTCTCCAGCCCTGAGTCTCAGCAAGCTGCCAGATAGGCATAATAGTGATGGTTACCTGAGAATGGGCTTCTTGAGAAGCTCCAAACCTGTTCTTTTCCCACCAGTGGTTGCTAGTCTTCTGTTTCTCATGGCCACCATGATTATGAGGTTTCCAATTTTTGTCTTTTGCAGAACTGGAGAGAGAGGCATGGGAATAATGGAATAATGGGAATGGGGCAAGTTAAAACACACACAGTTTCTTTTTTTTGAGACAGGGTCTCACTCTGATGCCCAGGCTGGAGTGCAGTGGCATCATTATGGTTTACTGCAGCCTGGACTTCCTGGGCTCAGGTGATCCACCTCAGCCTCCCAAGTAGCTGAGACCACAGGCATGCAGCACCATGCCTGGCTAATTCTCATGTTTTTTTTGTAGAGATGGGGTCTCACTATATTGCCCAGGCTGGTCTCCAACTCGTGGCCTCAAGTGATCTGCCCATCTCAGCCTCCCAAAGTGTTGGGATGATAGTCGTGAACCAGCATGCCCAGCCCAAAGTTTGCTCTTTAACAAGATTCAGCTGTTTTTCTTAAACACTCCTCAGATTGTTGCAAGCTGTTGGTTAACTTCCACAGTTATGTAAAAGTTAATTTTTGCAAAATTTTTTAGAGTTTTTCTTTCTTTCATGGAGGAGCAGATTTTTTAGGGTCCTTATTCTGCCATTCTAGAGTGGTGCTTCTCTATAGTGGTGTTGTTGTTGTTGTTGTTGTTGTTTAGACGGATTTTTATACTTGTCACTTAGGCTGGAGTGCAATGGTGCCATCTTGGCTCACTGCAGCCTCCACCTCCCAGGTTCAAGCGATTCTCCTGTCTCAGCCTCCTGAGTAGCTGGGATTACAGGCTCCCATCTTCACACCCAGCTAATTTTTGTATTCTTAGTAGAGATGGAGTTTTCACTATGTTGGCCAGGCTGGTCTGGAATTCCTGACCTCAGGTAATCTGCCTGCCTTGGCCTCCCAAAATGCTGGGATTACAGGCGTGAGCCACCACGCCCGGCCCTCTATAGTGTTTTGAATATCACCTTATATAGCTGTTTTAATAGTTGTTCTAAGTATTTTATTACATATACAAAACATATTACAATATACTGATGTCATTTTATCAGCCTGAGTGAAATATAGAAGTCATACCTCTCTGTGTCTCTTTACTCCCCCTGTTTTTAATATATTTGTCTTAAATATTTCTATACATACATTTATAGCAGTATCAGGCTGTTAGAATTTTTGCTTTTTTTTTTTTTTTTTTTTTTTTTTGAGGCAGTGTCTCGCTCTGTCACCAGGTTGGAGTGCAGTGGTGCAATCTTAGCTCTTGGTAACCTCCGCCTCCCGGGTTCAAGTGATTCTCCTGTCTCAGCCTCCCAAGTAGCTGGGACTATAGGCGAGCGCCACCACGCCCAGCTAATTTTTGTATTTTTAGTAGAGATGGGGTTTCACTGTGTTGGCCAGGGTGGTCTCCATCTCTTGACCTCGCAATCTGCCCACCGCGGCCTCCCAAAGTGCTGGGATTACAGGCTTGAGCCACCACACCCAGCCAGAATTTTTGCTTTTAAACATCAAACATAATTTAGAAAAGTCAGAAATGAAGAAAAGCTTATTATATTTACAGGTATTTTTGTTTCCTTCTTCCTTGCTGATATTCCAAAGTTTAGTTTATTGTTTCCTTTCTGTTTAGAGTACCTCCTTTTGCCGCTTTTAAATAATAGTTCTGTTGGTAACACATTTTGCTGGTTTTCCTTCATTTGAGAATGTCTAGAGTTCCTTTTCATTCTTGAAGGACATCGTTGCTGGGTATAGGATTCTGGAGTAACGGTTCTTTTCTCTCAGCACCTGAAAAGTTTTTGTGTCACTTTCTTTTGGTCACTGTGGTTTCTGATGAGAAGTTGGTTATCATGAATTATTTTTCAAGATTATTTCTTTGTCTTTAGTTTTCAAAAGTTTAATTATGATATATCTTGAGATTGCTTTGGGTTTATCCTGTTTGGTGTTTGCTGGACTTCTTGAAGCTGTGGGTTTATGTCTCTGACCAATTTGGGAAGCTTTCAGCCATTGTCTTTTTGAGTACTTTTTTAGTCCTACCGTCTTTCTCCTCTTTTTCTGGGACTCTTATGACATAAATGTCAGGTGTTTGTTTGTTTGTTTGTTTGTTTGTTTGTTTGAGATGGAGTTTCATTCTTGTTGCCCAGGCTGGAGTGCAATGGCGTGATCTTGGCTCACCGTTGCAACCTCTGCCTCTTGGGTTCAAGCGATTCTCCTGCCTCAGCCTCCCAAGTAGCTGGGATTACAGGCATGCACCACCACGCCCAGCTACTTTTGTATATTTAGTAGAGACGGGGTTTCTCCATGTTGGTCAGGCTGGTCTTGAACTTCCGACCTCAGGTGATCCACCCACCTTGGCCTCCCAAAGTGCTGGGATTACAGGTGTGAGCCACCGTGCCCAGCTGATCTTTTGTTACAGGTCCATGGGATTCTGTTTATTTTTATTTTCTAGTCTTTTATATTTTTATTTTTTAGTGGGTCTCACTATGTTACTCAGGCTGGTCTTGAACCCCTGGGCTCAAGTGATTCTCCCATCTTAGCCTCCAGAGTAGCTGAAACTACAAGCACATGCCACCATGCCCTGCCACAGCCATTGTTCTCTCTGTTGTCCAAATTGGCTAATTTCTGTTGTCTGTCTTCCAGTTCACTGATTCTTTCCTTGACCTCCATTATTATTTTCACTGTAACTTCCATTCTGCTGTTGAGTATATCCAACTGAGTTTTTTTTTTTTTTTTTTTTTTTTTTGAGACAGGGTCTCACCTCTGTTGCCCAGGCTGGAGTGTAGTGGTATGATCACAGCTCACTGCAACCTCTGCCTCCTAGGCTCAAGCAATCCTCCCACATCCGCCTCCCAAGAAGCTGGGACTACAGGTGCATGCCACCGTGTCTTGCGAATTTATTTTTGGTATTTTTGGTAGAGACGGGGATTTTACCATATTGCCCAGGCTGGTCTTGAACTCCTGAGCTCAAGTGATCTGCCCACCTCAGCTTCTCTAAAGTGCTGGGATTACAGGTGTGAGCCACCACCCCCAGCCCAACTGAGCTTTTTAATTTGGTTATTGTATTTTTTAAGTTCTAAAATAAGTTTTTGGTTCTCTTTTTTTGAGACTGAGTCTCGCTCTGTTGCCCAGGCTGGAGTACAGTGGTGTTATCACAGCTCACTGCAACCTCCGCTCCCTGGGTTCAAGTGATCCTTATGCCTCAGCCTCCTGAGGAGCTGGGATTACAGGCATCTGCCACCACGCCCGGCTAATTTTTGTATTTTTAGTAGAGATGGGGTTTCACCATGTTGGTCAGGCTGGTCTTGAACTTCTGACCTCGTGATCTGCCCGCCTCAGCCTCCCAGACTGCTGGGATTACAGGCGTGAGCCACCGTGCCTGGCTGCTAATTTTGTATTTTTAGTAGAGACGGGGTTTTGCCATGTTGGCCAGGCTGGTTTCAAACTCCTGGCCTCAAGTGATCTGCCTGCCTCGGCCTCCCAAAGTACTGGAATTACAGTCATGAGACACTACGCCTGGCCTTGGGTCTTTTTTTATACCTTCTATTTTTTTGTCAATACTTTCTTTGTTTAGACTTCTTGTTTTTTATTTCACACATGCTCATAATTGCTGCTTGTAGCACTTTTCTGATGGCTGCTCTAAAATCTTTGTTATACAGTTTCAGCATGTCTGTCATCTTGGTGTTG
The DNA here is from genome assembly GCF_000001405.40 of Homo sapiens. Taxonomy (NCBI): domain Eukaryota; kingdom Metazoa; phylum Chordata; class Mammalia; order Primates; family Hominidae; genus Homo; species Homo sapiens. The sequence continues at coordinate 18,900,487 of NC_000017.11, forward strand.
GCATCTGTTAATTGTCTTTTTTCATTCATATTGAGATTTCACTGGCCTTTAGTGTGGCGAGTGGCTTCTGATTGGAATCTGGACTTTTAGATATTGTGTGTGAGACTCTGGGTCTCATTTAGGCCTTCTGATTTTGCTGGCTTCTCAGGACTCTGGCAGGGAAAGTGGTGGTGTTGGGGCTCGTTTCTGCTAGGTAAGGGTAGAAGTCGAGATTCACCACCAGGCCTTGTGTGGACCACCTAAGGTGGTCCTTGTTACTCATGGGTGGAAATGCTCCCTCCATGTCCTCCGCTGACGCCAAGGAAAAGTAGCATCATTCTCATTGGGTGGTGGTGGAATTCCTGACTCCACCAGGCTGCCTCTGATACCACTGCAATGGAGAGGGGAGGGGCACCTCTTTACTGCTGAGTTGGGGGTAGAAGTCCAGATTTCACTCTCCACTGACTCTGGCAGTTGCTCCTTACTGCTGAGTGAGGGTGAAAGTCCCAGCTCCCTGTTTGGCCTTCTGTGAAACCACCCCATTGGGTTTGGGGTGCCTCATTATAGCCTGACAAGCCAGGAAGTACAGGCTCACCCCTCAACCTTTACTCATGCGGCGGAAATGTGGCGGAAACGTGGGCTGTGGCTTTCCTGCCTGTGTGGCTAGAGTAAGGCAGTTATTGTCTAAATATTTTCTCACTCACTAGGTTGCCCTTTTCTTAGTCCTTTGACTAGGGAGAGCCGACCTTTGTTGGAGCTTTTCTTGTCTTTGCCCACTGGCATTTTTGGGTCGCTTCTTCTCCAGCTACAAATCTGGGATAATAAGGCAAAAGGAATGCCCAAGGAAGCCACCACCGTGACGTTGCTCAGGTCCTGAGGTCCCTTGCTAGTCTGCCTTCTCTCTACCTTTTAGTGTCTTCTCATTTTTTTTTGAGACGGAATCTCGCTCTGTCACCCAGGCTGGAGTGCAGTGGCACGATCTTGGCTCACTGCAAACTCCGCCTCCCGGGTTCATGCCATTCTCCTGCCTCAGCCTCCCGAGTAGCTGGGACTACAGGCGTCTGCCACTATGCCTGGCTAATTTTTGTATTTTTAGTGGAGACAGTTTCACCATGTTAGCAAGGATGGTCTCTATCTCCTGACCTCGTGATCTGCCTGCCTCAGCCTCCCAGAGTGCTAGGATTACAGGCATGAGCCACTGCGCCTGGCCAGAGTCTTCTCATTTTTGTTTGTATGTAACATCCAGGGGTTTTAGTTGTGGGTGGCAGAAGGAGTATTAATAATCCTTCCTAGTGGAAGCAGAAGTGACAATGTTTTGATACTTTTTTTTCCTTGAGACAGGTTCTTGCTCTGTCATCCAGGCTGGAGTGCAGTGGTACAACCACGGCTCACTGTAGCCTCCATCTCCTGGGCTCAAGAGATCCTCCTGCCTTAGTCTCCTGAGTAGCTGGGACTGCAGGCATGTGCCACCATGCCCAGCTGGTTTTTTCCTTATTTTTGTAGCAACGGGATCTCCCTATGTTGCCAGGTCTGGTCTCTAACTCTAGGGTACAAGTAATCCTCCTGCCTTGGCCTCCTAAAGTTCCGGGATTACAGGCATGAGCCACTGCATCTGGCCTTGATACATTTTTTTTTCTTTCCCACTAAATACCAGAAGAACATGATGAATTTTCTGTTGACTTTCCCATCTGGGTGGACTTTTAGTAACCTCTAGAGTCCTCAGTTTACTTCTGTCACCCACCTGTTCACAGAGGGATGGATGTAGTAGCCTTTTGCTCAGTTTCTTTGGCTTTTGTCAGTGATGTTTGTCATTCATCTGTTCAAATGTTTATTGAGAACCTATTTTGCTGGGGCTGATGAGGCCTAGGAAGATGCCCTGTAGGAATGCATGTGTAGCGTCAGATGTTTTTTATCTATGTTATGTTATTTGATCTTTGCAACTTTGGAAGTCAGCAGTTATAATCTCTCATAGATGAGGAAACAGACCCACAGAGATGAAGGAACCAAGGTAGTTCCACCAAATGTTGTTTCCTTGAAGGTAGTGGGGCAACTATTTACTTCCAAGAATGTTTTCTATACCAGTGATTAGGGGACTTGAGTGTTGGCCAAATATGATTGAAATTGGGCCAGGTGCGGTGTCACACCTGTAATCCCAGCACTTTGGGAGGCCGAGGGGGGTGGATCACTTGAGGTCAGGAGTTTGAGACCACCCTGACCAACTTAGTGAAGCCCTGTCTCTACTAAAAATACAAAATTAGCGGGGCATGGTGGCGCACGCCTGTAATCCCAGCTACTTGGGAGGCTGAGGCAGGAGAATTGCTTGAACCTGGGAGGCAGAGGTTGCAGTTAGTCAGGATTGCGCCATTGTACTCCAGCCTGGGTGACAAGAGCAAAACTCCATCTCAAAAAAAAAAAAAAAAAAAAAAAAGAAATTGACTTGCCCCCCTCCACTCAGTCTTTACCGAGTACATATTTGAGTGCTGCTGTGCCAGCCATCGTGGATGTGGTGGTGACCAGTGCAGGCAGGGCTGTGTTCCCATGGCACTTGCAGACTGCCCTCATGTGCTCTTTGACTGGTAGGTCAGTTGGGTAGATTGGAACGAAAGACCCAGTCTCTTTTTCTCCCAGTTTCAGTAATTGAATCCACATAGATCATACTACATTAAATGAATGTTTTAGAGGCTGGGCGCATTGGCTCACCCCTGTAATCCCAGCACTTTGGGAGGCCGAGATGGGTGGATCTCCTGAGGTCAGGAGAATTGCTTGAACCCGGGAGGCGGAGGTTGCGGTGAGCCCAGATCGTGCCATTGCACTCCAGCCTAGGCAACAAGAGCAAAACTCCATCAAATAAATAAATGAATGAATGAACGTGTGTTTTAGTATGGAGATGAGTGCTACAAAAGGTTCAGTTTTATATGGAACAGGTAGTAAAATAACACAGTCAAGGCTTAGGAGTTTGGTCTGTGAGTTTAAGGTATTGTGAGTGGGCTAGGCTCGATGGCTCACACCTGTAATCCCAGCACTTTGGGAGGCTGAGGTTGGAAGATCATTTGAGTCCAGGAGTTCAAGAACAGCCTGGGCAACATGTTGAAACCCCATCTCTACCAAAAATACAAAAATTAGCCGGGTGTGGTGGCGTGTGCCTCTAGTCCCAGCTACTCAGGAGGCTGAGGTGGGAGGATCACTTCAGCCCAGTAGGTGGAGGTTGCAGTGAGGTGAGATCACACCACTGCACTCCAGCCTGGGTGACAGCCAGACCCTGTCTCAAAAAAACAAAGTAAAATAAAAAGGTATTGTGAGCAAGAGCTCTGTCGACATGGCATCAACACAGTAAAGTCAGTTCTGGTTGTCTTATATCCCGTAGCTATGTGGTGGTGATTTTCTTGTGTTCTAATGTCCTGATAAACACATTCACCCAGACTTCGAGCAGGAGATGGCACTTTCTGGCTCAGCCACATGCAAATTCTGATCCTATTATTTCTAGTTCCCTCCTCCAAGTTTTTCATTTGGCAGCCAACCTTAGAAAATAGCTGTAATCAATGTAGAAGTCAGACTGGGGCTGACTTTTATCAGTCAGGAAGGTATTAAATTAGCAGTCCAAGACTTGGGCTTCCACTTGTGCCTTAGCCAGTCTTTGTGAGAACCTTGGTCAAGGCTGTCTCTCCAAGCCTCAGTTTCCTGGGGATAACACCTGCTTGGCTTATCTTACAGAGTTAATAAGCATCAAAGAACTTACTGAAGGACTTTATAAATTAAATACCATTATGTAGAATGGTGGTGGTTAGTGCCTTTATTTATTTATTTTTTGAGACAGGGTCTCCCTCTGTCGCCCAGTCTGGAGTGCAGTGGTGTGATCTCGGCTCACTACAACCTCCACCTCCTGGATTCAAGCGATTCTCTTGCCTCAGCCTCCTAAGTAGCTGGGATTACAGACGTGCGCCACCATGCCCAGCTAATTTTTGTATTTTTGGTAGACATGGGGTTTCACCATGCTGGTAAGGCTCTTCTCGAACTCCTGACCTCAAGTGATCTGCCTGCCTCGGCCTCCCAAAGTGTTGGGATAACAGACGTGAGCCACTGTTGGGATAACAGGCGTGAGCCACTGTGTTTAGTGGTTAGTGCCTTTAGAATCCTGAAGTTATTGATGAATAGGTCGAAGTCCAGAGCTATTGTTTTGGAGTTGTTTGACAATGAGCAGTTGTTTTGACTAAAAGGGATCATCAGAGAAAGTGTTGCTTTTGTAAGGAACAGAACTTGCTTGAATGAGTTGTTTGAAATTGTTTTCTCTGAATAACTGAGTGAATAGGAAACAAAAGGATAGCTGAGGCCCTGTGTCTTGTTCTTTCTCACCCATGATGTAAATTAACTCATTATCGTACAATCAGGATCAAGTTGCTTTAGAATTCCTCTCTGTCAGTGCATGAAACAAAATGACACAGAGAAACCATCCTGATTGATTTTGGAATTAGATGGGAATGCAAAGTATCTGATTAAGTTATATGGAGTATCCAGAAACTCCCATTGCTGTGCAGGTAATAATTTTATTTATTTATTATTTTACTTATTTATTTTTTTGAGACAGAGTCTTGCTGTTGTCGCCTGGGCTGGCATGCAATGGCACGATCTCGGCTCACTGCAACCTTCGCCTCCCGGATTTTAGCAATTCTCCTGCCTTAGCCTCCCGATTAGCTGAGATTACAGGTGCCTGCCACCATGCCTGGGTAATTTTTTTGTATTTTTAGTAGAGACGGGGTTTCACCACGTTGGCCAGGCTGGTCTCAAACTCCTGACCTCAGGTGATCCACCTGCCTTGGCCTCCCAAAGTGCTGGGATTACAAGTGTGAGCCACCGCACCCGGCCATGATTTTATTTATCTTAAGAGCATTGTGCTTTGTAGAGGTTGGTATAATTGAAATATTATTCTAGGAATTGGCAAACCTCCACAGATCCCAGATGGAAAAGACTTCCTTAGAGGATAACTAACAGGTCAGTCATTTGGCCAATTTTGTTTGCAAAGCCAATCTTGAATTTCAAGGAGGAACTAATAATCTATGTGATGCCAACTCTTTTGAAGACTCTGCCCCATTGTTCTGTCTGAAATTTTTTTCTCTTGAGAATTTTTTTTTTTTTTGAGACGGAGTTTCGCTCTTGTTGCCCAGGCTAGAGTGCAATGGTGCGATCTCGGCTCACCGCAATCTCCGCCTCCCGGGTTCAAGTGATTCTCCCACCTCAGCCTCCCAAGTAGCTGGGGATTACAGGCATGTGCCACCACACCCGGCTAATTTGTTTGTGTTTTTAGTAAAGACAGGGTTTCTCCATGTTGGTCAGGCTGGCCCCAAACTCCCAGCCTCAGGTGATCTGCCCGCCTCGGCCTCCCAAAGTGCTGGGATTACAGGCGTGAGCCACTGCTCCTGGCCACTCTCTTGATAATTTTTTAAAAACTATTTTGATTTTTTTTGTAAGGATGAATTCAAAGTTATATGAATACTAAATCTTACATCTTGGGATATTTATCAAATGTTATTAAAATATTCTGTGTTTATGATGCTCCCTCTTTTCCCTTAGGACAAATATTCTGTCTTACACACACATAGATAAATATATTTTACTGACTTCACTGTTTTTGACCTGAACAGTCTTGCTCCTGTGAAGGTTTATCATCTTTTCCTTGGAAATATAAATTACATTCCTCATAGATAGGACCAGACCAATAAATGTTTACTTACGTGTGTCTGAGATTGTTTGTTTGTTTGTTTGTTTGTTTATTTGAGACAGGGTCTTTCTCTGTTGCCCAGGCAGGAGTGCAGTGGTGCAATTATAGCTCAGTGCAGCCTTGACCTTCTGGGCTCAAGTGATTCTCCCACCTCAGCCTCCCAAGTAGCTGGGACTACAGGCGCGTGCTACCACGCCCAGCTAATTTTTGTATTTTTAGTAGAGACAGGGTTTCACCATGTTGGCCAGGATAGTTTCGATCTCTTGACCTTGCGATCCACCCGCCTCAGCCTCCCAAAGTGCTGGGATTACAGGCGTGAGTCACTGTGCCTGGGCCAGCTAATTTTTTTTTATTTTTGTAGAGACGAGGTCTCCCTGTGTTGCCCAGGCTGGTCTCAAACCCCTGGGCTCAAGCCATTCTCCTGCCTTCGTCTCAAAGTGCTGGGATTACAGGTGTGAGCCATCACCCAGCTTTAAAAAGTATATTGAAAATAGGATGATTTAAGCATGAGTTTTTTGTGTGTTTGTTTGTTTGTTTGTTCGTTTTTCAGTAGAGATGGAGTTTCACCATGTTGGCCAGGCTGGTCTTGAACTCCTTGTCCCAAGTGATCTGCCCGCCTTAGCCTCCCAAAGTGCTGGGATTACAGGCGTGAGCTGCCGTGCCCAGCCAAATTTAAATTTCTTGAAATAATTGCTAACACTGTAGCAAAGCTTTCCTTTGTTGTGTAGTGCATATAGGAAACCAGGTTGATGTGAAATTTCTAACAGCTCATAAGAGTCTACATACTAATAGTATTTAGTACTTTCTAGTGCCCTGCTCTTCATATGTCATGTAAATGCCTTGGCTGTATCTAGTATAGATAGTACTAGTGGGATTCAGTATAATCCTTAATTTTTTGTTTGTTTTTAGTAATTCTTGTAAGCAGTTAGTTAAGAACTTGTTTTGAATTTTTGGTGCTGGTAAGCCAAGACTGCGAGAACTTGTTGGATTCTTAAACACTTGAACATTTACCATGCATTAGGTGCTGAGGATGGAAAAAAGAGTAAGACTCAGCATGGCCCCCAGGAATCAGGAGTGGCTGTATTAATATCAGACAAATCAAGGCAAATAATTTTGCCATGGTTGAAGAAGGTCTTTTCCTAATGATAAAGGGGTCAGTTCTTCAAGAGGACAAAACAGTTCTAAACATTTATAAACTAAATGACAGTGTTTCAAAGTATATGAAGCAAACACTGATAACTGCAAGGAGAAATAGATATATCCATAATGATAGTGATTCCATTATTCTTCTCTTAGTAATTGATAGAATAAGGAGACTGAAAATCATTAAGGATGCGGGAGACTTGAACAACCCCTTCAGCCTGCTGGATCTGACTGACAGTCATAGCACACCATCCAGAGAGAGCAGAATGTAGTTCTTTTTTAGTATAAACACAAAGATAGATCATATTCTTGTGAGCCATAAAATAAGCCCCAAATTGATAATTATGCAAGCCATACAAAATATATTCTCTGACCACAGTGGAATTAAGAATAATTCTAATAACAGAAGTATCTTTGGAAATGTCCTGAATATTTAGTAACTAAATAACATACTTTTAGATAACCCATAGGTCAAAGAAGAAGTCAAAAGTGAAATTAAAAAGTATTTAGAACCAAATGAAAATGAAGACACAGGCCAGGCGCGGTGGCTCATGCCTGTATTCCCAACACTTTGGGATGCCAAGGCCGGCAGATTACCTAAGGTCAGGAGTTCAAGACCAGCCTGGCCAATATGATGATGAAACCCCATCTCTACAAAAAATACAAAATTAGCCGAGCGTGGTGGCACACCCTGTAATCCCAGCTACTCGGGAGGCTGAGACAGGAGAATCACTTGATCCAGAGGTGGAGGCTGCAGTGAGCCGAGATCATGTGACCGCACTAGCCAAGATCACGCCACTGCACTCCAGCCTGGGCGACAGAGCAAGACTCCATCTCAACAACAAAAAAAAGCCAGATGCGGTGGGAAGAAGCTCCTGCAAGAGGCCACGGAGCCAGCGACGGGAGGCCTTGAAGCCAGTGACGACCCACTCAGCCGAGCTGCCGCTTTCGCAGCACGCCAAGGACACTCATGAGGACCATGATACTTCCACTGAGAATGCAGATGAGTCCAACCATGACCCTCAGTTTGAGCCAATAGTTTCTCTTCCTGAGCAAGAAATTAAAACACTGGAGGAAGATGAAGAACTTTTAAAAATGCAGACGAAACTGTTCTGATTTGCCTCAGAGAAGGATCTCCCAGAATGGAAGGAGTGAGGCACCGGCAACGTCAAGCTCCTGAAACACAAGGAGAAAGGGACCATCTGCCTCCTCATGCGGAGGGACAAGACCCTGAAGATCTGTGCTAACCACTCTTCACGCTGATAATGGAGCTGAAGCCCAACATGGGTAGTGACCATGCCTGGGTCTGGAACACCCACGCCGACTTCGCCAACGAGTGCCCCAAGCCAGAGCTGCTGGCCATCCACTTCCTGAATATTGAGAATGCACAGAAATTCAAAACAAAGTTTGAAGAATGCAAGAAAGAGATCGGAGAGAAAAGAAAGGATCGGGCAAAAACGATCATGCCAAAAAAAGTGGCGGAAAAGCTAGAAGCTCTTTTGGTGGAGGAGGAAACCAAGGAGGATGCTGAGGAGAAGCAATAAATCATCTTATTTTATTTCCTTTTCCTCCCTTTCCTTTCCTTTTCAAATTTTACCCTGCCCCTCCTTTTCGGTTTGTTTTTATTCTGTTTTGTTTTTACAAGGGATGTTATATAAAGAACTGAATTCAACATTCAAAAAAAAAGATTAAAGCATAAATCAATGAAATAGAAAACAAAAACCAGAAAAAAGCTAAAAAGCTGATTCTTTGAGAAAATCAATGCAATTGATAAACCTTTATCCAGACTGGTTAGGAGAAAACAAGACACAAATTACCTACCGTACCAAGTGTTGGTGAAGATGTGGAGGAACTGGATCTCTCATGTTCTGCTCATGGGACTGTAATATGGTATAACCACTTTGGAAAACAGTGTGGCCTTTTTTTTTTTTTTTTTTTGAGATGGAGTCTCGCTCTGTCGCCCAGGCTGGAGTGCATTGGCACTATCTCCACTCACTGCGAGCTCCGCCTTCCAGGTTCACGCCATTCTCCTGCCTCAGCCTCCTGAGTAGCTGGGATTACAGGTGCCTGCCACCCAGTCCGGCTAATTTTTTTGTATTTTTTTAGTAGAGACGGGGTTTCACCGTGTTAGCCAGGATGGTCTTGATCTCCTGACCTCATGATCCGCCCACCTTGGCCTCCCAAAGTGCTGGGATTACAGGCGTGAGCCACTGCGCCCGGCCTATGTGGCCTTTTTATAAAGAGTTAAATATACACCTACTATATGATCCAGCCATTCCACTCTTAGGAATTTATCAGGAGATAAGAAAGCATGTGGCTGGACACGTAATTCCAGCACTTTGGGAGGCCACGGTGGGCAGATCATCTGAGGTCAGGAGTTGAAGACCAGCCTGGCCAACATGACAAAACCCCGTCTCTACAAAAAATACAAAAATTAGCCAGGCGTGGTGGCACGTGCCTATAATCCCAGCTACTTGGGAGGTTGAGGCAGGAGAATAGCTTGAATCTGGGAGGTGGAGGTTCACACCACTGCACTCCAGCCTGAGCAACAGAGTGAGACTCTGTCTCAAAAGAAAAAGAAAGAAAGAAGGAAAGAAAGCATGTGCCCATACAGAGATCTGTGTATGAATGTTCACAGCAGCTTTGTGACAGCCAAAAACTAGAAACAACCGGAAAGCTCAGCAATACATAAATGGATACACTGTGATATATTCACCCAGCAGAATATTACTCAGCAATGAAAGGGAATGAACTATTGATATGTTATTCCATGGATGAATCTCCAAAACATGTGCTGCGTAAAATAAGACAAAATGGCCAGGCGCAAGTGGCTCACACCTGTAATCCCAGCACTTTGGGAGGTCGAGGTGGGTGGATCATTTCAGGTCAGGAGTTCGAGACCAGTCTGGCTAACATGGTAAAACCCCATCTGTACTAAAAATACAAAAAAGTTAGCCAGATGTGGTGGTGCATGACTGTAGTTCTGGCTATTTGAGAGGCTGAGGCAGGAGAATCGCTTGAACCCGGGAGGCAGAGGTTGCAGTGAACTGAGAAATCCTGCCACCACACTTCAGTCTGGGCGACAGAGCAAGACTCCATCTCAAAAAAAAATCAGACAAAAAAAGGCAACTTTATGATTTCACTTACGTGAAATTCTAGATAGGTGAAACTATAGTGACAGAAAGCAGATCAGCTGTTGCCTGGGGCAACACTTAGTGAAAAATCACTAAGGGGCATAAGGAGATGCTTGTGGTGATGACGTTCCTTATCTTGATTGTGCTAATGCTTATATGGGCACATACAGCCTTCAGAGCTCATGAAATTATATACTTTAGATATGCACAGTTTCTCATATCTCAGTTTTACCTCCCTAAAACTATTAAGAAATTTGTGCTTAATACTTTGGTGAGCATTTTATGCCCTTTGCCCCATGTAGTTGGTTCTCACTGGTAGGTAGGCAGGCAGGTAGAATTAGCAGCTTTAGGTGAGACAGAGCTGAGCGGAGGTTCCTTCACTCAGTCAGGCTCTCCCGGCCAGTGGCTTGCAGACCAGGCCAGGCTGCTGCCCTTCTTTGGTGCTGCTGCAGAGGGAAGTGTTTGGCATGTGGGGTCTCTACAGTTAGTCCTGGTTTCTAAGAGTCTAAGGCTGTTTTATTCTCTCTTTTCTTTAGTCCTTTGGGAGACAACATTCTACTTATGTTCTCTTAATGTTTTGTCCCCTAGGCATTAGCAGAACCAAGGGCTGCATGAGTTTTGAGCTTGTGTCTGGTGTTTTCCCTCAGGGCACAGTCTTTTGCTGAGCGCCTGCGCCTGGGAATTGCAGTGATTCATGGAGAGGCGCAGGATGCCGAGTCGGACTTGGTGGATGGACGGCATTCCCCACCCATGGTCAGAAGTGTGGCTGCCATCCACCCCAGCCTGGAGATCCCCAGTAAGTGTGCTGCTGCCTCTTTCCCACTTTCCTCTGATTTTAAGGCTGACTACACTGTTGTCTGTGTGGTTTTTTTCCTCATTCTTCGTTTTTTTTTAGTTGGCAAAAACTCATTAACACCTTTCTTGGCCAGATAGTAGCGAATGCATTTCTGATTACCTTGTAAATTGTAAGGCCGTTTAGAAGCAGTCTGTCCTTCTTTGCAAGACCTGTGAAAATGTTTGGACTATTGAGACAGTTGCAATGCTTCAGGGAAGTCCATTCATTCATTCAGCAGTATATACTAGAGTGTAGTTTAACATAAGCAAAAAGCTTTTTATATACAAAGTTATTGACTGTGATGTTGTTTTTAATGCAAAATATTAGAAAGGTTTAAATGGTTTACCAGAGTGTAGGGCTTGGTAAATTATACTGTGTCAGTACAGCTAATTATGCAGCCCTTTGAAATAATCAAGACTATCTGGAAACGAGAAAAATATATGGAATATATATGAACAAGGCAGAATATAAGATTGTATACCTATTTGTCTTAGTTCAGGCTGCTGTGATGAAATACCTTAGACTGGGTAATATAAACAACAAATTTATTGCTCACAGTTCTAGAGGCTGTGAAGGTCAAGATAAAGGCGCCAGCACTGACCCCGTGATGGGCCGGGCACGGTGGCTCACGCCTGTAATCCCAACACTTTGGGAGGCCGAGGCGGGTGAATCACCTGAGGTCAGGAGTTCGAGACCAGCCTGATCCACATGGAGAAACCCCCTCTCTACTAAAAATACAAAATTAGCCAAGTGTGGTGGCGTATGCCTGTAATCCCAGCTCCTTGGGAGGCTGAGGCAGGAGAATCGCTTGAACCCGGGAGACAGAGGTTGTGGTGAGCCGAGATCGCGCCATTGCACTCCAGCCTGGGCAACAAGAGTGAAACTCCTTCTCAGAAAAAAAAAAAGATAAAGGCGCCAGCAGATTTGGTGTCTGTCGAGGGCCTGTTCCTCGTAGATGGTACCTTCTTGCTGCATCCTCATGTGGTGGAGAAAGGTGGAAGACTCCCTCAAGCCTCTCTGACAAGGGCACTGACCCCCTTCGTAGAGCAGAGTCCTAACAAACTAGTCACCTAAAAGCCCTACCTCTTAATACCACCACAGTGGGTTCCAGCATGAATTTGGAAGGACACAAAAATTCAGACCATAGCATTTTGCCCCGGCCCCTCAAAATTCATGTTCATCTTACGTGCAAAATACATTCATTCTATCCTAATAGCCCCCAAAATGTTAACTCCGGGTAAGTCTTAACTTAATTTCAGCATCACCTCAAAAGTCTGAAGTCCAAAGTCCCATCTAAATATCATCTAAATCAAATATGGGTAAGACTCCAGCTCTGGGATTCACTCTGACGCACGTTTCTCTCCGGCTGTGAGCCTGTGAAATCAAACAGGTTGTATGCTTCCAAAATGCAATGGTGGGACAGACATTGGATAGACATTCCCATTCCAAAAAGGAGAAGTGAGGCCCAGTGTGGTGGTTCACGCTTGTAGTCCCAGCGTTTTGGGTAGCCAAGGTGGGAGGGTTGCTTGAGGCCAGGAGTTCGAGACCAAAAGGGAGAAGTAGGAAGAAAGAAAGGAGTGACAGGTCCTGACCAAGTCTAAAACCCAACCAGACAAACAACATTAAATCTTAAGGCTTAAGTTGACTCAAAGCCCCGCCTTCCACAAAAACTGGGGCAGGGGTTGGTCTTGCAAAGCTCTGGATGGCCCCACTCCCACAGCTTTGCTGGGAGCAGCCCATGCAGCAGCTCTCAGTCACTGGATTCTCATGCCTGCATCTCTCAGGCTGGAGTTGCACTCTAGTGGTTCTACCAGTCTTGGGTCTTGGGGTGGTCTTGCCCCACAACTCCACTGGGCATTGCCCTAGTGGGGTCTCTCTGGTGGCCCTGCCCTTGTGACAGTTCTCTGCTTGGGCCCTGGCACTCTTTGGGGCATCCTTTGAAGTCTGGGTAGAGGTAGATGTGCCCCCACAGCTCATTCACTCTGTGCACTGTGGAGATGGCCCTGCACGGACACCACTGTGGTTTGTTGCCTGTGCCTTCCAGAGGGGTGGCCCGAGCTATAGTTGGACCTGCTTGAGCTATAGCTGGAGTGGGTAAGGAGTATTCTGGAATGTGGGAAGTGGAGCCTTGAAATCGTTCTGCCCCCAAGACCCTGGCATTCTAGGCTTATGATGAGATGGGCAGTCACAAAGATCTCAGAAATGCCTTTGGGGTCATTGAGTCACTGTCTTGATGAATAGCGTCTGGTTCTTTTTTTTTTTTTTTTTTTTTTTTTGAGACAAGGTCTCACTCTGTCACCCAGGCTGGAGTGCAGTTGTGCGATCATGGCTCATTGCAGTCTCACCTCCTGGGCCCAAGCAGTCCTCCCACTTCAGCCTCATGAGTAGATGGAACTACAAGCACTTGCCACCGCACCTGGCTAATTTTTGTATTTTTTGTAGAGACAAAGTTTTACCATGTTGCCCAGGCTGGTCTTGAACTCCTGAGCTCAAGTGATCCACCCGCCTTAACCTCCCAAAGTGCTTACAGGTGTGAGCCACCACTCCTGGCCGTCTGGCTTCTTTCTATCCATACTAATCTCCTTATCAAATGTTTGCTTGGTGGCTGGGCGCGGCGGCTCACACCTATAATCCCAGCACTTTGGGAGGCCGAGGCAGGTGGATCACGAGGTCAGGAGATCAAGACCAGCCTGGCCAACATGATGAAACCCCGTCTCTACAAAAAATACAAAAATTAGCTGGGCATGGTGGTGCGTGCCTTAAATCCCAACTACTCGGGAGGCTAAGGCAGGAGAATCACTTGAACCAGGGAGTTGGAGGTTGCAGTGAGCTGAGATCCAAGACTGTGCCACCGTACTCCAGCATGGCAACAGAGTGAGACACCATCTCAAAAAAAAAAAGAAAAAAGAAAAGTTTGCTTGGCTACACACTTGGAGTTCTGTCCTGAACATGTTTTTGCTTTTTTTTTTTTTTTTTTTTTTTTTTGAGACAGAGTCTTGATCTGTCTTCCAGGCTGGAGTACAGTGGTGCGATCAGATCTCACTGCAGCCTCCACCTCCCGGGCCCAAGCCATTCTCCTACCTCAGCCTCCCAAGTAGCTGGGACTATAGATGTGTGCACCAGGCCTGGCTAATTTTTTTTTTTTTTTTGGTAGAGACGGGGTCTTGCTTTGTTGCCTAGGTTGGTCACAAACTCTTGGGCTCAAGCAATCCTCCCTCCTTGGCCTCCCAAACTCTTGGGCTTATAGGCCTGAGCCATTGCATCCAGCCTTGCTTTTACATTCTTTACAAGATGGCCAGGCTGATAATTTTCCAAATATTTAAGTTCTACCTCCCCTTTGATGATAAATCTCATCTTTAATTCATCTTCTTGGATTTTAGTATAAGCAGTCAAGAGCAGCCATGCACCCTCTTTTGCCAAAGATTCTATTTCACTGCCCTTTTTTTTTTTTTGAGATGGAGTCTCACTCTGTCACCCAGGCTGGAATGCAGTGGTGCAATCTCGGCTCACTGCAACCTCCAGCTCCCGGGTTCAAGCAATTCTCATGCCTCGGCCTCCTGAGTAGCTAGCACTACAGGTGCACACCACCACACCTGGCTCATTTTTGTATTTTTAATAGAGATGGCATTCCACCATGTTGGCCAGGTTGGTCTCAAAACTCCTGAACTCAAGTGGTCCGCCTGCCTCAGCCTCCCAAAGTGCTGGGGTTACAGACATGAACCACTGCACCCGACCTTTTTTTTTTTTTTTTTGAGACAGTGTTTTACTCTCTTGCTCAGGCTGGAGTGCAGTGGTGTGATCACAGCTCACAGCAGCCTTGACCTCCTGGGCTCAATCGATCCTCCCACCTCAGCCTCCCAAATAGCTGGGACTGCAGGCATGTGCCACCATGTCTGGCTAATTTTTGTATTTTATGTAGAGATGGAGTTTTGCCATGTTGCCCAGGTTGGTTTTGAACTCTTGGGCTCAAAGCGATCCTTCCACCTCAGCCTCCCAAAGTGCTGAAATTACAGGTGTGAGCCACCATGACCAGCCTACTGTCTGTTTTTCTACTAGCATTGTGATCATGACCACTTAGATCATTTCTAAGAAGATTGAGGCTTTCTTTACAGCTGTTTTCTTCTGAGCCTGTCTTAGTCTGTTTTGTGTTGCTATAACAGACTATATAAGACTGGGTATTCTATAAAGAAGACACTTTATTTAGCTCACAGTTCTTCGGGCTGGTAAGTTAAAGAGCATAGCATCACATCTGGCAGTTTCTGGTGAGGGCCACACACTAGGTTGAAACATGGTGGAGAAGAAAAGTGAGCAGGCGGGTGCAGAGAAATCACATGGCAAGAGAGGAAACGAGAGAGCCTGGGAAGCCAAACTCATTTTTATAACAACCTGTTCTCATGGGAACTAAGTGCCCTGAGAGCAAGAACTCACTCACCCCCATAGGAAGGCATTAATCCATTCATGAAGGATCTGCCTCTGTGACCCAAACATCTCCCACTAGGCCCCACCTCTCAATAGCGCACACTGGGGATCAATTTTTTTTTTTTTTTGAGACGGAGTCTTGCTCTGTCGCCCAGGCTGGAGTGCAGTGGTACGATTTTGGCTCACTGCAAGCTCCACCTCCTGGGTTCAAGCAGTTCTCCTGCCTCAGCCTCCCGAGTAGCTGGGACTACAGGTGCATGCCACCACACCCGGCTAATTTTTTGTATTTTAGTAGAGATGGGGTTTCACCTTGTTGCCCAGGCTGGTTGAACTCCTGAGCTCAGGCAATCTGCCTACCTCGGCCTCCCAAAGTGCTGGGATTACAGGCGTGAGCCACTGCGCCTGGCCCAAATTTTTAACATAAGTTTTAGTGGAGACAAACTACATCCAAACCAAAGCAGAACTCTCACCAGAGCTCCCCTTTACGGTCTGTACATAGCAATACAGTCTTTTTCTAGCCTTTTCCTCTTCCAGCCTCTGCCCATTACCCAGTTCCAAAGCCACTCCTGCATTGGTGGGTATTTAATACAGCAGCAACTCACTTCTCAGTACCAATTTCTGTCTTAGTTTGTTAAGGCTACTATAACAAAATACCTTAGACTTGGTATTTTTTTTTTTTTTTTGAGACGGAATTTCGCTCTTGTTGCCCAGGCTGGAGTGCAATGACACGATCTTGGCTCACCGCAACTTCCACCTCCACCTCCCGGGTTCAAGCGATTCTCCTGCCTCAGCCTCCTGAGTAGCTGGGATTACAGGCGCGCACCACCACGACTGGCTAATTTTTGTATTTTTAGTAGAGACAGAGTTTCTCCATGATGGTCAGGCTGGTCGCGAACCCCTGACTTCAGGTGATCCGTCCACCTCAGCCTCCCAAAGTACTGGAATTACAGGCATGAGCCACTGCACCCGGCCAGACTGGGTAATTTATAAACAACAGAAATTCATTGCTCACAGTTCTGGAGACTGGGAAGTCCTGGATCAAGGCACCAGCAGATTGGTGTCTGATGAGGGCTCACTCTGCTCCTGAGGTGGCACCTTGTTACTGTGTCCTCAGATGGTGGAAGGAGCAAGGCAGCTCTCTGTAAGGGCACTAATCCTGTTCATGAAGGCAGAGGCCTTGAGCCTTAATCATTTCCCAAAGGCCCCACTGTTAATACTATCACATTGGGTATTAAGTTCCAACATAGCATTTTGAGAGGACACCATCTTCAGACCACAGCACTCTCTTTGTCTATGCAAAGACCAGGAGGAAATAGGAAGAATGAATGTAGTTGGGTTGGGGTGGTAGAGTTATGCATGAATTTGTTTTTGTGTTTAAGAAACTTCCCCATGCCTTAATAACATCTTCTTAATTAAAAAAAAAAATGCCACCTTCGAGTTGTTGGGGAAGAACCCTAACCCCCTGCCCTCATAGATTCAGTGTTTGGTGGCATATGGACTAAACTGGCAAAAGACAGATGAGGAAGAGGAAAGGCAGTTTAATCACATACATACAGATGTGTGTGATTAAACTCTTTTGTGAGTCACAAAAATGTGACTCGAAGTGGTTACAATTTGGGGCTTATATAGCATCTTAATAGGGGAACAGGAGGGGCAGAAAAGGCCCCTGTGGGAAAACAGATGACTTCTTTTTTTTTTTTTTTGAAACGCTCTTTTGCCCAGCCTGGAGTGCAGTGGTGCAATCATGGCACACTGCAACCTCGGCCTCCCAGGTTCAGGCGATTCTCCTGGGTAGCTGGGACTACCGGTACATGCCACCATGCCCAGGTAATTTTGGTATTATTATTATTATTATTATTATTATTATTATTATTATTTTTTTTTTTTTTTTTTTTTTTTTTTTTTTTTTTAGTAGAGACAGGGTTTCGCCATGTTGGCCAGGCTGGCCTCGAACTGACTGCAAGTGATTCGCCCGCCTCGGCCTCCCAATGTGCTGGGATTACAGGCGCCCGGCCAAGATGACTCCTTAATAGGGGAAGAGGAGGAGGGAGGGGACTGATGGGAAGTGGGCGCTGAGGAGAAAAGATGGGAGAGAGGCTAGTTTTTGACAGCGTCTGTTTAGGTGTGGTCTGGACTTCTTCTGGTCTTAAGCGATAAGAGTCAGTCTTCCCTGGTGTTCCCAGGGAGGAGATTTATCACAGTTGAGTTCTTTGGAGTTATTTTGTGAGGCTCTGCTTTTCAGCATATAAGGGACTTCAGGAACTCAAATGCTTTCAGCTCAAAATAATTTTTAGGTCACAGAGGTATATTCTGGACTGTTAGGTTTTTGCCTTGCCCAGGAGTTTGCTCATTTATAAATAGAGGGAAAAAAAAACCAGAGAAGGAACTAGTGTGGTTGGGATAGCCATGCACGCAGCTGGGATTCCAGCTATACTTTGTAGATCCCAACTGAGGTGGAAAGGGAAGGCCATCTGGGCAGGGGTTAAATCTCCTAAGGGGTGGGGGACTGAGCTTGAGTTTGCATCTGGCTCCATCACTTATCAGCTGTGTGTTCTTGGGCCTGTTGTTTTTCTGAAAAAGAGCGACAGCAAGAGGCCATCCTCAGAGTGGACCCATGATAGGCCAAGATGGTGGAAAGCCCAGGACGAGCCCTCAGGACCCAGCACTGCCTGCCTTATGTGAGTGAGATAGGACTGCAGTGGTGAGACGTTCAGTGATGGGCCATGGTGTGGCCAGGAAGACACTAGCCTGACTACCAGGAGGCCCCTGGAGGGAAGAGATGGACTAAGATAGCAGTATCTGCGGGGAGCCAACCAAGGAGGACTTTGAATACCAGTAAATACACTCGTGTCCTAGAAGGCAGCCCACAAAGGCTCTCGATCCGGGCCATTTAGTGTTCAGCAGGCCAGGCCTGCATCTGTGTTTGGGATAGGGCTGCAAGTGCAGAGGCCAGATCCGGGAGGCTGAT
Source organism: Homo sapiens (assembly GCF_000001405.40). Lineage (NCBI taxonomy): Eukaryota > Metazoa > Chordata > Mammalia > Primates > Hominidae > Homo > Homo sapiens. Next base: position 18,918,678 of record NC_000017.11, read on the forward strand.
GAAGTTGAGCAGGCACATGGGAGGAGAGCTTGATCTCTTGGGCTATGCTGTCCAGTCGGGTGGCCACTGGCTACATGTGGCTCCTGCACACTGGGAACGGGGTGGGGAGCAGTGGGAGTGTGAAGGACACACCCCTAATCTGAAAACTTTAATGTAAGTATCTCATTAGTGAAGTTTTATTGACTCTGTGTTAAAATGGTAATATTTTGATATGTTGAATCAAATCAAACATGTTATTAAAATTAATTTTACCTTTTTTTGTGCTTTTGTAATGTGGCTACTAGAAAATCTGAAATTGCATATGTGGCTTTCATTTCTGTTGTGCGTTATTGCTCTAGGGGTTGGTAACAATGGGAATGAAAGTGACAGAGCACATTGAGAAATGTTAAAAAGACGATGGGAGGGAGGCCAGGTACTTTGGCGCACTCCTTTAATCCCAGCACTGTGGAAGGCTAAGGTGGAAGGTTTGCTTGAGCCCAGGAGTTTGAGACCAGCCTGGGCAACATAGCACAACCCCGTTTCTACAAAAAGTTTAAAAATTAGCCAGGCGGCTGGGCGCAGTGGCTCACACCTGTAATCCCAGCACTTTGGGAGGCCGAGGTGGGTGGATCATGAGGTCAGGAGTTCAAGATCAAACTGACCAAGATGGCGAAACGCTGTCTCTACTAAAAAATATAAAAATTAGCCAGGTGTGGTGGTTCGTGCCTGTAATCGCAGCTACTCAGGAGGCTGAGGCAGGAGAATCACTTGAACCCAGGAGGCAGAGGTTGCAGTGAGCTGAGATTGTGCCACTGCACTCCAGCCTGGGCAACACAGTGAGACTACCTCTCAAAAAAAAAAAAATTAGCCAGGCATGGTGGTGTGCCTGTAATCCCAGCTACTTGAGAGTGAGGTGAAAGGATCACTTGAACCCAGGAAGTCGAGGCTGCAGTGAGCCATGATGGTGCCACTGCACTCCAGCCTGTGTGACAGAGTGAGACCCTGTCTCTAAAAAAGATAGCAGGAGGGAATGAACATTTTTAGTGTATTAGTCTCCAGTACAGCCCTTTTAATTGAGTGATGATTTTCCACTTTATAGATAAACAGGATCAGAAAGAGAAAGCGACTTCCCTGCAGTCACATAGTGACAAGCTGGACATGTCTGACTAAAACCTGTGCTTTTTCCACTGTGTTCTTGGGTCTCTTGGACTTAGTAATGGGGATTTAAGGAGGAGGAAGGCAGTGAGATAGAGCCAGGGTTCAGGATTTGGGGCTGGGAGGGTGTTAATAAAGCGTTTGGCTCAGGACCTCAAAGCCTTTTGCTTGTGTGTGCATTTCTCACAGCCTCACGTGCCCAGGCTGTTGGTGCTGGGGGGTAGGCCTGGGGCTGCCGCTCCCTTTCAGAATCCTTGCCTGGCCTCAGAGGGGCTTGTGTCTAGGAACCTCAGCAGAACCCTGCAAGGGCTGGCTGGGACCATTGGTGAGATGAGCCATGCCCGGGAGCATGGAAGAATATATGTTCCTCTTCAGTCCTGTAAGCACATGGGCTGTGATGAGGAACGCGTTGGCAGTCTTTAGATGAACGCTGCTTCTTTGGAACTTGCTGGGTGTTAGCTTTTGGTGTGGCCTTTGGGAGTGGACTCTGGACTGCAGACACTGAACTACAGGTTTCCCATCTGGAAATGAGTTCATAGGACTGGATGATCTCTATGTTCTTTCTAATATTTCTTTACTCGTGGGATCTTTATGTTTCATTCATAATTTTAATTATAATGTTTCTATGTTTATGTTTTGACTCAAGTAGTGATCACTACAGGCCGTCTTTGGGAATGCAGTAGAATTTTAGTTTCATAGATCCTAAATATTTGATTGTTTTTATACATTTGATGATTGGACACCCTACATAGAATACTTTTTTAAGGTACTAGCAAATAATATATGAAGGGAAAAGAAAGCATTCTTCCTGTAGCATCTCGAATATAAAGATTTTGTTATTTAGTATTAGATTTTAAAAATTATTTTGTATCCTCTGATTTCTTATAGATGAAAATATGCCTACTAAAAAACAATGAAAATACTTTTTCAGAATATAAGCACTATATATAATATTTGAAAATATTATCCATAAAAGTTAGAAGAAAATAATAATTAGTGCTTGATGCCACTATTCAAAGACACACCACTTTAATTTGGTGAGCCTCTTTTTGGTTTTTCACCCTTATTTTCATAAAGCTGCGATGCATGCTTCATACATAATTGTGCATGTTGCTGCCTCCTTCTCCCAGCTGCCCGACGTGTCATCTCAGGTCACCAGAAACTTTGACAGGAAACAGCAATTTCTTTTTTTTTTCTTTGAGACTGGGTCTCACTTTGTCACCCAGGCTGGAGTGCAGTGACAATCACGGCTCACTGCAACCTTGACCTCCCAGGCTCAAGCGATTTGTCCACCTCAGCCTCTTGTAAACAGCATTTTTATGGCTAATAACCCATCGTATGAATGTGGCTTAGACTGCCCAACCACAGCCTAATTTGGGGTTTTTATGTTTTCTTCTGTTCTTTGCCCTTATAATGTGGCAGGAAATATATGTGGATAAAACACTTTTCCCATACTTTGGCTTATTTCATTTCAAGCTTCTAAAAGTGAGATTAATGAGTCAGAAGGTATGAATATAAGGCTTTTTGTCAAATTGATTTCCTAGAGGGTGATTCATTATACTTTTTCACCGGCATTGAGGTCAAGTGTCCTGGGAGTAGGACTGTTGAAAATGTAAAAAGTCACTTCAGTTCTGGAATTTATCTTGCTTTGCTTTGTTTTGTTACACTTTTTTGCCCTCTCCTGATGCTCACCTGGGGTCACACATTGCCTCTGGTTGTCATATGTCTTTCATCTCTTTCAATCTAGAGCAGTGGTTCTCAATTAGGGAGTGGATATTGTCTCCTAGAGGTCATTTGGAAATGTCTGGAGATAGTTTTGATTGTCAGAATCAAGGGGGTGGCTACTGGCATCTAGTGAGTAGAGGCCAAACATGCTGCTAAACTTCTCACAGTACGTAGGGTGGTCCCTTGCAGCATAAACGTGTCTGGCCCAAGATCTCAGCAGTTGAAAAGTCCCAATCTAGAACAGTATTTTAACTTTTTCTTTTTGTGACATTGCCTTAAAAGAAAATTGAAGTCAAAGTCACATAACATAGAATTAACCATTTTAAAGTATAAAATTTACTGGCTTTCAGTATATTCACAGTTTTGTGCAGTTACCATTTCTTTCTAGTTTCAAAACTTCTCATTACCCCGGAAGAACACCCTGCACCCATTAAGTAGTTTCACCATGCCCCCATCCCCCAGCCCCTGGCAACCACTTACCTCTTTTCTGTTTCTGTGGATGTTTGCCTAATCTGGACACTTCATATAAACGGAATCATATAATATGTGGGCTTTTGTATCTGGCTTCTTTCTTTGAGCATGTTTTTGAGGTTCATCCATGTGATAGCACTTGTCAGTACTTCATTGCTTTTGGTGGCTGGATAATATTTCATTGTCAGCATTTGAAAGGAATTTGGGTTGTTTCCACTTTTGGCTATGCTGCTCTGTATATTCATGTATGAGTTTTCTGTGTGGATAGATGATTCATTTCTCATGGTCTATACCTGGTATCGGAATTGCTGCGTCACTTGGTGTATGTTTAACTTTTTGAGGAACTGCCAGACTCTTTTTTCACAGCAGCTGCACCATTTTATATTCCTACCAGTAATGTACAAAGATTTCAGTTTCTCCACATCCTCATCAACACTTATTTTCTACTTTTTATTGTAGCCAGCCCAGTGGGCATAAAGTGGCATCTCATTGTGATTTTGATAAACATTTCCCTAATGGCTAATGACTTCATTTGTATATCTTCTTTGGAGAAATATCTGTTGAAATCCTTTGCCCATTTTTGAACTAGGTTTGTCTTTTTTTGTTGAATTATAAAAGTTCTTTATATATTTTGGCATATGGCGCATATATATATATATAATTTTTTTTTTTTTTTTTTTTTTTGCGACAGGGCCTCACTCTCTCACCCAGGCTGGAGTGCAGTGGTGCAATCGTGGCTCACTGGAGCCTTGACCTCCCGGGCCCAAGTGATCCTCTCACCTCAGCCCCCTAAGTAGCTGTGACTACTGTCATGCACCACCACGCCCTGCTAATTTTTGTATTTTTTTATAGAGACAGGGTTTCGCCATGTTGCTCAGGCTGGTCTCAAACTCCTGAACTCAGGCAGGCAATCTGTCCACCTCGGCCTCCCAAAGTACTGGGATTACAGGCATGAGCCACCATGCCCAGCCTACTTTATATATTTTGGATACTAGACTCTTACCAGATACATGATATGCAAATATTTTCTGCCATTCTGTAGGGGTTTTTTTTACTTTTTTATTTTTATCTATTTATTTATTTTTATTTATTTATTTTTTGAGACAGAGTCTCGCTCTGTCACCCAGGCTAGAGTGCAGTGGCATGATCTCGGCTCACTGCAAGCTCCACATCTCAGGTTCACGCCATTCTCCTGCCTCAGCCTCCCAAGTAGCTGGGACTACAGGCGCCCACTAGCACACTTGGCTAATTTTTTTTTTTTTTTTTTTTTTTGTATTTTTAGTAGAGACAGGGTTTCACCATGTTAGCCAGGAAGGTCCCGATCTCCTGACCTCGTGATCCGCCCGCCTCAGCCTCCCAAAGGGCTGGGATTACAGGCGTGAGCCACCACGCCTGGCGTGGAATTGCTTTCTCAATTCCCTCTTTTGATTGTTCAGTGCTGCTGTGTAGCAGCTGATTTTGTGTGTTGATTTTGTACTTGGCAACTTGGCTGAATTCATATATTATTAGCTTTGGTAGGTGGATTTGTGGATTCTTGGGTATTTTCAATATGTAGGAACATGTCATCTGCTAATAGAGATAGTTTTACTTTTCCTTTCTGATCTGGATGCCTTTCATTTCGTTTTCTTGTCTAATTACCCTTGCTAGAGTATCCAGTATGATGGTGAATGGCAGTGGTGCAGTGGGCATCCTTGTCTTGTTGCTGATCTTAGGGGAAAGCTTTTGGCCTTCGGCCATAAAGTATCAAGTTAGCTGTGGGTTTTTGTAGTTGCCCTTAATCAGATTGAGGAAATTCCCTTGTATTCCTAGTTGGTTGAATGTTTTTATCTTGAGATATTAACTTCTTTAAAGTTTTGTTTTACTTTTTAATATAAAAATTTTGGTGTGTGTGTTTTATTCCAACCAGTGCTGATTCCTAAAGAAAAGCCCCCAATCACGGTTGTGGGTGATGTTGGAGGAAGGATTGCCATCATCGTGGTATGTAGACCTCTTTTATTATTAATTCTAGTATTTGCCATTGTTATTCTGTTGATTGATTGATTGATTGATTTTATTACAGAGACTCACTGTCGCCCAGGCTGGAGTGCAGTGGCACAATCTCGGCTCACTGCAACTTCTGCCTCCCAGGTTCAAACGATTCTCCTGCCTCAGCCTCCCAAGTAGCTGGAATTACAGGTGCCTGCTACCACGCCTGGCTAATTTTTGTATTTTTAGTAGAGATGGGGTTTCACCATGTTGGCCAGGCTGGTCTCAAGCTCCTGAACTTAAGTGATCCACCTGCCTCGGCCTCCCAAAGTGTTGGGATTACAGGCGTGAGCCACTGCACCTGGCCAATTTATTTGTTAATTCTGGGCATATAAAGGCCTAAGGATAGTAGTATGGCCAGATAATTCTTATTAAATTTGTGCCTTGTGCTAAATGTTTGCTTTGGCCCAGAAATTGGAAAATGCTATTGTTTATTTTAAAATTGCTCACTACTGGCTGGGCGCGTTGGCTCATGCCTGTAATCCCAGCACTTTGGGACGCCAAGGCAGGCCAATCGCTTGGGCTCAGGAGTTCAAGACCAGCTTGGACAACATGGTGAAACCCTGTCTCTACAAAAAATACAAAAATTAGCTGAACTTGGTGGCACATACCTGCAGTCCCAGCTACTTGAGAGGCTGAGGCGGGAGGATCACTTGAGCCTGGGGCTCAGAGGTTGCAGTGAGCCGAGATCATGCCACTGCACTCCAGCCTGGGTGACAGGGTGAGGCTGTGTCTCAAAAAAAAAAAAAAAAAAAGTCATCCTGTCATAACATGAGATATTGTTCTGTGATCAAAGTAAAGTACAAGCTGGGCACAGTGGCTCATGCCTATAATCCCAGCACTTTGGGAGGCCAAGGCAGGCAGATCACCTGAGGTCAGGAGTTGAAGACCAGCCTGGCCAACATGGTGAAACCCCATCTCTACTGAAAATACAAAAATTAGCTGGACATGTTGGCGCACACCTGTAATCCCAGCTACTTGGGAGGCTGATCTTGGAGAATCGCTTGAATCTGGGAGGCGGAGGTTGCAGTGAGCCAAGATTGTGCCACTGCACTCTAGCCTGGGCGAAAGAGTGAGATTCCATCTCAAAAGAAAAAAAAAAAGTAAACTACAAAGTTGATTATAACTGTTTGAAACATGCATCCTTTCACACATCATAAGACCAGTGCACAAAAAGAGTGCACTTCATGCCTGTATATTTTAAAGAATAGAATGAACACTGGGTACCCGCTAGCTCACTTGAGGCATAGATCATCACCAGGTACCTAGAGGCCTCCTCTGGGCTTACCCTGGTCTCTTTGCCTCAGAGGTTGTCACTGATGTGAAAGCTGCCCATCTTGATCCTGTAGTCAGCCATGAGGGCTTGTGGCCTTAAATGCTGCCTTTTTTTCTTGTCTTTGATGTTTATGTAAATGATGTCTTTGTGTACTTTGGGACTTTCTTGCTCAACACTGTTATTGAAATTTACCTGTGTAGTGGCAGGAAGTTGTACTTCATTCTTTTTCACTGCTATGTGTTGTGTCTTTGGTATAACTGCTACACAACTGATTGAGGCAATGGTACTGCTTTGAACATCCTCGTGCCTATTTTCTGGTGCAAAAGTGTGAGAGTTTCAAGGTGCCTGGGAGTGGGGTTGTTGGGTCTGAAGGTATGCACATTTTTAACTTTACAAGGTGCTGCCAAATTGTTTCCAAAGTGGTCACACCCATTTCCCAAGTTCCATAGTGGGTGCCCCACATTATCCCCAGTGCTTGATAATTTTGTACGCACCCTTTTCAGGTTAGAAAATCTCTCTGGGGCCGGGCACGGTGGCTCACTTCTGTAATCCCAGCACTTTGGGAGGCCGAGACGGGTGTAGGTCAGGAGATCGAGACCATCCTGGCTAACACGGTGAAACCTTGTCTCTACTAAAAATACAAAAAATTAGCCGGGCGTAGTGGTGGGCTCCTGTAGTCCCAGCTACTCGGGAGGCTGAGGCAGGAGATGGCATGAGAGGCGGAGCTTGCAGTGAGCCGAGATCGTGCCACTGCACTCCAGCCCAGGCGACTGAGCAAGACTCTGTCTCAAAAAAAAAATAAGAAAATCTCTCACGTCACCCTCCAGGGTAATAGCTGTCCATTACTTATTCCTTAGTTGGCAAAGTCTATAGTAACAAGGTGCTGTGGATTCAGTAGCACCTTTCCCCCCGTTCTAGTGCCACTGCATTATTTATTTATTTATTTATTTATTTATTTATTTCTATTTTTTTTTTTGAGACAAAGTCTCGCTCTGTCACCCAGGCTGGAGTGCAGTGGCGTGATCTCAGCTCACTGCAACCTCCACCTCCTGGGTTCCAGCAATTCTCCTGCCTCAGCCTCCCAAGTAGCTGGGACTACAGGTGCACGCCACCACGTCCGGCTAATTTTTGTATTTTTTTTGTAGAGACGGGGTTTCACCATATTCACCAGGCTGGTTTCGAACTCCTGACCTCGTGATCTGCCCGCCTTGGCCTCCCAAAGTGCTGGGATTACAGGCGCAAGCCACTGCACCCAGCCGCCAGTGCATTTTTTAAAAAAACGTTTTTATTTTGAAGTAATTATAGATCCACAGGAAGTAGGGGGCAATACACAGGGACATCCTGTGTATTCATTACCCAGCATCCTCCATCTTGCTTAACTATAGTACAATAACACAGACTGAAAATTCTCGGTGCCACAGCCACAGAGGTCCTTCAGACAGCACCAGTTGTGCATGTAGTGAGTGTGAGTGTGTGTGTGTGTGTGTGTGTGTGTTTGTGTTTGTGAATGCAGTCTTACCATGGGTAGCTTTGTGGAACCACCACCACAGTCAGGACACAGAATTGCTCCTTCACTGCAAGGCACCCTCATGCTTCCTTTCATAGCTACACTGACATCCTTCCCACCCAATCTGCAACCCCTTGTGTCTTTGTCCACTTTGTGCTGCTGTAACACCTGAGACTAGGTTGTTTATAAAGAATAGAAGAAATTTATTCTCTAACAGCTCTAGAGGCTGTAAGTCCAAATCATGGCACCAGCATTTGGTCTGGTGAGGGCCTTCTTGCTGTGTCCTCACATGGCATAAGGCAGAAGGACAAAAAGGAATGAACTTTCCTTCAGAAGGCCAGGAAAGAGGTTAACCCACTCCCACAAGCCTTTTTATAGCGACATGAATTCATTCCTGATGGTGGATCCCTCACAACCTAAACACTTTCCCAAAGACCCCACCACCCAACACTGTTGCACTGGGGAATAAGTTTCCAACACATGAATTTTGGAGGGACAAAAACATTCAAGCCACAGCACTGGCAACCACTGATCTGTCCCCTGTCTTTCTAATTATTATTTCAAGAATGTCATATAAATGGAATCTATGGTATATAACCTTTTGAGTTTTGTTTAACCTACCATGATTCCCCTGAGATCCATCCAGGTTGTTTTGTATATTAATATGTTATTCCTTTTTATTGCTGGGCAGTATCCCATGGTATAGAGGTACCAGAGTTTATTTGTTGAAGGACATTTGGATGATTTCCAGGTTGGGGCTATTATACATAAAACTCGCTATGTACATTCATGTATAGGTTTTTGTGTGAACAGAGTTTTAATTTCTCTGGGATAATTGCACTTACAAATGCAGTTGTTGGTTTGCATGGTAGTTGCAGATATACTCTTATAAGAGACTGTCAAACTGTTTTCCAAAGTGGCTGTACCATTTTACTAGTAGGACTTTTAAAGTAGCGTGTGTGTGTGTGTATGTATTTTTTTTGAGGTATGGTCTGGGTCTGCTGCCCAGGTTGGAGTGCAGTGGCTTGATCACAGATCACTGCAACTTCTACCTCCTGGCTAAAGCAATCCTCCTGCCTCAGCCTCCCAAGTAGCTAGGACTACAGGTGCGTACCTCCATGCATGGCTAATTTTTGCTTTTCTGTTTTTGTAGAGACTGGGTTTCGTCATGTTGCTCAGGCTGGTCTTGAACCCCTGAGCTCAAGCAATCCTCCCACCTCAGCCTCCCAAAGTGCTGGGACTACAGGCATGAGCCACCACGCCTGGCCTTTATATGTATATTTTTGATCATAGTAACATCAGTATGCAATTAAAGAGTAATAATATGTATGTAAAATAAAGACACGAATATTTATTCAACTCTAGACAACGTTTGATGCCATAATGGGTTTAAAATAACTCTGGGAGCCTGGGAATCTAGTCTCTAGATTGGAAACCACTGAACTGGGTATTTTATTATTAAAAACAATAATCATTATTATTTTTTCCATTGTAATAACATGTAAAAAAACATATTTCCCATATGCTCAGTGGAGAAAATTTGGAAATAAGGAAAGTAGCAAGAAGAAGTGGGGGGAAAGAGGCACCCATAATTCTATTACCCAGAGTCAAAAACATCTTTTAACACTTTTTCTGTGCATTAAAAACAAAAAAAGAAAATTATACCTCCATCATTTCTGGTGTGACCTGCATTGTGACAGCACAATGTTGGCCAGTTATGGTGCAGAAAACAGTGCTACCCCTGGGAGCCTGGAGTGTGGTGGGAGATAGCTCCAATAGTGGCAGGTGCTGTGCAGGAAGAGGCTCGTGTGAAAGTACTGGAGGGCTGCCATGGGGCACGGTGATGGGGACATGGGGCCATGCCGTCTGCACAAGGCCAAGTGGAAGAGCAGATTTTTCACGGTAAATGTAGGCAGACCCTTTTTTTTTCCTGGTTGTCTAACCTATTATTGTAGAAGTGCTCATATACATTCTTTTCCATCTGTGCTTTGGCAGGATGACATCATTGATGATGTTGACAGCTTTCTTGCTGCAGCAGAGACCCTGAAGGAAAGAGGTGCATATAAGATCTTTGTGATGGCAACTCATGGCTTGTTGTCTTCTGACGCCCCCCGGCGGATTGAAGAGTCTGCCATTGATGAGGTAACAGGGTCTGGGTGTGTGTGGGTACAGCTGCCTGGGCTTTTGGCACATCTTGATCTTTAGTTACAGAGAGTCAGGACAAGACTGAGATCTTTTGTGGCTGAGAAACGATTCAAGGGCTGGGTGCAGTGGTTCACGCCTGTAATCCCAGCACTTTGGGAGGCCGAGGCAGGTGGATTACCTGAGGTCAGGAGTTGGAGACCAGCCTGGCCAACAGGGTGAAACCCCGTCTCTACTAAAAATACAAAAATTAGCCGGGCGTGGTGGCACACACCTGTAATCCCAGCTACTTGGGAGGCTGAGGCAAGAGAATCACTGGAACCCAGAGGGCAGTGGCTGCAGTGAGCCGAGATTGTGCCACTGCATTCCAGCCTGGGTGACAGAATGAGACTCTTGTCTCAAATAATAATAATAATAATAATAATAATAATAATGTGTACAACTCATTGGTTTTTAGAATGTTCAGAGTTGTGCAGTCATTACCATAGTTGGTTTTAGAACATTTTCTTCTTCCTAGAAAGGAACCCCATACCCATTAGCTGTCACTTCACATTTTCTCTCACTGCCATTAGTCCCTGGGAACCACTAATCTGCTTTCTGTCTCTCTAGATTTGCCTGTTCTGGACATTTCATATAAATGAGATTATACAATGTGTGGTCTTTTGTGTCTGGCTGTCTTCACTCAACATAATATTTTCAAGGTTCATCCATGTTGGAGCATGAATCAATACTTCATTTTATGATCAAATAATGCTGTGTTACATGGATAGTCCACATTTTGTCTCTCTCTTCGTATTTCATGTTGATAGAAAAAATTTTTTTTCTACTTTTTAACTTATGAATGGTGCTGCAGTAAACATTTGTGTACAAGTTTTTGTGTGGACATGTGTTTTCTCTTCTCTTGGATACGTACCTAGGTTTAGAACTGCCAGGTCATACAGTAACTTCATGTTTAAACTTTCAAGGAGCTGCCAGACTGTTTTTCAAAGCAGCTGCGCCATTTTACATTCCCACAGCCGTGAGTTGGGGGGGGGCTCCAGTTTCTCTGCATCCCTCCAGTACTTGTTATTATCTTTTTTGCCATACCTATCCTAGTGGGTGTGAGGTTATCAAATCTTAACCTAAGAAACACAGGCTGGGCGCGGTGGCTCACGCCTGTAATCCCAGCACTTTGGGAGGCCGAGGCCGGTGGATCATGAGGTCAGGAGGTCGAGACCATCCTGGCTAACGCGGTGAAACCCCGTCTCTACTAAAAATACAAAAAAATTACTTGAGCGTGGTGGCGGGCGCCTGTCGTCCCAGCTTACTTGGGAGGCTGAAGCAGGAGAATGGCATGAACCCAGGAGGCAGAGCTTGCAGTGAGCTGAGATGGCATCACTGCACTCCAGGCTGAGCGACAGAGCAAGACTCCGTCTAAAAATAAATAAATAAATAAATAATTGAAACATTGACTTGAGACATAGATCCACTGTGTTTTCCTGTCGTGGCAAGCCTCAGATTTGAGAAGCTGTCACATTTCCAGATCAAACCATGAAGCTACTTGGCTTTCTGATGCTGTGGTTTTTTTTCTTTTGCTTCACAGGTGGTGGTCACCAATACAATTCCACATGAAGTCCAGAAGCTCCAGTGCCCCAAGATTAAAACTGTGGATATCAGCATGATCCTTTCAGAGGCGATCCGTCGGATCCACAATGGGGAGTCCATGTCCTACCTTTTCAGAAACATAGGCTTAGATGACTGAGTTTTCCTTTAGGAAAACTCCCGAGGGCCAAACTGGAAACATAAGAGTGACTGCTCGGTGGGATGGATTTCACAGGAACCGTCATGCTTGTTCCTCCCTCTCCCCTGTAACCTCACTTCTTATTGATTCCTAAGAAGATAGACCAACTTTTTATGTCGGTTTGGGTGTTTGTGAGTTTGGGGAGCAATTTTTATAAAAGAAAAACTTTATTCTCCTCTTTTGAAAAGGTAAGACCTCGTTTTAGTTGTAACTGTTTAAAAAATAACACTTGGAATAAGATTTGTAAGCTCACAAAGCCTTCTTCCAAAGTTGCTTGAGCCAAGTGCTTAAAAAGTTAATAAAATAAAATGATCTGTATGATACCTGCAATTGAAAAGCCGAAAAGATTATACTGTCAAGTCCAGTAAATGACATTTTTAGAGATGCTTTTGTAGACAAGCATATGGAATATGTGATTGTATTTATTTTCTGCAACTAAAAAAGGAATAAAAACTTGTGTTTGTGTGTTTTTCTAAAACTTTGTGTTTTGGCAATCGTTTTATAACTAAAATAAAATGAAAGCTAAATCTACACGCTGTGAATGTTGAAATGTTCATCAGCTTGTTTTCTCTTCTGCAGCTTTGTGGGGGATGCAGTAGCCTCTCAGAGATGTGATATCCTCTGTTCTGACAATTTGTCCAAGGCCCTGAAAGTTCCCGATGTGTAGTCATTTGATTGAGGAGGGGGAGGAGCTGGAATCTCAGCATGCAAGGCCACAGGCAGCAGAGAAGCCAGTGGTCACCATCTGCCATTGGTCTTGGTGTGGCTTTGCCTCTCTTCCGTGGCTGGCTGTTCTCCATCATGCTCTAGGGAGATGAGATGCTGGGGGATGCATCCCAAAGGGCAAGTGACATGACCCTTGTTGCTGTCAAGGGTCTAATATCATCTGTCTTTTTTTTTTTTTTTTTTTTTTTTTTGAGACGGAGTCTCGCTCTGTCGCCCAGGCTGGAGTGCAGTGGCAGGATCTCGGCTCACTGCAAGCTCCGCCTCCCGGGTTCACGCCATTCTCCTGCCTCAGCCTCCCAAGTAGCTGGGACTACAGGCGCCCGCCACTACGCCCGGCTAATTTTTTGTATTTTTAGTAGAGACGGGGTTTCACCGTTTTAGCCGGGATGGTCTCAATCTCCTGACCTCGTGATCCGCCCGCCTCGGCCTCCCAAAGTGCTGGGATTACAGGCGTGAGCCACTGCGCCCGGCCTCATCTGTCTTTAGAGTTTAGGACCCTGAGCTTCCCCAGAGTCCATTGGAGTGGCCTCCCCTGGAGCACTGGCACTGGGGTTTACACACCCCTGTCCTCCCACTCAGCCTGACTTATGGAGGAATATGTAGACTTGCTCATAAAAACTAATTTTTCTTCCTCCCCAAACACCTTAAACCTTTGCTTTCTGCTTGTCTGTGTTAGAATCTGGAATAAAATAGTTTATTTAGCACAAAATTAGGATCAGTCACCAGCCACGCTGGCCTTCTCTGTGCTCCACAGAGAGCAGCGTGGCCCGAGGGCTTGCCCCAGTAGGCCAGGGCCTTGTTTGTGCAGAAGCACCAAGGGCTCTGCTTCTGGAAGCTGCCCAAGTGTTCCGTGGGCTCTTGCACACTCAGCAGTGCCACCCCTCACACCTAGTTTACTTGAGGAAACAGCTTTGAGGGAAAGGTGTTCATTCTCTCCCCAAGTTTCCAAATCCAGTTAATGATAGAGCTATTTACTTTGAAGAAGTGTCCTTGCTTTCTGTGAACCTGTCCCTAGAAATGGGGCCTCTCGATCTTCGGAATGAATTGGCTTAGGGCATGGGATGGTAGCTGGTGGCTTCTTTGCCAGTGCAGCTCTGTCAGTTGCAGGCTGGAGACCACCCAGTTTCCACATTTGGAAGAAGAGCTTTGGGAGCAAGGTGTCACCACCCATGAGAGTGGAGCCTGCCTGTGGTGCCAGGACCTCCCACTGTTGCTGTGAAATGAGCTGAAGAGGCTTCAGTAAATCTCACAGCTCCAGCCTCTGATGGGTTTGGGTTTTTTCTTACCTTCTGCCGTTTGGATGCTGCCTAACCATTTGCTACTATAGATGACGGTTGAAGTTGCCATGTGGTTTGGCTTTATAACAAGTGACAGGCACTTCCTGAACAGCCATGGGGCATCCCCTGGGGTGGCTGTGCTGGCACAGTGGCCCTCCCATGGTTTGGGAATGGTGGTGCTGCACTAGCACGGAGGACAGGTTCTGCTCTGGGTTCCTTGGAGATGCAGTGGGCTCTCAAGCTCCTTCAGTGGGAGGTTTCCTCCTGCCACTGTGTCCAGTGAGCTTTGACCTCTGGTTTTTCTTGGCATGTCATCCTTCATGAAGAAAAGTCATATTTACAGAAGTGAATGGAAACATGTTTTATGGGAGTGTTTTCCTCTGGGTAATGAACTTGGCTAAAGCTAGGATCCTTCACACCCACAGAGACTCGAAGGTCTGCCCTGAGTTGGCTCTGGAAGAACATGAAGATGAGTGCTGGGAGGAGCCACGGGTGGGGCATGTGCCAGGGGATGGCTGACAGGGCTGAGGCCCAGGAAAGACAACTGGCAGATGATGGTGGAGGAGAGTGGAGTGCCACGTCCTGGCCCGCCGGGCTGGGGCAGGAGGATGGAAGCCTTCAAGGGGCAAGTCAGGTTCTGTGGTGTGGTGGGGAGTGCTGGGGGACTCTCAGGGCTTCAGGAGTGCCCAGTAAGGACACCCAAACCCCTCAGCCATCCTCTTCCCTGTCTAGAGGAGGCCCCAGATACAGTTTCTCCGTGTGTTGTAGGCTTTTCTTTGGCCAGAGAAGCCATTTACCCTCTAGACTACTGTCTTTGCTAGAGACAGAGACAATCTCTGTGGCCAGAGATAATGGGGAAGTGAACCCAGAAATTCTATGACAGAAAACAGGCTGATCGTTTCCAGTTCTGACTGTGACGTCATCACTTGACAGACTCGTGGTT
Source organism: Homo sapiens (assembly GCF_000001405.40). Classification (NCBI taxonomy): domain Eukaryota; kingdom Metazoa; phylum Chordata; class Mammalia; order Primates; family Hominidae; genus Homo; species Homo sapiens. The sequence continues at coordinate 18,933,684 of NC_000017.11, forward strand.
AAAGCAATGCTCTCGAGGCATCAAGAACACAGGATGCCACTAAAGGGCATGAGTGGATGGACACATACCAGTTCCACCACACTGTGTGCCAGGGACATTAATCTTTTGGCTCTCACTGTTTATTACCTCTAAGGCTGAGGAGGGAGGATCGCTTGAACCTGGGAGATGGAGGTTGCAGTGAGCCGAGATCGTGCCACTGCACTCCAACCTGGGCAACAGAGCAAGACCCCATCTCAAAAAAAAGTTGTAGAATTCAACACCTACTTTTAACAGATCAACCAGACAAAAGATCAATAAGGAAAGAGATCACACCGCTGTACTCCATGCTGGTGACAGAGTGAGACTCTATCTCAAGAAAAAAAAGTCTGAAATGCTAAATTTTATGTTGTATGTATTGTGTACTTTATAAAACATTGTTGGAAGAAATTAAAGAAGAGCTAAATAGGAAGACATCCCACGATCACAGGTTGGAAGTCTTAATATCGTTAAGATGCAATACTCCAAAGCAACCTACAGATTCAGTGTGAATATCTATCAAAATCCCAATGGCATTTTTTAGCAGCTATAGAAAAGCCCATCCTAAAATTCATATGCAATCACCAAGGGCCTCAAATAGCCAAATCAGTCTTGAAAAAGAACAAAGTTTGAGGACTTGCACTTCTTGATTTCAGAACTTAACTACAAAGCTATACCAATCAAAAACAGTGTAGTTCTGGCATAAGGAGAGGCATATAAGCCAATGAAGTAGAATCAAGAGTTCAGAAATAAATACTATAGTCAATTGATTTTCAACAAAGGTGCCAAGATCTCAGCAGGAAAAAGAACGGTGATTTTGGGGGGTTCTTTTTCATTTTTTGTTTTGTTTTGAGACAGAGTCTCACTCTGTTGCCCAGGCTGTAGTGCAGTGGCGCGATCTTGACTCACTGGCACTATCTCGGCTCACTGCAACCTCTGCCTCCCGGGTTCAAGCAATTCTTGTACCTCAGCCTTCCGAGTAGCTGGGACTACAGGCATGCACCACCACGCCTGGCTAATTTTTGTATTTTTAGTAAAGACGGGGTTTTGCCATGTTGGCCAGGCTGGTCTCGAAATCCTGACCTCAAGTGATCCACCCCGCTCAGCCTCCCAAAGTGCAGGAATTACAGGTGTGAGCCACTGCATCCAGCCAAGAATGGTGTTTTTAACAAATGGTACTAGGACAACTAAAAATCCATACACAAAGAATGAAGGGCTAAAACTATAAAACTTTTAGAATAAAACACAGGGATAAATCTTCATGACCTTCGGGTTGGCAAAGGATTCTTAGATATGACACCAAAAGCACAAGCAACAAAATAAATAATAGATAACTGGATTTCATCAAATTAAAACTTTTGGGCACCAAAGGACACTATCAAGATAGTGTAAAGACAATCTAAAAGTAGAAGAAAATATTTTCAAATTATATATCTGATAAAGGTCTTATTCAGGATATATAAATGTACAATTCTACAACAAACAGATAAAAAACCAATTTATTTTTTGAGACAAGTTTTGGCTCTGTCACCCAGGCTGGAGTGCAGTGGCATGATCTAAGTTCACTGCAGTCTCGACCTCCTGGGTTCAAGCAATCCTCTTACCTCAGCGTCCTGAGGAGCTGGGACTACAGGCATGTGCCACCATGCCCAGCTAATTTTTTGTATTTTTTGTAGTAATGGGGTTTCACCATGTTGCCCAGGCTGGTCTTGAACTCATGAGCTCAAGCAATCTGCCCACTTCAGCTTCCCAAAGTGCTGGGATTACAGGTGTAAGCCACTGCACCTGGCCAAAAAAAAAATACATATATATATATATGTTTGTTTTTTTTTTGAGACAGAGTCTCGCTCTGTTGCCCAGGCTGGAGTGCATTGGCGTGATCTTGGCTCACTGCAACCTCTGCCTCCTGGGTTCAAGCGATTCTGCTGCCTCAGCCCCCTGAGTAGCTAGGATTACAGGCATGCACTACCACGCCCAGCCAATTTTTGTATTTTTAGTAGAGACGGGGTTTCACCATGTTGGTCAGGCTGGTCTCGAACTCCTGACCTTGTGATCTGCCTGCCTCGGCCTCCCAAAGTGCTGGGATTACAGGAGTGAGCCACCGCGCCTGGCCCAAAAACATGTTTTAAATGGGATTTGAATAGGCATTCCCACAAAGAAAGATATACAAAAAGATATACAGGCTTGGCATGGTGGCTCATGCCTGTAATCCCAGCATTTTGAGAGGCTATGGGTGAATCACTTGATGCCCAGAATTCGAGACCAACCTGGCCAACGTGGAAAAGCCCGGTCTCTACTAAAAATACAAAAATTAGCCAAGCATGGTGGTGCACGCCTGTAATTCAAGCTACTCAATGGCTGAGACACAAGAATCGCTTGAACCCAGGAGGCAGAGGTTGTAGTGAGCTGAGATTATGCCAAGACACGACAACAGAGTGAGACTCAGTCTCAAAAAAAAAAAAAAAAAAAAAAGAACAAAAAGATATACAGGCATTCATACAAAAAATATATCTAAATGGAAAGATGCTCAACATCATTAGTCATTATAGATAGTACAAACAAAAACCACAATGAGTTACAACTTCATACCCATTTGAATGGTTATGCTACAAAACAAACAAAACCAGAAATAACAAGTGTTGGCACCACTTGCAGTGTTGCACACCTGTAGTCCCAACTACTCAGGAGGCTGAGGTGGGAGGATTACTTGAGCCCAGGAGTCTGAGACCAGCCTGGGCAACATAGTGAGACCCTGCCTTGTAAAACAAACAAACAAACAAAAACAAGTATTGGCAAGAATATGGAAAAATTGGAGCCTTCGTACATACACTGCTGGTGGAAAGGTAAAATGATGCAGCTGCTGTGGAAAACAGTCTGGCGGTTCCTCAAAAAGTTAAACATAAAATTACCAGATGACCCAGCAATTCTGCTCCTGGGTATATTCCAAAAAAAATTACAAACAGATACCCAAATAAGTACATGGACATACATGTTCAGATGCACTATTCACAATCACCAAATTGTGGAATCTCAAATGTCCATCAATGGATGAATAAACAAATCTTAGTATTTAATGCCTGTAATCCTAGTACTTTGAGAGGCCAACACGGGCAGATCACTTGAGGTCAGGAGTTTGAAACCAGCCTAGACAACATGGTTGAAACCTCATCTCTACCAAAAAAAAAAAAAAAAAATTAGCCAGGTGTGGTGGCACCAACCTGTAGTTCCAGCTACTTGGGAGGCTGAAATGGGAGAATCACTTGAACCTGGGAGGCGGAGGTTGCAGTGAGCCAAGATAGCACCACTGCACTCCAGCCTGAGCAACAGAGTGAGACCCTGTCTCAAAAAAACAAAACAAAACAAAACAAAAAACAGTATTTACATAGAATAAAAAGGAATAGATTACTGTATGAGTTACAACGTGCACAAGCTTCTAAAACATTATGCTAAGTGAAATTAACCTGACACAGAAGGTCACATATTGTGTGATTCCATTTATATAAAATATCCAGAATAGCCAAATCCATAAAAACAGAAAGCATATATGTAGTTATCAGGGGATGAGTAGATAGATATGTAGCTGATGTGTAGTTATCCAGGGCAGTGGTCCCCAGTCTTTTTGGCACCAGAGGCTGGTTTTATGGAAGACGACTTTTCCACAGATTGGGGCAAGGGGTTGGGGATGGTTTGGGGATGAAACTGCTCCACCTCAGGTATCAGGCATTAGATTCTCATAAGGAGTGTGCAACCTGGATCCCTCGCATGCACAGTTCACAATAGGGTTCTTGCTCCTATGAGAATCTAATGCTGCCACTGATCTGACAGGAGGTGGAGCTCAGGCAGTAATGATGGCTTGCCTGCCGCTCACCTCCTGCTGTGCGGCCCGTGGTCCTGGGGGTTGGGGACCCCTGATCCAGGGGATAGAGTGGGTTATAGGGAGAAACTTCTTTTCTTTTTTTTTTTTGAGATAGAGTTTTGCTCTGTTGCCCAGGCTGGAGTGCAGTGGTACAGTCTAGGCTCACTGCAACCTCTGCCTCCTGGGTTCAAGCAATTCTCCTGCCTCAGCCTCCCAAGTAACTGGGATGACAGGAGCATGCTACCACAACTGGCTAATTTTTTATATTTTTAGTAGAGACAGGGTTTCACCATAGTGGCCAGGCTGGTCTCAAACTCCTGACCTCGTGATCTGCCCACCTCAGGCTCCCAAAGTGCTGGGATTACAGGTGTGAGTCACCGCACCTAGCCAGGGAGAAACTTCTTAATAGGCACAGGATTTTCTCTTGGAGTGACAGAAATGTTTTGGAACTAGATAGAGGTGGTGAGTGCACAACATTGTGAATGCACTAAATGCCACTAAATTACTCACTTTTTATTTTATTATTTAGTTTTTGAGACAGGGTCTCACTGTCACCCAGGTTGGAGTGCAGTGATGCAATCACAGCTCGCTGCAGCCTCCACCTCCCAGGCTCAAGCGATCCTCCCTCCTCAGCCTCCCGAGTAGCTGGGACCACAGGCATGTGCCACCACGCCCAGCTAAGTTTTGTATTTTTAGTAGAGACAGGGTTTTGTCATATTGTCCGGCCTGGTCTCAAATTCCTGGGCTCAAGTGATCCTCCCGCCTCAGCTTCCCAAAGTGCTGGGATTATAGGTGTCAGCCACAGCGCCTGACTAAATTATTCACTTTAAAATGTTAATTTTATGTTTTGTGAATTTCTTCTTAGTAAATTTCAGTTCCACATGTAAAAAGCTTGGGAGTTGAAACTCCATCCTACAACAAGTAAAAAGCTCAACAAACTGAAAAATCAACTCTACTTTGTTAGAGCCATATGAGAAGTGAGGTCACAGGGCAAACCACTGCTCCCATAATCAGAGACAGAAATGCAAACATTGAGAACAATGTACAGAAGTCTTTATAGGAACCGGTGCCAGAGTTAGGAAACCTGAACTGTAATCAACAAATTGTTAGAGGCTAGGTGAGAACAAGTCTGAGAGTTAAAAACTTCAGGGGGACTCCCTCATATGAGGACCCCATACTTTTGTGAATTTTACCTTCTCAAGAAGAATCCCCTTGAGCTTCCAGCAGGGAGACGGAAATAGGAATCATTCTGAAAGCTTCAGAGCACTGTGCTCCTCTTGACAAACTCTGCCCTCAGGAGAAGCTAGTTAACCAGAGCCTAACATTCTGGGGTTTTATCAGAGCCTAACTGAACTAGGAGAAGGGTAAAACCTAATTCTAGTCAGCTCTAACTTTCCACGTGGGAGAAGAGAAATACTCAACTAAAGCTCACCCTAGCCAACCATGTGGGAGAAGGATAGTACCCAATCCCAGCCTACTCTCGCCATCCTTTCCTACCTAAGGGTAGAGAAGAAAATCTGAGAAAAGCTCGGTGACATTCACAGTCCAGTGGCACAGGGTCATCAGAAAAGACCTAATTGTAGGACCTCCCCCTACACCTCACCACCACATCACTAAAGGCCTATTTACGTAGCAGTTCCTTTTACCCAGTACATTACTTCCAGCTATCAAGAAAAAAATTACAGGGCATGTTAAAAAGCAAAGAACAGTTCAAAGAGACAGAGCAAGCATTAGAACCAGACCTGGCACAAGGGATGCTGAAATTATCAGATAGGGAATTTTTTTTTTTTTTTTTTTTGAGACAGAGTCTCACTCTGTCACCCAGGTTGGAGTGCAGTGGCGTGATCTCGGCTCACTGCAACCTCTGCCTCCTGGGTTCAAATGATTCTTGTGCCTCAGCCTCCCGAATAGCTGGGATTGCAGGCGTGTACCACTATGCCCAGTTAATTTTTGTATTTTTAGTAGAGATGGGGTTTCACCAAGTTGCCCAGGCTGATCTTGAACTCCTGGCCTCATGTGATCTGCCCACCTCTGCCACCCAAAGTGCTGGGATTACAGGTGTGAGTCACTGTGTCTGGCCAGACATGGAATTTTTTTTTTTTTTTTTTTAGACAGGGTCTTGCTCTGTCACCCAGGCTGAAGTGCAGTGGCATGATCTCGGCTCACCGCAGCATCCGCCTCCCAGGTTCAAGTGATTCTCCTGCCTTAGCTTCCTGAGTAGCCGGGATTATAAGTGTGCGACACCATGCCGGGCTAATTTTTGTATTTTTAGTAGAGACAGGTTTCACCATGTTGGCCAAGCTGGTCTCGAATGCCTGACCTCAGGTGATCTTCTGCCCGACTCAGCATCCCAAAGTGTTGGGATTACAGGCCTGAGCCACCATGCCCGGCCAAGGAATTTAAAACAACTAACTATGATTAAAATGCCAAGGGTTCTCGTTAAGCAGACAGCATGCAAGAACAGACGGGCAATGAAAGCAGAAAGGTGGAAATCTTAAGAACAATAAAAAAAATGCTACAGATAAAAACACTGTAACAGAAATGAAGAATGCCTTTGATAGACGTATGAGTAGTCTGAACATGACTAAGCAGAGAATCTCTGAGATTTAGAATATCTTCTTTTTTTTCTTTTGAGATGGAGTCTCACTCTGTCACCCAGGCTGGAGTGCAGCGGCACGATCTCGGCTCGCTGCAATCTCCGCCTCCCAGGCTCAAGCAATTCTCGCACCTCAGCTTCCCAAGTAGCTGGGATTACAGACGCGCGCTATCACGCCCAGCTGATTTTTGTATTTTTAGTAGAGACAGGGTTTCTCCATGTTGGTCAGGCTGGTCTCGAACTCCCGACCTCAGGTGATCCGCCCACCTCAGCCTCCCAAAGTGCTGGAATTACAGGTGTGAGCCACAGCGCCTGGCCTTGCTTTAGGATATCTTAATAGAAACCTCCAAAACTGAGAAGCAAAGAGAACAAAGACAAAAAAAAAAAAAAAAAAAAAAACACCAGAATATGTGGAGCAATTACAAAAGGTGTAACATACATGTAAATGGGAATAGCAGAAGGAAAAGAGAGACAGGAAGAGAAGAAATATTGGACTGCAAGTTTCCTCAAATCAGTGTCAGACACCAAACCACAGATCCAAGAAGGTCAAAGAACACTGAGCAGGATAAATGACAAATGAAACGAAACAAAAACTCTGCACATAAGTGTGACATTTTCAAACTACAGGAAATCAAAGATAAAGGAAAAATCCTGAAAGAAGTCAGAGGAAAAGAAAGAAATCTGAAAGAAGTCAGAGGAAAAAATCATGTTACCTATAGAGACGCAAAGATAAAAATTACATGTGTCTCCTCAGAAATCATGCAAGAAGGAAGAGTGGAGTGAAATATTTGAGTGTTGAGAGAAAAACACTACCAACCTAGAATTCTGTACGCTGTGAAAATATCCTTCAAATTTGAAGGAGAAATACTTTCTCGGACAAACAAAAATTGAGAGAATTTATTGCCAGTAGACCTGTCTTGTAATAAATAAATTCTTTTTTTTCTTTTTCTTTTTTTTGAGACAGGGTCACACTACTCTGTTGCCCAGGCTAGAGTGCAGTGGCACGATCTTGGCTCACTGCAGCTTCCGCCTCCTGGGCTCAAGGATCCTTCCACCTCAGCCTCCTGAATAGCTGAGACTACAGGCACTTGCCACGGCGCCTGGCTAATTTTTTTTGTATTTTTTGTGGAGACAGGGTTTCTCCGTGTTGCCCAGGTTGGTCTCAAACTCCTGTGCTCAAGCAATCCACCCGTCTTGGCCTCCCAAAGTGCTGGGATTATAGGTGTAAACCACCGTGCCTGGCCATCAATTTTTTTAAGGAAAGGAGGAAAACAATACAGATCAGAAATTTGGATCTACATAAAGAAAGAAAGAACATGAAAGAAGGAATAAGTTCACATGACTTGAGCTTGTAGCTATGTCTTCTGCACAGATTGGGTAATGGAACACTAAATTTTTTTTTGAGGGGGGACGGAGTCTGGCTCTGTCCCCCCAGGCTGGAGTGCAGTGGCGCAATCTCGGCTGACTGCAAGCTCCGTTTCCTGGGTTCACGCCATTCTCCTGCCTCAGCCTCCCGAGTAGCTGGGACAACAGGCACCTGCCACCACCCCCAGCTAATTTTTTTGTATTTTTAGTAGAGACAGGGTTTCACCATGTTAGCCAGGATGGTCTCGATCTCCTGACCTTGTGATCTGCCCACCTCGGCCGATGGAACACTAAATTTTTATACTTGAAAATGACAGCCTAGGAGAATCGCGTGAACCTGGGAGGCAGAGGTTGCAGTGAGCTGAGACTGCACCATTGCACTCTAGCCTGGGGAACAAGAACGAAACTTCGTCCCCAAAAAAAAACAAAATCAAAATCAAAAACAAAACAAAACAACAACAAAATAAAACACAATAGAGAGCCTAGAAATATACCCACATAAATATAGTCAATTGATCTTCTACAAAAGAGAAAAGGTAGTACAATGGAGAAAAGTGTTTCTAACAAATGGTGCTGGAACAACTGGACATCCACATACAAAAAAAAAAGATGAACCATAGACCTTACACTTTTCACAAAAGTTAACTCAAAATGGACCTAAATGTAAAACACAAATTGTAAAACTTTTGGAAGACAACATAGGAGAAAATCTAGATGAATTTGGATTTGGTGATGCTTTTCAGATACAACATCAAAGCCACAACTGATAAAGGAAAGAATTGATAAGCTGGACCTCATAAATTTAAACATTTCCGATCCGCAGCCGGGCATGGTGGCTGATGCCTGTAATCCCAGCACTTTGGGAGGCTGAGGTGGGTGGATCACCTGAGCTCAGGAGTTTGAGATCAGCCTGGGCAACAAGGAAAAACACTGTCTCTACCAAAGATATGAAAAAAAAAAATTAGCTGGGCATGGTGGTGCATGCCTGTGGTCCCAGCTACCTAGGGGTGCTGATGTGGGAGGATGGCTTCAGCTAGGGAGGAAGAGGTTACAGTGAGCCGAGATTGAGCCACTGCACTTCAACCCTGGTGACAGAGTGAGACCCCATCTCAAAAAAAAAAAAAAAAAAATTCTGCTCTGCAAAAGACAGTGTCAAGAGAATGAAAAGACACAGACTGGGAGAAAATAGTTCCCAAAGACATATCTGATAAAGAAGTGTTGTTCAAAATATAGAAAGAACTGGCCACGTGCTGCGGCTCATGCCTGTAATCCCAGCACTTTGGGAGGCCGAGGCAGGCAGATCACGAGGTCAGGAGATCGAGACCATCCTGGCTAACACGGTGAAACCCCATCTCTACTGAAAATATAAAAAATTAGCTGGGCGTGGTGGCAGGCGCCTGTAGTCCCAGCTACTTGGGAGGCTGAGGTAGAAGGATTGCTTGAGCCCAGGAGGTGCAGGTTGCAGTGAGCTGAGATCACATCACTGCACTCCAGCCTGGGCAACAGAGCAGGACCCTGTCAAAAAACCAAAACAACAATAACAAAGCAAAAGAAAAAAAATTAAATAAGAAAACAATTTTAAAATGTGTGAAAGATCTGATCAGACATATCATCGAATAAAATATAAAGATGGCAGATAAGCATGTGAGATGCTCAACATTATATGTCATCATGGAATTGCAAATTCAAACAACAGAGAGACACCACCGCAAGCCCATTAGAGTGGCCAAAATCCAGAACACTGACAACGCCAAATGCTGGGGAGGATGTGGAGCAACAGGAACTCTCATTCATTGCTGGTGGGAATGCAAAATGGTATAGCTACTTTGTTGTTGTTGTTGTTGTTGTTGTTGTTTTGAGACAGAGTCTCACTCTGTAGCCCAGGCTGAAGTGCAGTGGCACGATCTTGCTCATTGCTACCTCTGCCTCCCGGGTCCTGGTTCAAGCAATTCTGCCTCAGCGTCCTGAGTAGCTGGGATTACAGGCATGTGCCACCATGCCCAGCTAATTTTTGTATTTTTAGTAGAGAAGAGGTTTCACCATCTTGGCCAGGCTGGTCTCCAACTCCCGACCTCAGGTGATCCACCTGCCTTGGCCTCCCAAAGTGCTGGGATTACAGGAGTGAGCCACCGCACCGGCCTGTTGTTTTTTGTTTGTTTGTTTGTTTTTTGAGACGGAGTCTTGCTCTGTCGCCCAGGCTGGAATGCAGTGGCGCAATCTCAGCTCACTGCAACCTCCACCTTCTGGATTCAAATGATTCTTGTGCCTCAGTCTCCTGAGTAACTACGACTACAGGCTCGTGCCCCAGGCCCAGCTAATTTTTGTATTTTTAGTAGAGACAGGGTTTCTCCATGTTGATCAGGCCGGTCTTAAACTCCTGACCTCAGGTGATCCTCCCACTTCAGCCTCCCAAAGTGCTGGGATTACAGGCGTGAGCCACCGCGCCTGGCCGGTATAGCTACTTTGGAAGACAGTTTGGAAGTTTCTTACAAATCTAAATGTGCTTTGATGCAAGTATATTTGAATCCCTTTCCATCTGATAACTGAGCAAAATAATAATTTTTTAAAAAGCATAAAAACTAAGCTTACACTTACCATATGATTCAGCAGTTACTCTTGAGTATTTATTCAAAGGAGTTGAAAACTTACGTCCACACAAAAACCTGTGCATGGATGTTTACTCATTATGAATTCAGCTTTATTCATAATTACCAAAACTTTGGTAGATGTCCTTAAGTAGGTGAATGAATAAATAAATCATAGTATCTAGATAATGGAATATTATTCAGTGCTAAAAAGAAATGAGCTACCAAGCCATGAACACATGGAGGAAACAGAAATACAGATGACTAAGTCAAAGAAGCCTTTTGAAAAGGCTACAAAGTGTTTGATTACAGCTATATGACATTTTGGAAAAGGCAAAACCGTGGGAACAGAAAATGATCAGTGGTTGCCAAGGGTTAGGGAGGAGAGAGGGAAGGATAGGGAGAATGCAGGCGACTTTTAGGGCAGTGAAACTACTCTGTATGACATTATAGTGGTGGATGCATGTCAGTATATGTTTATCCAAACACATAGAATACAACACCAAGCGTGAACCCTAATGTAATGTATGTGCTTTGGGAGATGTATCAATGCAGGCTCATCAGTTGTAACAAGCATAACAACTTTTGGTTGGGGATTTTGATAATGGCAGTGGCTATGCATGTGTGGGTCAGGATATTTCTCTACCAAGGAAGGTAGACATACCTTCAACAGCCAACAATTACATGAAAAGATGTTCAACATTACTAGTCCTTAGGGAAATGCAAATCAAAACCACAATGAAATGCTACTTCACGCCTACTAGGACGGCTATCATAATAATGTCAAAATGCAGCCTGGGCAACACAGTGAAACTCCATCTCTACCAGAAATACAAAAATTAGCTGCGTGTGTGACATGCACGTGTGGTCCCAGCTACTTGGTGGGCTGAGGCAAGAGGATCCCTTGAGCCCAGGAGGCAGAAGTTGCAGTGAGTCCAGATCGTGCCACTGCACTCCAGCCTGGGCTGTAAAGTAAAACTCTGACTGAAAAAAAAAATGTAAAAATGGACAATAACAAGTGTTCATGAGAATGTGGAGAAACTGGGGGTCTAGTGCGTTGCTGGTGGGAATGTAAAATGGTGCAGCTCTTCTGGAAGACAGTTTGGCCAATCCTCAAAGTTTAACATAGAATACCACCCAGCAATTCCACTCATAAATATATGCCCAAAGGAATTGAAAGTAGGGCTTCTTTCAAAGTACTATTAGAAGTAAAAAAAGAAAAAAATTGGCTGGGTGAGGTGGCTCACATCCGTAATTCCAGCACTGTGGGAGGCTGGGGTGGTGGAGCACTTGGGGATAGGAGTTTGAGACCAGCCTGGCCAACCTGACAAAACCCTGTCTCTACTCAAAATACAGAATTTAGCCTGTAATCCCAGCCACTTGGGAGTCTGAGGCATGAGAATCACCTGAGCCCGGGAGGTGGAGGTTGGTTGCTGTGAGCCTAGACTGCGCTCCTGCACTCCAGCCTAGGTGACAGAGTGAGATTCTGTCTCAAAAACAAAACAAAACAAAAACAAATGTTTTTAATTTTAAAAAATTTTAAAAAGGAAGCAGGGTCTCAAAGAGATACTTTCACCTCAATGTTCATAGCAACTTTATTCACAATAGACAAAAGGTAGAAAAAACTCAGATGTCCATCCAACCGACGAATGGATAAACGAACTATGGCATACACATACAGTTGACAATTATTCAGTGAGAAGACAGAGCGAAGCGCCGACATGCACTACAACATGGATGAACCGTGAAAACATCCTCAGCGAAAGCACTCAGACACAAAAGACCATGTATCGTGTGATGCCACTTACATAATACACCTGTTTTGGAAAAATTTCCCAACCGGGTTTTACCTTTGCTCTCACACTGCAACAAACGCAGAAGATTTCTGTGACCAAATGTGGGGACATCTCCCCATCAATAGACAAGCAATCAGTTCTGCAGTAGACACCAGCAAGGTGCCCTCCAATTCAATTCCAACACTATCTACCCAGGGTGAGGGCTCAGTTCCCAAGGCTGACTCTTCCTTTCCCACCAGTCCAGACCTCTGGAACTTCTGACCCACAAGCTTCAAGTTGGGTTCCCACGATCGACCCCCTTTGGATTCAATTAATTTGCTAGAGCGGCTCACAGAACTCAGGGAAACACTTACTTAGGAGGCTTACTGGTTTATTGTGAAGGGCATTTTAAAGGATACAAAGAAACAGCCAGATGAAGAGAGACACAGGGTGACATCTGGAAGGGTCCTGAGCACAGGAGCTTCTGTTCCTGCAGTTGGGGAGTGCCACCCTCCCAGGACAGGGATGAGTTCTTTTTCACCTTCCTGCCACCCTCCCAGGACAGGGATGAGTTCTTTTTCACCTTCCTGCCACCCTCCCAGGACAGGGATGAGTTCTTTTTCACCTTCCTGCCTGCCTCCACGTGTTCAGCCATCTGGCAGCTCTCTGGACCTAGTCCTCCTGGGTTTTATGAAAGCTTCTTGAGATCAGCATTCCTTCCCCCAGGGTGTGGGGCAGGACCCTCTCTGGAATGAGGATGATGTGACCCACAATTAGAAAGACAGGGGAAGATTAGAGGCCGCCTTGGGGCAGGTGAGAGGAGGCAGGAGAAGGTCAGAGAGATTCTGTTTCCTGAGGCCTGACATGCCAGATGTGATAACAACAGAATGCAGCAAGGGCTGTGGAGTTGAGTCAGGAACCCAGGGTGGAAACCTGTGTGTATACATAACACCACGACACCAGAGAAGGCAACTCCTACATACCTATGATACCACAACACCAGAGAAGGCAAATCCACAAAGAGGGAAAGTAGATTGGTGGCTGCCAGAGGCTTGGGGAGGGGGAATGAAGATGATGCTTAATTTGTACAAGGTTTCATTGGAGAGGATGAAAAATGCTGGAATAGGCTGGGCGCAGTGGCTCATGCCTGTAATCCCAGCACTCTGGGAGGCTGAGGTTGGTGGATCACCTGAGGTCAGGAGTTCAAGACCAGCCTGACCAACACGGTGAAACCCCGTCTCTATTAAAAATACAAAAATTAGCCAGGCGTGGTGGTGCGTGCCTGTTATTCCAGCTACTCGGGAGGCTGAGGCAGGAGAATTGCTTGAACCCAGGAGGCAAATGTTGCAGTGAGTCGAGATTGCGCCACTGCACTCCAGTCTGGGTGACAAAGCAAAACTCTGTCTCAGAAAAAAAAAAAAGAAAAGAAAAATGTTGGAATAGGTAATGGCGATGGGTGCATAGTGTTGTGAAGGTGGTGGAAACCACAGACTGGTGTACTTTAAGGGGTTAAAATGATGGATTTTATGTTAAATGCATTCTCCCTCAATAATGATAAAAAAAGAATAGGTTTCTGGGATTGAAGGGCCTCAGGGGCCTCAGCATCTGAAGATTCCTCAGTTGCCTGGGCTCCTTGGACCTCTTGCAGTGATGTGGCAAGGGTAGACCCTGTGCCGGTCACTGGAGGAGCGGGGTGACGGGTGGGTGGGGGCAGATACTACTGTGTCGTGTGGCAGCACAGCCACTAGCCCAGCAGGGCCAGGGATGCACAGAAGAGGGAGGAGCCAAGGAAGGCTTCAGAGAGGCAGTGATGTCTCAGTACCGTCTTGAAGGATGAGTAGCAGTTCACCAAGCAGACTGAGAGGTAGGGGGACTTGAGGACACCCAGGGAGGAACTGAGGGCAGCAGAAGATGGAGCTGGGTCGGGGGAGGGCCAGGTTCCAGGGCCCCTGGTGCCGAGCCCAAGGCCTTGCACTTGATCTCTGGAGCAGTAAAGGCTGTTGAAGGTAAGTTTGAAACAGGAGTGTCATGTCCAGGGTTAGGCTTTTAGGGTGTTCTGACATACTGTGCGTGGTGAGTAGATTCAAAAGGATAAGACTGGAGGCCAGGGATCAGTCCCTCCCCACCTGTGCTGGACGCCTGGTCTGCATCGGTTCCATTACCTCCCAGCAGCCCTTCCCGGCTGCCTTCACTTCCCTTCCACTCTGCTGCTCTGCCGGCTGAGCTCAGGGTCCTCCCATCCAGGTGCCCACTCAACCACTCCCTTCGAGGGCCTGAGGCTTAACAGTCCAACCTCCATCACTCCCTGCACAAACCCAACCTCACCCAAAGCTCAGTGGGCTTGGCTGGGACCCCAGGGGAGGAGGGGGGTCATTCCTTCCCACTGAATACCTGTCACGAGCCATGCTGGGTGGTGGAGTTTAATGTTAAAAGGGCAGATTCGAGAGCTGGACAATTTGGGTTCAAAGTCCTCCTCTGTCTCTTAGTTGCTGTGTGACTTTGAGCAAGTTCCTCTGTTTCTCTGTGCCTCGGATTTTCCATCCCTCAAGGAGTTGGGAGAGTTGAGGGTGGACGATGCGTGGGCACATGGTGACTGCTCGGTAGGTGTCTGTAACCATGGTAAAGATGAAGCTGTGGGCTGGCCCCTGGGGTCCCAGCCGAGCCCACTGAGCTTTGGGGAGGGTGGGTTTGGGTGGGGAGTGATGGAGGGTGGACTCTCAAACCTGAAGCCCTCAAGGGGAGTGGTCAAGAGGGTACCTGGATGAGAGAATGCAGCGCTCGGCCAGCAGAGCAGCGGAGTGGAGGGAAGTGAAGGCCGCCTGGAAGGGCTGCGGGGAGGTGACCAACCAATGCAGATGCAGGTACCCAGCACAGGTGGGCAGGTGAGCATTCAGGAAATGGTTGTCTGGGACCCACCACCCTTCACAAAGCACCTGGCAACACTCTCCTTGAGCCTCTGTATCAGTGGAAGGAAACTGCTTGACCTGGCTGGTGAGGGGAGCCCAGGCAGGGTCGGGGGCACCCCTAGGGGCCAGCTTGCTGGTCTAAACCAAGGCCAAGGCCAGAGGTCTTACAAAAAAGCCCAGCCCACACCAAAGCATAAAAAGTGATAACTTGGGCCGGACACAGTGGCTTACGCCTGTAATCCCAGCACTTTGGAAGGCTGCTTGAGCCCAGGAGTTTGACAACAGCCTGGGCAACATGGTGAGACCCTGTCGCTATAAAAAAATACCCACAAAACTTTGCTGGCTATGGTGGTGCATGCCTGTAGTCCCAGCTACTCAGGAGGCTGAGGTAGGAGGATCCCTTGAGCCCAGGAGGCTGAGACTGCAGTGAGCTGTGATTGTACCACTGCACTCCAGCCTGGGCAATAGAGCCAGACATTGTCTCAAAAAAATAAAATAAAATAAAGTGATAATTCTCCTTTCTCCTCTCCTTAGCAGTTTGGTGTGTGTCCTTCAAAACACTGTGGCTGTTCAGCCCCTTACATTATATATAATGAGAGGATAAACATGGATATGGGTCTATATTCTCTAGCTTGCTTTTTTCACTTACAAGTGTATCATCCTTCCATGCCATTATATAAAGCCACCTCATCTTTTTAATGGTCATGGTGTTCCATGGTTTGGAGGTCTCATAATTCACTCACCACCTTCTCTGGGTGGTTATGTAGGAAATTTCTAAACTTTTTGGCTGCCCTGAGCACGCTTGCCCTTGTAGCTTAGGACTCTTGGGGAGTTTCTCCATCAGGACAGACAAGCAGACAATACTTAGCAGGAATAAATGATCAGTCTTGTGCTTATTGCAAAAGCAGGAGCAACAGATAAGCTGGAACTAGACTTGGCAGGCAGGCAGAGAGAGGCCCTGGAGGGATTCGCTGCAAGCTGCCGCAGATGACCGTGGGCTCCCTTCATGGGCTCCCTTCACTCATGTGCAGTCCGTTCCAGTGCTGCCCAGCTCATCACATGGTTGGTCATGCCTTGGTCACAATTCTGAAGCACTTAAGAAAGAAACTCATAAGCTCATAGATGCCCCACACACAAGATACAAATGGCTCCAGTCGTCCTGCTTAGGCTCTGCTGACCCCTCCACATCCCGTTCCTGGTTCTCATGAGTCTGAGGGACTTCTTCCGGGGATGGAAGAGGCTTCAAGGGGTGTGGTACGGATGACTTCTCAGCTAGGACGGTCTTCATGTTTCTTGGGGTGAGTGAATAGGTGATCCCGTTGGGTCAGGTGGGGTGGGAATGTGGGTGTGACTGGGCTTCGGGTGGCGTTTCTTCTCCCGCAGACATGGCTGGGCTTGTTTGGTACTTCTCCCTCCATGTCCTCCGCTGCCACCCTCCTCCTGTCCCCGTCCTTCAGGACAGAACCAGCAAATCAGTCTCAGCCCCTTAAGAGCACCTTTACTGGTGCTTTCTTTCCCTAGGATTTTTTTTCTCTTTTTTCATTTTTTTCCATTTAAACTCAGTGGCAAAAATCCCAAGGACTTTTGATCCAAAGGCGGCAGTTATCACTAAGTGGTTTATTTCCTTCTAAGACCTAGCCAACGGTCTCAGAGCCAATGCTGCTGGTACAACTACTCTATTAATGGGATAGTTTTGGTAAGTCTGGATCCTCCCAGCTGGGTCCTCCTGATCAGTGCAAAGCAGCCTTTTGTTTTAAAACACATTGCAAGCAATGGCTTGGGAAGTAAACACCATCTGAGGCTCGCTGGCCAGAGGCAAGGGGAGACGGCAGGCAGTTGAGCCTGCCTGAGGGTTCTCTCAGCAGTGACTTCCTTTTTCCCTTCCTTCTTCTGCCTAGTCCTGTATGTGAGGACTATTAATTGTTTTTTGTTGTTGTTGTTGTTTGTTTTGTGAGATGGAGTCTCCCTCTGTTGCCCAGGCTGGACTGCAATGGCGCAGTCTTGGCTCACTGCAATCTCTACCTCCTGAGTTCAAGCAATTCTCCTGCCTCAGCCTCCCAAGTAGCTGGGATTACAGGTGCGTACCACCATGTCTGGCTAATTTTTGTATTTTTAGTAGAGACGAGGTTTTGCCATGTTGGCCAGGCTGGTCTCAAACTCCTGATCTCAGGTGATCCACCCGCCTTGGCCTCCCAAAGGCATGAGCCTCCCAAGGGCATGAGCCACTGCTCCTGGCCGAGGGGATTAATTTTTACCCGCACCTCAGGGTTATTGAGTAACAGGCTGGCTGGGTTTGCAGGCCAGCGTGTTCCTGGTGGCAGCCGCTCACTCATTAACACTTCTGGAAGTGCTGCATGTCTGGTTAAACTGCAAATGCTTTGCAAAGTCACGAGTCATGTCACTGAGCAGAGGCGTGAGACTGCCGGCCAGCCCTGCTGTGTACACTGATAGAATTAGTGAGCGAGCGTCCCACTCTGATGGAATCCAGATGGAACTCGTCACTGTCACTGCGGTGGAGACGGTGGGGCCACATCTGCACTGAATCCTACTCTGCGCCTTCAATGGCTGCGTAATGGCGGATGGCCATTTCCTTGACTAGGATGAGACATTGCCTACTCTGCGTGGCTGCTGTGAGCGTGAAATGGGATCATGTGCGGAACAGCCACGCATGGTCCGTGAAATGGGATCATGTGCAGAACAGCCACGCATGGTCCTTGGTGTGTGACAGATATTGGGTCCCTCTGTGGTCCCAGGCAGACATTGCCCGGGGTGGGGGCCGAATGCATGGTCAAGTTGAGGGGCCTGGGACTGTTTCACGGGTCTAGAAAAAGAAAGCAGAAACGCTGGAAGCAGGACTTTATTGTCCGACATGGGGCTGCCTCTGAGCCTGGGCTGTGTTGGCTGGACGTGAGCCATAATGCAGGTGTCCCCCTCCCAAGCCCTGCTCAGTCCACTCACAGCCCGATGGCCAAGGGAGGACATGGCTGCCCGCCACGGCAGTATCTTCAGAGGTGAGGCGGTTGTCCCTACGCTCTATGCTTCTTATACAAATTAGATATAGGTGAAGCCACCCATTAAGCAACCCAGCCTTTCTGGGACTATTTGGGCTGCCTCCGGGTCCACTAAATGCGGTTCATTTTCCCCAAGCCCCCTCCGAGTTCAAGGAGGCTCCTTCCTTTCCTCCTCCCACTTGCTTCTCCCAGGCTCCCTGACTCCTGCGCTCTGGGATCTGCACCCCACCATGGGGTGAGGAAGCTGAACTGCATGGTGAGGCAGCTGCCCTGCATGCAGCCACATCATGGGCTGGAGATGCCACTGTCCGCTTGGTTTAATGATCAATGAGCTCCCTGCCAGGAAACCCTTTCTGACCTGGTTTGCCCCTCAGTCCCTCGGGCTCATACCTAGTGCCTGCGGCAGGACAGCCATGGCCGCCAACTCCACCAGCGACCTCCACACTCCCGGGACGCAGCTGAGCGTGGCTGACATCATCGTCATCACTGTGTATTTTGCTCTGAATGTGGCCGTGGGCATATGGGTAAGGGGACCTGTGGTGGTGTTGGCCAAGTGGGCTCTCAGGGTTGGTGCTTGGGGTGGGAACCGGGGTCCAGCATGTCCCTGTGGTGTCAGCATTGGTCCCAGCTGGTGGCCTAGTGATCCTTGTGGTCCTCCTCCCAGCCTGGGGTAGACTTGCTTGGAGACCTTGACCAAGCCCGTTTCTCTCTTTGGGTAATGGCGTCTCCATCTGCAAAGTGAGGAGGAGGAAATTCTCTCTAACAGGTAACTGGGCTTTTGTGCTGCTGCCCAGCTGGAGTCCTTGGGTGTGGCCCATCAGCCTCCTGGTCCCAGTCTCCATGGTGTCAGTGACTCCTGTCTGCTTGAACAACAGGCTCCCCGGGATTCCCTGGCTGCACCCCAGAGCTGCTGGATCAGAATCCGGAGGCAGGGAGGGCCCTGGGAACTGGGGGTCTTTATTTTGAACAAGCTCCCTGGGGATTTATGTCCTGTGGCCTAGCCCTAGATCATAAGCCGGTTCTTTCTCCCTTCATAACAGTGAGAAATGAGCAGAGATCTGACCCCACACACAGATTCCAGGGGCAGCGGGGCCCCTGGGGACAGGCTGTTTCATGTGCAGATGGAGAAACCGAGGCTCTGGCCCTGCAGCAAGGGAAGGGCTCCTCTGGTCTATCGTGGAGGCCTTCCTGAGGGAAGGTGGACACAGCCTGGTTCAGGTCACCTGCTCCACGCTTAGCGCCTGGGGATGTTGGGCTCCACTTCTTAAGCCCCAGAGGTCCCCAGCCTGGCATCCCTGAGCCCTGACAGTCTCCTGGGGAGAATGAGTACCCCTTCTTTTTTTTTTTTTTTTTTTTTAACTGAGACGGAGTCTAGCACTGTCACCTGGGCTGGAGTGCAGTGGCACTATCTCGGCTCACTGCAACCTCCACCTCCTGGGTTCAAACAATTCTGCCTCAGCCTCCTGAGTAGCTGGGATTACAGGCGTCCACTACCACACCCAGGTAATGTTTTGTATTTTTAGTAGAGACAGAGTTTTACCGTGTTGGCCAGGCTAGTCTCGAACTCCTGACCTCATGATTTGCCCGCCTCGGCCTCCCAAAGTGCTAGAATTACAGGCGTGAGCCACCGCGCCCGGCCGAGTACCCGTTCTTATCTTCCATAACCCCTGGCCTAAGCACGAAGGCCTGGCAAACAGGAGACTGGTCACGTCCCCTCAGCTTCCTGGGCCTCAGTGTTCTGATCTGTTATATGGAGACACCACCTACCTGGGGTGAGGTCTGCTATCAAGGGGCCCACACAGGACCAGACCTTGCTGCTGCCATTGGTTCTACAGTGGTAGCAGTGGTGGTGGTGGTGGCAGTTGTAGCAGTGGTGATTATAAGAGTAGCAGCCGCAGTCATTAAAATTAATTATCACAGGTTGGATTTCAAAAATCTGAAACCCAAAATCTGGAACATTTTGAACACCAACATGATGCTCAAAGCAAATGCTCATTGGAGCATCTCAGATTTTAGAGTTTTGGGTTGGGGATGTTCAACTGGCAGGTATTCTGTAAGTATCTCCAAATCTGAAAGAGTCCGAAATCCAAAACTTTTCTGGTTTCAAATATTTCGGATAACGGCTCCTCAACCTGTATGTGATTAAATATTAACTCACAAGTAGCCCAGTGCTGGCCATCGGCAAAGCCGAGTTCAAGTCTCGGCTCTGCTCTGTGTACTTAAGTCACTTAATCTCTGTGGGCTTCAGTTTCCTCAAACACGCAATGCGGGTTTCTGTGCAGCCCACATCTCAGGGCTGTTCCAAGGAGCAAGGGTCCAATGGAAGTGAAAATCTGTTGCAAACTGTAACGTGCTATATTCCTGTGACAGTTGGTGGCTAGAATTCAGAGGAGGAGGTGCCCACGTGGGGCAGAACAGACAGTGGAGGGTTTCTGGATGAGGGGAGGTAAGGGCCAGGCAAGATCTGAAGAGGGAAAGAGGAGGGGAGACAAGGCTGTCCTGGCTAGCACGTCTAAGAAAGATGTTCTGGGCACCTGAGGCCAGACCCTTTGTAGCCCAGTGACTTGGGCCACCAGCCCTTGTTGCCCATGACCCACCTCTCCTAGTGAGTCAGCTTGCTGTTTGCAGGCTGGTGCCCCTGGAAGTAGGGCTGTAGGAGTTCTGCCCTGTCCCTCCTAGCAGGCTAGGCTGGCCCAGCTGGGAGCGGCTGGCAAGAGAGCAGTGAGCACATCCAGAAAAGATCAGAACCAGACAGGGAGGATGCTGGAGATGCATCCCACAGGGAGAAGCAGACAGAGCAAGCCAGGCAGGTGCAGCCCTGCAAAGATGTTTAGATGGTGGGCCTGGGAGAGTCTGGCGGGGGCCGGGGGGAGGCCTTTAAGGAAGAGATGTTCCTGGAGGAGGGGACTTTGAGCTGAGCCTTTGCATTCATTAAAGTATCTGTTAACAAGTGACTGAAAACTGCTTTCAAATGAGCTCTAAGAATATAGGAAATGTAGGCCGGGCGCAGTGGCTCATGCCTGTAATCCCAGCACTTTGGGAGGCCTAGGCGGGTGGATCACGAGGTCAGGAGTTTGAGACCAGCCTGGCCAGCATGGTGAAAGCCCGTCTCTACTTTTGTATTATTTTGTGATAATACAAAAATTAGCCAGGCGTGGTGCCAGGCGCCTGTAATCCCAGCTACTCAGGAGGCTGAGGCAGGAGAATTGCTTGAAACCGGAAGGCGGAGGTCGCAATGAGCTGAGATCACGCCACTGCACTCCAGCATGGGCAAAAGAGTGAAACACTGTATCAAAAAAAAAAAAAAAAAAAAAAAAAGAATTCAGGAAATGTAATTGTGTCCAGCAATAGAAAGGGCTTCAGGTGCAGTATGATCCAGGGATTCACAGCATTATTAAGGATACAGCTACACCTCACTTTGGTTCTCTCAGCCTCCATCCATGTGTAGCTCTGTCCTAAGCCCAGCTCCCCTCGTGTCCTGATGTGAAATGACCAGCCCTGCGATTGAGCCTGAGTTGAAATCCAGGCTGCACCACTTGCTAGATGGGTGTGTTTTCATCTCTGAGACCATCAGTTTCCTCATTGGTAACATGGCACCTGCTTCATAGAGCTGTTGCGAGGACTAAGAACTCCACACAGATCAAGAAGTTGAAGCCAACTCTGGCATGGGGGCCTTCGGGGAACCTTAAATGGGTACATGTGGCCCCCAGCAACTGCCAGCAGCCCCCAGAGCCCCAGATATAAGAAGGCAACTGGCAATGCCCACTATAGGCTTGAAAGATGAGAAGGGTTAGGAAAAAGCATGGGCTGTAAACATAGATGCTTTGGAGTTGTGCAGTGCACAGCGTACACATCTGGATATGGCCATCCTGGCCAAGACTGTGAGCCTTCAGACTATGCTGCCTTTAGTACAGCAAGATCACGGCACACAAAGAGAAAGTGGTGGGAGTTGGAGCTGGAGAGAGGCAGGAGCCACATCAAAAGTTCTGAACTGGGTGTGGTGGTGTCCACGTGGTTCCTGCTACTCAGGAAGCTGAGATGGGGAGATCACGTGAGCCCAGGAGTTCAAGACCTGCCTGGGCAACATAATGAGACCCTGTCTTAAAAATAAAAATAAATAGGCCGGGCGCGGTGGCTCATGCCTGTAATCCCAGCACTTTGGGAGGCCGAGGTGGGCAGATCACCTGAGGTCGGGAGTCCAAGACCAGCCTGACCAACATGGAGGAACCCCATCTCTACTAAAAATACAAAATTAGCCGGGCATGGTGGCACATGCCTGTAATCCCAGCTACTAGGGAGGCTGAGGCAGGAGAATCGCTTGAACCCGGGAGGCAGAGGTTGCGGTGAGCCAAGATCGTGCCATTGCACTCCATCCTGGGCAACAAGAGCGAAACTCTGTCTCAAAAATAAATAAATAAATAAATAAATAAATAAATAAATAAATAAATAACAAATAGATAAAGCTTTGAATGGTGAGTACATACAATGAAGCCTAATCATCCTGAGTATAGGGCAGGGCAATTAAAGTCAGGAAGAAAGAGACCTGCATATTGATGGATATATTTTGTGATCCAGCCTTATGTATGTTCTGAAAAGAAATACAAAATTTGTATCTAAATACCTGTCCTGTGTCCCTCTTTTCAAATTCTTCTGTTTTTTCTTTTTTCTTTCTGTTTTTTTTTTTTTTTTTTTTTTCTGTTTTGAGACAGAGTCTTGCTCTGCAGCCCAGGCTGGAGGGCAGTGGCGCCATCTTGGCTCACTGCAGCCTTGACTTCCTGGTCTCAAGTGATCCTCCCACCTCAGACTCTAGAGTAGCTGGGATTACAAGCATGCACCACCACGCCCAGCTAATTTTAAAACTTTTTATAGAGACAGAGTTCCACTATGTTGCCCAGGCTGGTCTTGAATCCCTGGCTTGAGTAACCCTCCTTCCTTGGCCTCCCAAAGTGTTGGGATTACAGGCATGAGCCACCACGCCTGGATGATTTAACTTAAATTTCTCCCATCCAAATAGCACTAAAGACAGGCTTGAAAAATCCATGTACTCACTGACCCTTATCTCAGCATGCTACGTGTACTAACCCACTAAAGCTCATAAAAACCCTGTGAGGGTTAGGAAGCCAAGGCAGGCAGATCACATGAGGTCAGGAATTTGAGACCAGCCTGGCCAACATAGTGAAACCCCCTCCTACTAAAAACACAAAAAATTAGCCAGGTGTGGTGGTGCGCACCTGTAATCCCAGCTACTCGGGAGGCTGAGGCAGGAGAACCGCTCGAACCCGGGAGGTGAAGGTTGCCGTGAGCCAAGATCTGTCACTGCATTCCAGCCAGGGTGACGGAGTGAGATTCTGTCTCAAAAAACAAAACAAAACAAAATTCATGAAGGAAGAACTTCTTAGGACCACATTACAGAGGAAGAAACCAAGGCATACGCGTTCAGTAACTTGCCCCAGGTAACACGGCCAGGAAGCAGGGAAGACAGGATTTTACTCTCAGACGTTCCGACTCCAGAATTTTTATTCCACTTACATGGAGGACAAAATTCTATACTCCCCGTAAACCAAAGGCATGTGGGAATACGTAGGTAAGGAGCTGACTGCTTCTGTTCTTTTTATAAAAGTTGAGATAAAATTTACATAATATACAATTCATCATTTTAACCATTTTATTTTATTTTATTTTATTTATTTATTTTGAGACGGAGCCTTGCTCTGTCACCAGGCTGGAGTGCAGTGGCACGATCTCGGCTCACTGCAACCTCCACCTCCCGGGTTCAAGCAATTCTGCCTCAGCCTCCCGAGTAGCTGGGACTACAGGCGCCTGCCACCACGCCCAGCTAATTTTTGTATTTTTAGTAGAGACAGGGTTTCACCATGTTGGCCAGGATGGACTCGTTCTCTTGACCTCGTGATCCACCCACCTCGGCCTCCCAAAGTGCTGGGATTACAGGCGTGAGCCACCGCGCCAGCCCATTTTAACCATTTTAAAGTGTGCAATTCATGGCATTTAGTACATTTGCAATGCTGCGCAACCATTACCTGTAGCTAGCTCCAAAACATTTTCATCCTGTCCCCATCAAAGTCAAGCACCGTTCTTCCTGCCTCCCAGCCCCTGGCAACAACTCATCTGCTTTCTGTCTCTATAAATTTGCCTGTTCTGGACTTTTCATATAAATGGAATCATACAATTCGTGGCCTTTTGTGTCTGTCTGTGTTCATGAAGCATCATGTTGTCAAGGTCCATCCAAGTTGGGCATGCATCAGAGCTTCATTCCCAAGATATTTGTTGTTTTTTTCCAGACAGGATTTCACTCTGTTGCCCAGGCTGCAGTGCAGTGGCACAATCACCGCTCACTGCAGCATCCACCTCCTGGGCTCAAGAGATGCTCCCACCTCAGTGTCCTAAGTAGCGGGGGCCACAGGTGTGTGCCACCAAACCCTGCATTTTTTGTAGACCTGGGGTCTCACTATGTTGCCAGTCTGGTCTCAAACTGCTAGGCTCAAGTGATCCGCTTACCTCCGCCTCCCAATGTGCTGGGATTACAGGCATGAGCTACTGCACCCAATAGAACTTCATTCCTTTTGAAGACTGAATAATATTTCTTTATATAGGATATACCACATTTTGTTTATTTACTCATCAGTCGACAGAAATGTGGGTTGTTTTCACTTTTGGCTATTATGAATAATGCTGCTATGAACATTCGTGTACAAGTTTCTGAGTGGATGTGTGTTTTCAATTCTTTTGGACATATACCTAGGAGTGGAACTTCTGGGTCATATGGTGATTCTATG
This sequence comes from Homo sapiens, assembly GCF_000001405.40. Taxonomy (NCBI): domain Eukaryota; kingdom Metazoa; phylum Chordata; class Mammalia; order Primates; family Hominidae; genus Homo; species Homo sapiens. The sequence continues at coordinate 18,958,587 of NC_000017.11, forward strand.
CGTAACCTTTTGAGGAGCTGCCAAGCCGTTTCCCATTCGACTTCCCAGCAGCAGTGTGCGGGCTTCCAACTCCTGTCCCTTTTCTCCTCTTGCAGTCCTCTTGTCGGGCCAGTAGGAACACGGTGAATGGCTACTTCCTGGCAGGCCGGGACATGACGTGGTGGCCGGTGAGTGCACCCTGACTTCTCACACACCCCCACTTTGTCCGTGGGGCTGTGTCTGATCTCTAGGTCACCTGGCATCTGTATCTTTGAGCCAGTCCAATTCAGTGGAGCAGGCCGGAGGCTGGCAGGAGGTCCCCAAGTGAGGGGCATAGGGCTGAGCTGCTAGAAATTGTGTAAGGGGCAGGGGCTATGGAGTCTGAAACTTACATCCGCTCCTTAGCTGTGCAGCTAGTCATGGGTAGAACACACACCCTGGGCTCCTCATCCGTGAGGTGGGGCTAGGACCCCGCTTAGGTTTGTGAGGATGAGGGAGAAGCTATTAGGCCCAGGATGGGGCCGGCGCAGGGAGCCTGCTGCTGATGCGTTTCCCTTTCTCTCCTCCAGATTGGAGCCTCCCTCTTCGCCAGCAGCGAGGGCTCTGGCCTCTTCATTGGACTGGCGGGCTCAGGCGCGGCAGGAGGTCTGGCCGTGGCAGGCTTCGAGTGGAATGTGAGTCCTGGAGGACTGGCGGCCTGTGGGAGGGCCAGGGCACAGGATGTGGTCGCAGCACTGGAGGGGGACAGCTCCCAGTGGCTGGTGTCAGCCGATGTCCAGGTGGGCTCTGTGCAGTGCTGTTCCTGGGCCAAATCGTGTCTTCAGAATACCAAGGTGCTGGATGGCACGACTGGCAGGGAGCTGTGGGCCTTGCCCAGACCTAGAGAGGGGAAGGAGCCACCCAGGATCTCATGGCAAGTCAGGAGGGGCTGGGGGAAGCCAGGCCTCCGGATGGCTCATCCCAGCCATGTCTGCTTTGTCTCTGGAGCAGAGCTGTGGGAGCTGCACCTGCAGTCCTCACCTGTCTCTGTCCCCATAGGCCACGTACGTGCTGCTGGCACTGGCATGGGTGTTCGTGCCCATCTACATCTCCTCAGAGGTGAGTCTACTCATGGGGCCTCCAGCTGGGGGGCTGGGCCTTGGTCCAAGTTGGTGGTAGTAATGGGCAGGACCACCGTGGCCTCACATCAGGAGTTGGTAAACTCTTAGGGCTGGGTTTGCTATTAGCCCGACTAATATTTCTATCAACCTGCTAAGGTGGATCCCGACTAATATTTCTATCAACCTGCTAAGGTGGATCCCCTCAGACCTCAGCCTGGGTGCCGTGTTGGCTGGTTTCCACTGCCCTGAGTGCTGCATCTCAGGAATAATGTCCCATCCAGCTGGGCACATAGGCTGTACAACTGGGCCATGCACCTGGTTTGCACACCTGGCCCACACACCTGGGTAGCATACCTGGGCTGTACCCCTGGGCTGCGTACCTGAATGGCACACCTGGGCCGCACAATTGGCTGCACCATCGTCGACTCTGCCCACTCCTTCAGCCCCAGCCATGCAGCCACTAAGTCCAGTCAACTCCACTTCCTGGATGTCTCTCAGCCTGTCCCCAGCTCTGCCCCTCACAGCCACCTCCCTCATCCAGCCTCATCATAGTGCACCTGGATTTGTCATAACAGCCTCTAAACTTGTCCCTCTGTCCCAGCCACGGCCCCTCCAATCCATTCCTCGTCTCAGCCCTAAAGAGCCAGTCTAGGGATCTCAGCCTGCCACTCCCCTGCCTGACACCCTCGGGGCGCAGCCGGAGCAGCCCGGGATTCCAGGCCGGGTGCTGGGGCTGTAAGGGGTCAGTGCCTGGGCCTTGCCCTTGAGAGGCTCGCAGCTGCTTTGTGGCGGGGGGAGAGGCAGAGTGATTGAGACAGGCCCTGCCTGGAGCCCTGGGCATCATCTGGAGGATGCTTAGCCCCTACCCATGTGCCTTCCCAGATCGTCACCTTACCTGAGTACATTCAGAAGCGCTACGGGGGCCAGCGGATCCGCATGTACCTGTCTGTCCTGTCCCTGCTACTGTCTGTCTTCACCAAGATATCGGTGAGCTGCCCCCGGCTCCCTGCTGGCATAGCCTGGAAACATCGCCAATCTGTGGGCCCCTCAAGAGGACCTGACATCTTCTCATTCATCTCTGCCTTGTTTAACAGCTGGGCAAATTGAGGCCCAGAGAGGGGCAATGACTTGCCCAGGGTCACGCAGCGAGTCTGGACAGGTAGTCCAGGGCCCCCGGGGTGTAGGCTCAGCAGCCAGCCCTAGTCAGGGACAGAACACAACCTGGTGACCTCTGCTTTGCCTCAGGTTCTAGACACAGGGTGTTAGGACGGTTCTCGGTCTGAGGTCAGTTCTGGGGCCGGCACCGGGGTGAGCCACGATCTCCCACTAGGGGGCGCCAAAAGCCCACGTGGTCTTAGCCACATCTGGTCTGCACTGAGCTGACCTGCCTCTCACCCCAAGGCTGGTGGGCTCCATCACTGACACCCATCCTTGGGGGCCTGGCCCTGCCCCCACGGGCATATTAAGAGCAGGAGCACACCTCGAATGTCAGGGTCAGGAGAAGCATAGAGCTCATCTTGTCCAAGCCCCTGACTTTACAGAGAGGGAAACTAAGGCCCAGAGAAGGGAAAGAGCTTGTCCTAACCCTCCCGGTGACCTCATGGCAACACTAGGCCTTCTGCTCTCACTCCAAGTCCCTGGGGGCAGCTAGCTTCATCCAGCCCCAGGCTTCTGAAGGGGCTTGAGTCCTGGGGCTGCCTGATTCTGGCTGAGAGAGCTGACACTAGCCCCTGCGACCTCCGAGCCTCCCTGTGCCTGGGGCTCCTCCCTTGTAAGGAGGGGCGGCAGACCTTGTCTCCTAGGGCTCCTGTGAGTTGGTGGTAGCAATGGGCAGGACCACCGTGTGAGGGCTGCTGTGTCTGCGGGAAGTGCTCTGTGAGGCCCAGCTTTCCCTCAGAGGCAAATGGCCTCCTGGGCCCTCTTCATTCAGTCCTGGGACTAGGAAAGCCCAGAAGAGGCGTCGATTTAGTGAAGGGAATGGAGGTGCAGAGGCCGGAGAGGTAGAGGCCTCGCTGGTCAGCCAGGAGCTGTGGGCAGGGCTACCTGGGAAGAGGGCCCTAAAGGGTCCATCCAGAGCCCCCACGGGGCCCCGGTGGGGGTCTCATGCAGCATCTGACCCGCCCTCTCCTCTCCTGGGGCATCCCCTCGGCAGCCTCAGCCTGGCCTCTATCTGCACTGGTGTTGCTAGGTGACTCTGAGGGGATTCCCAGAGTGTCTCATCCTTCGTGTGGGCAGGTCTCAGGAGTGGCCAGCAGCAAACCCCGTACCGCAGTCTTCGCCAGATGCCCTTGGCGTACTGTAGGAGGTTTGCTTTCTCTGGGAGCCCTTTAGAGTCCGGAGGGACTTGGCCTTGGCCTGCCCTTAAGGCTGAGTTTAGAGCTTTCCACTCATACTCTTCCTTCCTCTCCCACATTTCTTGATCTCCACCCCACCCCCATGCCAGCCACCCCCATGCCAGCCACCTCCCTGGAAACCAGGGATACAGAAATAAACAAGACCTGGCCCTGGTCTGCCAGGGGCTCGCACTGTGGTGAGAAATAGATGGATGCATGGGACAGGCATGAAACTCAGAAGAGGACACAGCGGGGCTTGCTGGGGGTGGCATTTGAGTTGGGCTCTGATGGAGACAGGGATACTGATGGGGGATGGGAGCAAATGACAAAGAGAGAGGTGGGAAGAGGCAGGATGTGTCTGGGGGTGGTCGGGGCTGGAGGCTTAGACTCTAGGAGTCACTAAGTCAGACACTTCTGGGGCCAGATAAAGAACAGCGTGGAGAGAAGCTGGGAGTGAGTAATAGGCAGTGGTGGGGACAAAGGCAAACCAGAGAACGTGCCCCAGGATTGACACACAACAGGCCCGTGTGCCACATTTGCCTCTCGGCTGCCAGTTTTCAGGGTCTGGCCTGCAGTGAGAGATGAGGCAAGGGAGGTCTGATTGTAAGAGGTTGAAGTGCCCAAGGTGCCCAGGTGGAGCGGGGGTGGTGTTTAGGAGCCGGGGTGGTGTTTAAGTGGGAGAGTGACATGGTCGTGTTTGTACTTTGTGCTCTCTGGAATCTTCCAGAGGGTGGACTGGAGGTGAGAGAGACAAGAGGAGGCCAGGCTTGTGAGGAGGCCCCAGGTAGGTCTGGTGAGGGAGGGAGACTGAGCCATGGGCACAGGGTTCTCTGCCCCCTGTTTCACCCTGCTGGCTTCTCTGCAGTAGAGCTTATACCTCACACTCGGAGAGTCCTGAAAGTGGATGGCTTGGGCGGAACTTCTAGAAAGGCAGAGGGGGCCGGCGTGGTGGCTCACGCCTATAATCCTAGCAATTTGGGAGGCTGAGGCAGGCGGATTGCCTGAGCTCAGGAGTTCAAAACCAGCCTAGGCAACACGGTGAAACTCCATCTCTACTAAAATACAAAAAAATTAGCCAAATGTGGTGGCATGCGCCTGTAGCTACTCAGGAGGCTGAGGCAGGAGAATTACTTGAACTGGGGAGATGGAGGTTACAGTGAGCTGACTCTCCAAAAATAAAAAGAACAAAAGGCAGAGGGAAGAGTTCAGTGAAGTGGGAGGACCTTAGAAACAATCTTGTCCAGCTCTCCGAGTTTACAGATGACACACTGAGGTCCAGGTCACAGCGAGTCAGGCAGGGACTACTGTTAGAACCCAGGTCTGTGCCTCCCACCACAAGAGGCCCAACCTCAGCCCTGCTGCCCTGAAGCAGCCAGGACGTGGCCTTTCAAACTCCACTTTGTGATGGGGGTGATTCAGTTTACCCAACTATAAAACAGGGAGCACCCACTCACATCAAGGCTGGGCTTCAGAACCAACGCTGGGGCTGCCTGGATGAAGCAGAGGGCGAAGCTTGAGGAATGCTAATTGCTGGGCTTGGCTGCGAGAGGACTGGGGCTACCCTGGCTGTTTGAAGTGCACGCGCCCAGGCGGTCCCCAGAGGCCCTGACCTCACTGGGCTGTGCCCCGGGAATGCCTCACATGTCTGCGCATCCAGCACCCGTCCCAGCCACTGCCCGTGTGGACAGAGATCTTAGGGTGCCTGCTGCCATCCCTCAGGCAGGGGCACTGGCCCACAGGAGGACCGGCGATGGCAGGGCCTGGAGAATCACCACCCTGACCCTCAGACGAATGGGCCCAAGCCCAGCTCCATCATTGTGGGGCTCTAGCCAGTCATTTAACCTCTGGAACTGGGCACGATGCCCCATGCCACTTGCAGTAAAGGTCCTCCACGGGGGTCGCTTTGCGCCCTCACTGACCTCACCCCTCCCTCGCCCTGTTGCCCCCACCCGCTCCAGCCACACTGGCCTCTGCGCTTCCATGAACACACCAGGCATGGTCCTGCCTCAGGGCCTTTGCATTTGCTGTGGCCTCTGCCTGGAACCTTCTGCCTGGATATCCACGTGGCTCCCTCATGTCCCTCAAGCCTTTCCACTCTCTCCATCTTCACCCCCATCCCCGCAGGCCAGCCCCCTTCCTCTCTCTACCCCCATGGACTCGGAACGCCTGCTGGCTGTGTGCTCCGTTGGTTCCCTTGCTCACTGGCCGCATCCCCAGGGCTGCCCACATGCCTCGTGGGTCTAGGTGAGAGAATCTATGCCAGGGGTCAGCTCGTTTTTTCTGCGAAAGGCCTGAGAGTAAATATTTTCAGCTTCACAGGCCACCCAGTCTCTGTCCTCACTCCTCAACTCTGCCCCTGGGGCCCGAAAGTGCCTGCAGACAATACCATAAGGCATGACTGGGCCTGGCCTGTGGGTTCTGGGCTGCCACTCCCTGCCCTATGGAAATCACCTACTTACTGTGCACCTACTGTGTGCCAGGCCCTGGGTGAGCCCCCCACACCCATAGATGCTTTCTAGACAGGGGGTAAGGAAACAGACCAAGGAAATCATAAGAAATGGTAAAAGTGTGACAAAAGAAGCAAACACGGTGAAGGGGGGACAGAAATGGGGAGACAGGAGCAGGGAGTGGGCTCACTGGAGACAGGGCAGTCTGGGGTGGAAATGCCAGCCTTGCAGCCACAGGGCAAGAGCTTGGCAAGTCCAGGAGTGGGAAGCTCATGGGGCTGGGGGTGTCTAGGGATATGGAGGGGCAGCAATGACCAAGAGCGGAGAGGCAGTGGGGACCACGCAGAGCCTCTGGGCAGGGCCTCTGCCGGGCGGGGGTGCACCTTATTCCTGGAATGGTAGAAATGCAGAACCTGACCGGGTGCAGTGGCTCACACCTGTAATCCCAGCAATTTGGGAGGCCGAGGCGGGTGGATCACCTGAGGTCAGGAGTTCGAGACCAGCCTGGCCAACATGGTTAAACCCTGTTTCTACTAAAAATACAAAAAATTAGCCAGGCGTGGTGACACACACCTGTAATCCCAGCTACTCGGAAGGCTGAGGCAGGAAAATCGCTTGAACCCAGGAGGCAGAGGTTTTTTTAAAAAAAAAAAAAAAGAGGAAATGCAGAGCCCCAGATCTTCCTTGCACAAGCCAAATGCAGGAGGGACCAGTGAGGGGCTTGCAAGGGGATCGGGCCCAGGGTGGGGGCAGCAGAGGTTTTGGGGAGTGGGTGTGTGTTTTGGAGACGGAATCCATAGCAGTGGCCGGTGGGTCAGAGGCGGGGAGTGTGGCAAAGGGGAGCCCCGGAGGACGGTGATGGCCTCCATGGAAATGGGCAAGGCTCAGGGGCAGAGGACACCAAAAAGATTTGGGAGAAATCACAGTCAACTCCTAGTGTCAGTGCAGAGCCCACCCAGCTTCTCTGCTGTCCCACGAAGGATGGGAGATATAAGTTCCATGTGGGAAGGTGGCTGAGAGCGGGCAGGGCAAGGGCCCAGGCCGGGCAGCCAGAGTACCAGGGCCGGTTCCCAGCCTCCTTCAGCCTCAGACACGCCCTGGAGTGAATGGTTTCCATCGGCTGGGAGATGGAGTGAGGCTCCTTCATATACGTGGGGAGCTTGGGGGTCTAAGCTGTGCAGAGCCCGCCAGATCAGTCCCACGCTGCACCACAGGGCCCACACGTCCTCTCTCAGCCTTGCTCCCTCCCTGTGTACTGGGCTCCCGCCCTTGCAAGCCCCCAGTGGTGGCTACATGGTGCCAGGAGAGGAGTGGCTTGCTGCCAACAGTGTGTGCTCTCTGGGAGGTCCCCTGCCATGAGTTTCCTCCCCAGGACCTCACAGGCCCCAGGGTCAGCCAGCAGGAAGGGCACGTCCTTGGGGCCCACCTCTTAGGACGGTGGGACTTTGACAAAGTCATTTCACTTCTCCATGCCCAGGTGCCCCCCACTGTGGAGTGGAGTGGATTACCACACCCACCTGGTAGGATGCTATGAGCAGCACTGGGGGAGACCTGAAAGACATCAGGGCGCCGTGTGGCACACACGCACATTTGTCACCTGTCAAAAGTGGCAAGTCAGCAGGGAGTCCTGGAGGACAACCAGGGCCGTGAAGCACTGGCAGGGTTTCTGGGTACAAGATGAAGGGAGGAATCGTGGGGGTCCTGCATGGGGAGGAAGGAGCAGGGTAGTGGAAAGGACAGTTTGTGCAGGGTGAATGTGGGGCCACATCACAGGAGCAGGCAGGCACCTCTGGACAGCAGCCTGGATCAGGCTGCTGAGCTGGGGGTGGACCAGTTGCTCCGGCCCCATGGGTGGCAGCCTGGAGTGAGGTCCTGGTTCAGCCTGTGCCCTGGGAGTGGCCCTTCCTCGGGGATGCTGTTCCCTGGTGCAGTCTTGTTGATTTTGTTCCCAGAGTTTTGCCTCCATGGGCAAGTTCCTCTGCAATTTGGGCCTTGACCTCCCCATCTGTGCCTTCTAGGAGTTGGAATAGACTCTGGGCCGGGTGCGGTGGCTCACGCCTGTAATCCCAACACTTTGGGAGGCCGAGGTGGGTGGATCACCTGAGGTCAGGAGTTTGAGACCAGCCTGGCCAACATGGTGAAACCATGTACAAAATTAGCCGGGCTTGATGGCACACACCTGTAATCCCAGCTACTCAGGAGGCTGAGGCAGGAGAATCACTTGAACCCGGGAGGTGGAAGTTGCAGTGAGCCGAGATCGCACCACTGCACTCCAGCCTGGGTGACAGAGCAAGACTCCGTCTCAAAAAAAAAAAAAAAAACAACACTCTGCGGTTGCTCCTGGGTCACTGGGGAGGGAGGCACAGAGGAGAGCTGGCTATCTCAGACAGTCCCACGGAGCATCCCGTGCCAGGGTGAGGGGGTAGAGGGGCTGCAGGGTGCCGGCAGGGTGGAGGGGCTGGGTGGCTGGCTTTGTGTGCTCCACACCCACTTCCCCATGGCACAGATCAGGGGCACTGAGGTTCAGGGGATGAAGTGGCCTGCTCAAAGCCATGTGGCTGGGACATGGCAGACCAGGGGCACAGAGCCAGGGCTGTGTGGCTCTTGGCATCTGTCAGGCTGAAGCTGCCCCGGCCCACAGAGGAGTGCTCGGGCTGCAGGAAGGGTCGGATAGGGCTAAGTGATGTCTGAATTCCTCACCCGGGGGCTGCTCGGGAGTTGCAGGCAACCGCACACCTACTGGGCCTCTAGCAACAGCAGCAAACGTTCACTGGATGCCATGTAGTGTCCAGTCTATAGGGGAGACAGCAGTGAAAGGCCCACCCCACACCCTTGCTCCTGCCGTTCCTGCACCTGCGGGACTTCTATTCAGTCTTTGGGGCCTGCCACCGTGGAAGGAAGGGCAGGAAGGAGGGAGGCAGGAGGGAGGGCGAATGAACAATGTACTCGAGGAGCAGAGGGGCTGGCACGGCTGTGTTTTGAAACATGAGAAGCAGAGGCTGGGATGTTCCAGGGCAGAGGGAATCTGGTGAGCCGGTGAGCAAAGACTCAGAGGCAGCTAAGTGCTGGGCATGGGATGAAGGGCCATGTGTCTGGCGTGGCCAGAGCCAAAGACCGGGCACACAGACCCAGGTTCTGTCCAGAGACAGCCAGGGTCCAGCAGGAGTCTGGAGCAGTGACTGTAGGACAGAAGCTTGCAGGCTGCCTGTGGTGGGCCTTCTAGAAGCCTCCTGCTCCCTCTCGGCCTTCCCTCTCCTGGTAACTCCAATCTCTGATACCTACCAGGGGCTGACTTTGGGGAAGTCCTTTCCCTTCCTGGGGCCTCAGTTTATCCTCTAGTCTGATGGGGCAGGACTTGAAGAGTCCATCCTGCTCTGATATTCAGCACCTCTGCGCTTCTCTACTTGGGCTGGAGGCAGATCCCGCCCCCACCCCCCACCACACCTTCCCCTGAACTACCTGCCCTTCCTATACACACACACACACAGCCAAAGATAAGGACCAGAGCCGGGGTTCTCCTGAAAGCCCCTGGCTAGTTTCCAAACTGGCTGGTCTCTCTAAGACAGGTTGAGAGAGGCGCCTGGAGGGAGAGGTACAGGAAGCACAGGCTTTGGAGCCAGATCCCATCCTGCCTGGGCCCTGTGTCAGACCCCAGGAGGCAGGGATCCCTGCCTGGGGGAGCTCAAAGGGGCCTGGGGCCTGCACTTCCTGGGCCTCGTGCAGATGTGTCCCCACACTAGGAAGCACAGGGCCCCAGCCTTCTCAGGAAGCTCCTGGCCCCTGAGGCTGTGTGTTGGGTCATCTCGCATCTCCTGAGTCAAAGCAGAATGGTAGGTTTAGGAACTCAGGGGTGGGGCAAGGTGAAGCCTGTTACTAGCCCATGTCCCAGAGAACAGGGTCCTGCCCTTCCTCTCACTGGGCCCCTACTGCCAGGTGGAGGGTGGGATTCTGGTCTTTGAGGCCCATGCCAGGCAGAGGTTGGCCTCCAGGCTAGCGCTCCTGCCTTTAGGAGGAGCAGCCACAGGTTCTGGGAGGGCAGGGGCTGTGTCCAGTCAGTGTGGAGACCAGCTTCAGCCTGAGACCCAGCCTCTGAGCCACTATTGGCTTCAGTTCCAAACCCACTGGGGGGTGGGGGCAGGAAGCAAGGCTGCCCCTCTGTTTCCTGGTCCGCCCAGCACACACTTTTCCTGAGGCCTACTGGTCCGCCCAGCACACACTTTTCCTGAGGCCTACTGGTCTTCACAGACTCCTCACAAACTCATCAAGGTGCCCCTGGGAACCGAGGGGACAGGGCTCTGCCTTTTATCCCCTCGGGAAGGGGCCAGATTCAATAACAACACTGCTTTTGGGAAAGGCATTGGCCACTTTGGACTTTATTAGCAACAGTAATGTCCCCTGACATCCGCACAAGCTTGTAGCTCCACGGCCAGGTCTTCCCCCAACCTCACAATGGCCCCGTGATGCAGGCAGGCAGGCGAGTGGGGGTCTCCCCTCCTTATCCACAGGCCACCGAGGCCCAGAGAGGGCCTTGCCCGAGGTCACCCAGGGAGTGGCTTGCTGGAGCCCTGGGAATAACAGTCCCACACAAGGCTCTCTCCCTCCGCAGCTGGACCTGTACGCGGGGGCTCTGTTTGTGCACATCTGCCTGGGCTGGAACTTCTACCTCTCCACCATCCTCACGCTCGGCATCACAGCCCTGTACACCATCGCAGGTATGGTGCCTGCAGCAGGGAGGTCCACCCAGGGGACGTGTAAAGGGGTCAGAAGGCCACCTCCCCCTACAGGCCCGAGGGAGCAGCCCAGGAAGTGGCCCCAGCAGGAGCCCCAGAAGTTCCTCCCCGTGTCCCTCCTCCCTGGGGCCAGGGCCCCCTCCAGCAACCTTGCTTCCACTGGCAGGGGGCCTGGCTGCTGTAATCTACACGGACGCCCTGCAGACGCTCATCATGGTGGTGGGGGCTGTCATCCTGACAATCAAAGGTGAGGACAGAGTCTGTGGCCATGGCGGGGCTGTCCCCACAGCGAGCCCTTTGGAGTCTGGCACTGCCCGGCACTGTGCAGGATTCATGCCGTTGGGGTTCTGGGTAGCATCGCTGGGAGTGGGTGGGTTCAGGAGGTTGAGCCACTAGGCAGTCAGCCCCCCTGCTGGCCCCTCAGGGACTGCCCTGGCTGGTAGAGGCTACCCACCCTGCTGCCCCGCTGTTACCAGCTCTGGCCCTGGCAAGGAGCTGACTCAGGAACTCAGGGCCAGCCACACCCGCATTGGCTCAGCGCTTGATGGTGAGGTGGGGCTGTAGGCGGGTGTGAAGGCACACAACCAGGAGGCCATAAAACTGCCTGGGCAGCTCCTCCAATTGTTTAAAAGCATGTACAAAATGCCAAGAGGTGATGCTACCTCCTGCAGGACAAAGGCCAGGGAGGAAAGAAGAGAGCTGGGAGAGATTGGCGATACTAGTCTGGAACAGATAGGAAACTCACAGGGCTGCCCGGAGAGAGCGTGAGCTCACCGTCCCTGGAAGTATGTAAGCAGAGCCAGGAGGATCCCTCAGAGAGTGAACAAATCTCTAAAGACTCTTCCAGACTCAGACACTGGGACCCTGTGGCTGAGCAGTTTCTAACCCTTGAATGGCACTTGTTCATTTGCTCTGAGCCTCACACAAACCCTCGGTCTGAATACAGAGCCTGACCTGAGCTCCATGGGAACAGTGATGCTGGGGAGACCAGCATCCAGGCAGCAGGCTGCCTCTTCCATGTCCCACTTGGAAAAGGCTAGGGAGTAGGGCCTGGGGTGGAAACGGGTTTTCCTACATCCAGGCTTCTCCCTCTCAGACCAGGGGCTCTAGTGTCCCTGGGACCCACCGCATGAGAGGGATCCCAGCAGCCAGGCCCAGTCTGGAAGGGAGGGGAGTGACACAGACACAGATGGGCCAGGGCTTGGCCATGCCGGGCCCTGACCCCGAGGTAGACAGGAACAGTGAGGTGTTTTGGACTGGAGAGGAAAAAGCCCCGGCTTGAGCCCGCCAGATGGTCTATATGGTCTTGGTGGAGGCCCCATCCCTCTCTGGACCTGTCTCCCTCTTCTCTGTGCCTCAGGGGGTGGGGCCACATCACCACCAGCCACTCTCAGCTCTGCTAAAATCACACCCTTCAGGTGATCAGGATGAACACTTTAGAAGCCTCAGGAAGGTCCTCAAATGTCAAGAAAAATTACTTTTGCTTCCTTGAATCGACAATCGGAAACCTGGCTGAGAACCACTTGCCCAAGGCCGATGAGTGTCCAGAGGCCAACAGTGACTCCTGCTGGGCCAGCGGGACACTGGGGTGCCCATGTGCAAAATGCTTACTTAATAGTATTATTTTAAATACGAATAAAATAGTCATTCAAATACACCTTAAAAAAAAAAACAACCCTCTACCCTCACACCTTTCCAAACACTGGGAAAGATGAGGTGGAAAAAACTCAAGTTTGATGCATCAGGAAGTTTCTTGTGAGATGAAGGCAGGGGGGAGCCCAGGGAGTCAGGGCCCCGCAACCACCAAACTGTCCCTGTTCCACCCTGACCCCTCCAGCTTTTGACCAGATCGGTGGTTACGGGCAGCTGGAGGCAGCCTACGCCCAGGCCATTCCCTCCAGGACCATTGCCAACACCACCTGCCACCTGCCACGTACAGACGCCATGCACATGTTTCGAGACCCCCACACAGGGGACCTGCCGTGGACCGGGATGACCTTTGGCCTGACCATCATGGCCACCTGGTACTGGTGCACCGACCAGGTGAGTGCCAACGTCTCCCGCCCATCCCACCTTCCTGCCGTCCCAGTGGGCTCTGGTAGGCCCAGGCGGCCTGTCTGCCCTCCGCGTCATGAGTCTGGGCTGGGGCCTCAGAAGGTGTGGCTCCAGGCTGGGACATGCTGCTAGGGGTCTTTGCGGTCCCGGGGGGCTTGAGCCCTCCGTTTAGAATCCGATGAGGCCCACTGGCTACCGCCCGTCCTGGCCTTTAGGTGCTTCGACTGAGACAGTTTGGAGTATGGGATTCCGAAGGGACTCGGATGCTCCTCGGTGGCCCTGCCATCGGTCATGGGGCGGGCATTTTGGGCCAGTCTTGGGCTGCCGGGATCCGGAAGCAGGCGGGGTACCTGACCTCCCTTGGCCTGCCAGTGGTGGGGGCCAGCCATGGCTGGGCCAGCGTTTCTGGTAGAGCTCTGGACGCTGTCAGCAGCAGAGCGGTACCTAGGGGGTCCTGGGAAGCCGTCTTTATCCCTAGTCCCTGAGGCAGGGACCCTGTGATGATGAAACTGCTGGCCCTGGGAGAGAGAGAGCAGAGAGTGAGGCTGAGCAAGAAGGGCCAACCCCGCCCCAGCACAGGACCCTGCTCAGGCACACAGGAGCCGGCAGGCCCGGGTTCGCCTCCTGGCTCTGCCATTCACCAGGGAGTGGGCCTAGACCAGTTGGTTTAGTCACTCGATGCCTCAGTTCCCCTGTCTGTAATATGGGAATAATCCTGCCCTTTGTGGGTGTAGCAAGGCAGCTTCCTCCCAGCTCACCCCCGCAGCCTCCTCTATTCCGACACAGGCCTGGGACGTGGTTGGAAATGGGCTGAATGGGGTTGTTGGAGGCAATGCAGGAGTTTCTGTTGAGTGCAGGGGGTGACTCTGGCCCTGCCCTCAAGACCCTGTCACCAGCCCTCCAGGTGACCTCAGATGAGCTGCTTCCTGTCTCTGGGCAGAAGCAGATGGTGCCCTTGCTTTGCTTGTCCCAAAGGCCGTGGGCAGCTCCAGGGAGCATGGGGGTGGGAAAAGGCCTGTGAAGCAGTGGGCACAGGCCCCACAATTGTCCATGCCTCTGGACCCAGCCCCAGGGGTCCACCATAGGACAAGGCAGCCACAGCCAGCCTCTGTGGAATGAACGATCACAGCGCTCACACAAGCCTTTCCCACGTGGCCTACCCTGGGAGTAGGCCCGACCAGCTCCATTCATAGGCCAGAGCACTGAGGCCAGAGACAGAGCTGGATCCGAACCCAGAGTGGAGTGACTTTTCCGTGGTTCCCGACTCTGCTCTTCCTCTCCCAAGCAGCACGGGCTCCATCAGTATCTGCCCAGAGACCCTCCCTGGGTTCCAACAGTAAGAACGGACCTGGCCGGGGGCGGTGGCTCAAGCCTGTAATCCCAGCACTTTGGGAGGCTGACATGGGCGGATCACGAGGTCAGGAGATCGAGACCATCCTGGCTAACACAGTGAAACCCCGTCTCTACTAAAAATACAAAAAATTAGCTGGGCACGGTGGCAGGCGCCTGTAGTCCCAGCTACTCGGGAGGCTGAGGCAGGAGAATGGCGTGAGCCCAGGAGGTGGAGTTGACAGTGAGCAGTGAGCCGAGATTGTGCCACTGCACTCCAGCCTGGGGGACAGAGCGAGACTCCGTCTAAAAAAAAAAAAAAAAAGAACAGACCCCAACTAGGAGCTATCAGAAGCTCTGGAAGGCTGGGCCTCAGTTTCCCCATCTGTAACACGTGGTCCTCAAGCAGGGCCCCTCATGCTCCGGCATGCTGTGCTCACAAGCTGCCCACATCCGCCATGCCTCATGGGAGGGCTTTCCAGGGAACATGTGGGCTCACAGCAGGCGTCTGCCCAGTTCTCCTGGGAGGGCTGAGGGCCAGCCCCAGTGGGCAAGGGGCTGGTGAAAGGTTGGCCGTGGAGGGCACAGTAGGCAAGTGGTACCCTGCCAGGCTGAGCCCCTTTACACCCGCCACCTCCCACCTCCTCCCAATGCAGCATGGGCTTGGCATGGCACGGTCTTCTCTGGGTGGAACATCAGTCAGGAGATTTTCCCATCAAGGCCAAACGAATCTGCACATGTCCTGGCCTTGGGGTCAGGGTTGGGCAGGCCCCACTGCACAGATAAGGAGCCCGAGGCCCAGAGAGGATCACACAGGGAGGTGGAGGAGGAACACTGCTGACCCCAGGTGGTTCAGGACACCAACCAGCATTGGAGCTGTAGCCTGGCCTCTGCCCTACCTCCCCATCCTCTACCCCTTGGGCTGGGTCTGCCTGGTGGATGCGGGGCCTCGGTCCAGAAACCCAGGCACTAGTCCTACTTGAGGTTCCTGGTCTCTGTGTGGCTCTCACTGACACTGGGGACTTTTAGGGGCACCTAGAGGTCTGACTCCACTTTGCTCTGTGGCCAGGGTAGCCCTCAAAGATAGCCACAGTCTAGTCAGAAGGGAGGTAGCAGTTCTGTGTGTTGAGACCATAGGGGTGTTTTGCTTTTTTTTAAGATGGAGTCTTGCTCTGTTGCTCAGGCTGGAGTGCAGTGGCACCATCTCGGCTCACTGCAACCTCCGCCTCCTGGGTTCAAGTGATTCTCCTGTCTCAGCCACCCAGGTAGCTGGGACTACAGGCATGTGCCACCACACTCGGCTAATTTTTGTATTTTTTTTTAAGTTTTTTTTTTTTTTTTTTTTTTCCCAGAGACATAGTCTTGTTCTGTCACCCAGGCTGGAGTGCAGTGGTGTGATCTCAGCTCACTGCAACCTCCGCCTCCTGGGTTTGAGCAATTCTCCTGCCTCAGCCTCCTAAGTAGTTGGGATTACAAGCGTGTACCATCATGCCCGGCTAATTTTTGTATTTTTAATAGAGACGGGGTTTCACCATGTTGGCAAGGCTGGTCTCGAACTCCTGACCTCGTGATCCGCCCACCTAGGCCTCCCAAAGTGCTGGGATTACAGGCATGAGCCACCATGCCCAGCCAATTTTTGTATTTTTAGTAGAAATGGGGTTTCACCATGTTGGCCAGGCTGGTCTTGAACTCCTGACCTCAAGTAATCCACCCATCTTGGCCTCCCAAAGTGCTGGGATACAGGCATGGACCGTTCACTATCTTCTGGCTCATCCATGACAAGTAGGTGGCATTTTTCTAACCAGAAACAAAACCAGTAACAAAGAGGCAAAGGGTCCAGTGGACAGAGCCCTGGTCTGGGCTCCCGTCTGGGCTATGCCCCTGCCCCTCCCTGGGCCTTGGTGTCCCTGTCTGTGAAACAGGGCAGTGCACAGACCAGAAGGCCTCCCAGGGTCCTGCCAGCTCTGTCACCTGCTGATGCCGCAGCTCCAGGCCGGGTGCCCTCCCTTAGTCAGTAGCAGCCACCTCAGTCATAACAGCAACCACAGCTTTCGTGGGCAGCGTGCTGACTCCAATGGCCACACCCCAAAACTCACTCATCATCTTCCCTGAGAAAGAGAACTCACATTCACCGGAGGCCCTTGAGGAGCCAGGGACAGGCTTGGCCGGCTACACTAGCAGCCTCACTTAAGTCGTTGCAACAACTCTCCTCATTTTGCAGATGAGGAGCCCAAGGTGAAATGGCCACTCAGGGAGTGAGTGCCGGCTTCCTCAGGGAAGAGCGCCTGGCTGGGACTAGACACCAGTGCTGGGAGGTGGGGGTGAGCAGTGGCCTGCTGACATCTGAGTTGGGGGCCCAGCCTTGCTATCTGACAGTCAGGGGTGGGGAAAGCCCCTGCCCTATTCAGGGGGACTGGCAGGCCTCACAGCTCATGGAAACTCTGAGCCTCAGCTTCTCTACTTGGGGTGACAGCACCTGTCCCAGGGCCAGCTGACATGAGCACAGATTGGAATATAGAGGCAAATATCCCACCAATGGCAAAAAGACATTCAGGGTCTTAGGGAAATGCTTCTCTCCCAAGCACCTAGACAGAACCACCGTCTAACTCTCTCATTGTCCAGATGGGGCAACTGAGGCCCAAACTGAGGCAAGGGCTTCTCCCAAGTCACAGCAAGCTGGCAGAGAAGCAGGAAGGACAGCAGCTTGCCCTGCGTTCGGAGGCTGCAGCCCGCAGGCATTCCTAGCCTCTGTAATTAATGTTTCCGTGACATCCACAGCTTAGGGGTAAATGCTGGGAGCCGTCCGTTAAACTAGCAAGCTTGGAAAGTAAGTTAAAATCACGGAGGCAGCCGGATGCGGTGGCTCACACCTGTAATCCCAGCACTTTGGGAGGCCGAGGCGGGCAGATCACCTGAAGTCGGGAGTTCAAGACCAGCCTGACCAACATGGTAAAACCCCATCTCTACTAAAAATACAAAAAAAAATTAGCCGGGCGTGGTGGCTCATGCCTGTAATCCCAGCTACTTGGGAGGCTGAGGCAGGAGAATCCCTTGAACCCTGGAAGGCAGAGGTTGCGGTGACCCGAGATTGCGCCATTGCACTCCAGCCTGGGCAACAAGAGTGAAACTCCATCTCAAAGAAAAAAAAAATCATAGAGGCTTCCTGCTCCTGAGTTGCAGCTGGTGACTTAAACTGTGGAACCGCAAAGGAAAACTAGTTACGTTTCAGAGTCATAGGTCGTACAACTTTGTGAACGTACTAAAAACCATGGGAACAGTGTACACTTTGGGTGAATTATATGGTCTGTGAATATCTCAATAAAGCTGTTTAAAAAGTAACTCTTTTGGGCTGGGCACGGTGGCTCACGCTTGTAATCCCAGCACTTTGGGAGGTCGAGGC